>NC_000011.10:79540544-79843574 GCF_000001405.40 Homo sapiens | reverse complement strand
CATTCTCTGTCTTCTCTCTTTTCTATGAGATAAGCCAGGGCTGTGCCTTTAACCTGAGGCATAGAATTGTATGGATTTGAAGACAAATCACAGCCAAGCAGCAGTAGGCAGTAAGTGAGGGAGAAAAGCTGCTAACATTTGAAGGGTCATCTTTTCACACAGTATTATTAATATAAAGATCTGGATTTGATTCTGGCTCAACCACTGATTAGCTGTAAATCTCAGGGAATATATTGAAACTATAACAATCAATTCCCTCACCTATTTCTGTAGATGAGTAACTAATGCCTACTTCACTAAGCTACTGTGGAAAGTAAATGGAAAAGCTATAAAAATGGCCTAGAATAATTCCTGGCATACAATAAATAGTTAACTAACTCTCATTAGCTGTGTCTGGCACACAGTAGTTACCCTCATCAAAATGAGTATCTTTTTATCTAGAATTTCAGCCATCAGTGAATGGCTAACCATCATAAAAGACAAAGATTCACTTCTAAATTTCTCTTTCTCATCCTTCTTCTGTGATCCTTTCCTTCTTTGAGTAAAACCTAACTTTCTTTAGGGAGGAACTAAAACTACATTTAGGTCCTGTAAAAATAGACATTTGTTCTGAGGCTAAAATTTTATGAAAGACAATGTGTTTAATTTCTTTTCAGAGAGCAGTGTTTTTCAAAATACAAAATATTAGATCCAATCTGCAAATTAATGTTACAGAAGATTGAAAATAAGCTACAGTTCAAAGTTTAAATTGAATAAACAAAACCATCATCATCTTGTGAGATTTTTTAGGCTGAAGAGGTAACCTCCCTGGAAGAAGAATAAACCTAAGGCCACTGCATTTTATGCATGTTCTCAAGTATGAAATATTCAACCTGAGAATAGGAAATGGCAAATTCATGTACATAATTGCACTGTACAACTCATCTGTTGAGATTCCCATTACAGAAAACCCAGAGTACCTTGAAAAAGCGGCCCACACAAGCCGGGCCCGCAGAAGACAGGGAGCTGAGTTCTGCCTGCTCTGGGGAAATGCAGAGGAAGGGCTGACGTGCTCTGGTTTCCCTGGAGACCCCACTCTTCACTCTTCCTGAGATGAAGTCTCCTTTGCCACCCACCCTCAGGCAAAGCCTACACAGTGGTCTCTGCCCCAGGTCAAACTGCTTGTGGGTTCACCTAGGCTTGAGACCCTTATGCCAAATCCATCACGGAAGGAAGAAGGAAATGGGAAGGAAAAAATGTTTACTAAATAATGACCATGTGCTTTTCCTACCCTGAGTGCTAAATACTCAATATTTTGCAACTTAGACTTTCATTTCCCAGAATCTGAGTCTTAGCCTAAGAACCTTTCAAATATTAATAGTTCCCAGCTACCTGATAATCTTTAACATCCTTTTATGTCTAGGATTAATTAATTTCAAGAAAACAAAGTATCAAGAAGCAATACAATTTTTGAAAGTACTAATAGCTATGACTGATTAAAGCCATTGATATGAACTTGGAGTTTTATCCATTTTGCAGATGAAAATTAGAGACTTTGAGGGGTTAAGAAACATGCCCAGGCCACACAGGGAATAAGGATCAAAGCCACAGTTTACAGTTTGACTTCAAAATCCAGGCTTATTCTTGTATATCCTACCGAGCTGTATGGCCATTTTATCTGATTAACTGCTTGAGGAAGCATTTTTGAAAGCAGTGAAAGATGAACTTCATTTGTTCCTTCTGAGGTCCGCTAGAGGCAGCAGGTTAAATGAGGATATAAAAACTGTCTCTTGTGAATTGTTATGCATTTTGTTTTAAACAAAGAATTGGCTTACTTCTGTAAATAGCATAAAGAAGTATTTTATTTTTATTATTATTCATTAGAATGTTCACAGAAACGGAAGCTAGAATGCTGAACTTCTCCAGAGGAAAGGCTGATACAGTTCACCCGAGGTACTGCTATTCAGCCAAATTTTTCTCATTCTGCTCAAACACAACCTACCCCCATAGTCTTTATGGTTGCTCCGCTAGGAAAAAGTTGTTTCTGCTTCTATGAAACATCAGTTTTAAAAAACCGTCAAGCCCTCAAGCCCCGTCTGTGTCAACAGGGTTTATTTTTCAGTAAACACATTAGAAACCAGTCTTCTTGTCTTACAGTGTCTAAAACACTCTTTCCTTAACTTCTCCTACAGATGCAGGCACCTGATCCTACCTCTTAGGGGAATTATAATGAGGGGTGGGGCAGTCTCCTCTCCTGAATA
Source organism: Homo sapiens (assembly GCF_000001405.40). NCBI lineage: Eukaryota > Metazoa > Chordata > Mammalia > Primates > Hominidae > Homo > Homo sapiens. Next base: position 79,841,334 of record NC_000011.10, on the reverse strand, counting down.
TGGAGAGTTAAGAAAATCACTTTTCCTGTAAGTTTCACCCTAGAAGTTTATGGAAACTTACTGGGGCCCTAGAGTCCCATGAAGCTCCAAGATGGTGAAGTTGAGTCACTGCAATATTGTCTACATCCTGTCTGCACCAATGTCCACCATAAAACAGATCCAGTCTTAATGAGACAACACTCTGTCTCATTAAGGAGAACGGAGGAAGGCACGTGCCGACTTAGCTTATCTGAGTACCTTGCTACTTAAAGCGTATCTGTGGACTAGGAGCATCAACATCACCTTTGAGCACCACAGAGATGCAGACTCTCAGGCCCCACCTCCGATGAAATAAATCAGAACGTGCCTATATACAAGATGCCCAGGTTATCTCTATGCTTACTCAGGTTTAAGAAATACTGCCCTAGACATGGGCTGTTTACTGTGGCTGCATGTTGTTGGTACTACCCGGAAGCTTTAAGAATGACTGATACGTAATCCATGCGGAGTTGATTTAGGGAAAAAAAAAGAATTACCGATTCCTGGTTTCCACCCTCAGAAATTCTGACTTAATTGACCTGGGGTATGACCTGGAATTTGGTTTTTTTTTTTTTTTGAGACGGAGTCTGGCTCTGTTGCCCAGGCGGGAGTGCAGTGGCGCGATTTCGGCTCACTGCAAGCTCTGCCTCCTGGGTTCACGCCATTCTCCTGCCTCAGCCTCCCGAGTAGCTGGGACTACAGGCGCCCGCCACCACGCCTGGCTAATTTTTTGTATTTTTAGTAGAGACAAGGTTTCACCATGTTAGCCAGGATGGTCTCGATCAGCCCGCCCCGGCCTCCCAAAGTGCTGGGATTACATGCGTGAACCACCGCGCCCGCCCGGCACTGGGGTTTTTAAAAGCTCTCTGGTTGACCCTAATGTGTAACTGTATTAATCCATTCTTACACTGCTAATTAAGACATAAGTGGGACTGGGAAATTTATAAAGGAAAGAGGTTTAATGGACTCACAGTTCATCACGGTGGGAGAGTCCTCAGGAAACTTAACAATCATGGCAGAAGGGGAAGCAAACACATCCTTCTTCATATGATGGCAGGAAGAAGAAATGCCAAGCAAAAGGGGAAAAGTTCCTTATAAAATCATTAGATCTCATGAGAGCTCACTATCACCAGAACAGCACGGAGGTAACTACCCCCATGTTTCAATTACCTCCCACTGGGTCCGCCCCACATGGGGACTGCAATTCAAGATGAGATTGGGATGGGGACACAGAGCCAAACCATATCAGTAACCATAGTTAAAAACCATTCCAAATTCCTGAAAAGTCCAAGCATTGATTATTTTAAAACAGAGGATGAGGTGATCTGTTAAGAAGTCAGTGGAGGAAACTGTGAGCTATTATCTGGGGTTTACTTGGTGCCTGGTCCCTTCCATTGGAAAAAGAGGCTCATGCCACATGTGAAATGTGAAAGGAGAGAAAGACTCAACATCTCCTGGGAAGATTAGTCATACAATAGGATGCTGATGCTCCAAAATCTCCAATCAAAGAAAATCAAGAATAAAGTGATTAAGGAATTGAAGAACAGGAAAAAGCTTGAGGGTTGAAACCTACTAATGAGCTTCTATTCAATCTTACCTAGTTCCTGTGACCAACAGTCAGCCAGATGTTCCTGTAACTCAAATATTTTCTCTACACTGGCATTATATAAAATTCTCTTCTATGGATCATAAAATACTCCACACAGAGAAATCTCTATCATCAACAATTTTACAACGTTTATTTTCTTTTAAAATAATAGGGCTTAAAATGCCTGCAATGAAAAAAACTGTGAGAAATACAGGTATTTTCTCAAGTCCGGCTGAAAGTTTAAGGCATACTTATCCAAAATGAATTCACCAAAGAAACAAGAGTAAAATGGAAGAGAGGCCACTTGCCTAACTGGGGGTCCCATGGGGCCCTATAATTAGAAGAACAAAGTTGTGTAGTGCTTCTGTGACTGATTTATTTCCCCTGGACCACTGATGGCATAGTTTCTTTAGCAAATATTCTCTTTGAATATATTTTTCCTAAAGTATTATTTCTGTATCAAACTAATTCCAGAATTGACCTTTTGCGAAAGGTATTTAAAAACCAGTGTAAAAAAAGAGAAATGTCATTTTCCTATTTATTTGACTGTGCGTGGCACTAAATTTAAGAATCCTTTACATTTGAAAGGACACTTTTTAGACACTCCCAGACATCTTGGGTGAAGAAAATTTTGAAATCAGGAGGAGCTGGATAACCAGATAAATATAAGTTTAAGAGAGCATGGGCAACAAAGTGTTGTTTTTTGATGCTACGTGATAATGGATTCTCCCTCCCCGGAACACCTGGGGACACATTTTTCAGAGGGCTGAACTCTAATGGAAGTTTCTCCCTTTGATGTGTTCCCCTCCCCATGCCATGTAGAGTGGGGTGCAGTCCTCCAGGCTGATAGGTTAAGATTTAAGTTGATCCTTTCAGGAGTTCTTTGTTTCTGTAATGTCCTTGTACCTTTTCTATAAGTTTAAAATTATTTCCAAACAAGAACTTTAAAATCTTAAACATGTAAATAAGAAAAAAAAAATTGATAAAGTGTGACCTCTTCACTTCTAACACTATATAGCATTTTGGAAGATCCAGATCCAGAACGACTGTATACATTCTCAACCTGTACTTATTAGGTTGGTGCAAAAGTAATTGCGGTAATGACAAAAGCCGCGATGACTTTTCTACCAGCCTAATAGAATGCCCCATACCACAATGTCTTTAACTTTCTTACATTATTGGTGACTTATCTGAACTTCTACTAGACTGTGAGTCCCTCTGAGGCAGGAACCATGTCTAATTCATTTTTTATCACAAGTACCTAGAACAGAGCCTGGCACAAAGCAAGTGCTGTTTATGTAATTGGGAAAAGAAGAAGACCAAACAGAGCTTAGCAATGTAAAAAATAAAACTGAAAAGAAGACACAGATAGTGTGCCAAGGCAAAGCAAACAGAATGGTGGCTTTTTTGAAATTCTGTATATGAAGAACTTGTGAGCCAAGTAGAGCTATTCAGGTGGAAGAAAAAATATGTGGATGTTTTGAACTACTTTTTCAATTTATTTAATGATTAATAGCCTGTGCAGGTAGAAAATTTCACCTTCAGTCAGTAATAGTAGGTTATAATTTTTCTAGGGAATTTTCTGTTTTATCTAATTTTTTAAATTTTGGGGGGTAATGTATTTTAAAACAGTATCCCCATTTAAATTTTCTGATCTGTGCACTGTTTTATTACCCTTTTGTTTCTAATCTACTTCTTTGTGTCTTGTTTTCTTGATCAATATTGCAAAAAGTTTCTTATTTTGTAATTTTCTTGGTCCTTTCAATTTGCAAACTTTGGGCATTTTATTCTTTTCCACTTTATATTTACCTTTTGTTTCACACATTTTTGTTAATATATTTTATTGTTACTTTCTGTTATAGGTGTTTATTCTCTTATTGTTTAATTATCTTAATACTGTAGTTGAATGCTCAGCTAATTTTCAGCCTGCTTCTTTTCTAATATAAGCATGTAATGGCCATAAATTCCCCCCAAGAACTGCATTAGCTATACAACACAAGTTTTGAAATGTATTATTTTTATTATCATCCATTTTTAAGTATATTCTAATTTCCACTCTACTTTTTCTTTAATTCATTAGTTAATTAGAATTGTGTTTTATAATTGTCAACCTCACAGTGAATTTATAAATGTACTTTGCTATTGATATTCCTTCTTTTTTTGCATCATGGAAAGACATTGTATTCCGTGATACTGATTCATTAGTATATATTGAGATTTGCTTTGTTTTATAGTACACAATCAACCTTTTGAAATATAACATGTATGCTCAAAAAGAATATGTTCTCTAGTGTGGTTAATTAGATCGTGCTTGCTAATGTTTATCACTACTATAGTTTTAATAATTTTTTATTTCTTTCATCTATTAATTACCAAGATAATTTCATTAAAATCTATCAAATATGACTATGGACTTGCCAACTTCTCTTTGTAGTTCTCTCAATTTTGGCTTTACATATTTTAAGTCAACTCTATTATATCAGACTCCCTGAGAGATCATTTTACTTGTTATATGATGACCCTTTATTCCTAGTAATTCATTTTGCCCTAAAGACTACTTTATCTGTTATTATATCTATACCAATTTTACTTGATCAGCTTATATTTTTTCTAACATATCTTTTTCTCATATCTGTATTTTTAGCCATTTTGTATTTTTATGTTTTAGTTGTGTCTCTTGTGAAAAGTCAAGTTTAGACTATTTATATTTATTATGTAATATATATAATATGTTATATATTACATAATAAATACATTTAATACAGAATGTTATATATTACATAATAAATACATTTATATTTATTATGATTATTATCTATTTGTTTAACATCTTTCTTCTTCTTGGTTTCCCTCCTTTTTTAATCTTCTGTTAAATTGATAAAGTTTTCTTTATTTTGCCTTTTTTACACCCTTCAATTTTCTAAGAATGTATGCATGCTTTTTTTCTACTATTTTGTTGACTACCTTAACGTTTTTGAAGTTAATCAGTATCTTCACCATCCTTTCTAGCAGCATAAGGATCTTAGAACACATTGTGCCAAGTCATTTTCTTCTGTATCACCTACTATTGTTCTCTAGTATTTTAGTTTTCTGTTTTACTCTCCCTAAATTAAGTATTATTGTCATTTGTATAATCAGTCTTTATCTTAGGCTTATCCATGTGTTAACCAGACTTTATACTCACCATTTCTTTATCTCATGGCTTCATTCTAGGTTCTATTTTCTTTTTCTTAACATATACCCTATTATAATTTTCATCTAAAGTTTATAAGTGAAAAATTACTTCAGTTCGAATGTAACTACAAACTTTATTTGTCTTTACTTTGGAATGAACTTTATCTGAGTATAGAATTCTGTTGTAATAATTTTATGTTTTCAAGCCTTTAAAAATACTATTCCATTTCCCCTAGCCTCTTGTCTGCTAATGAGAAGTCATATCTCAGATTAGCAGTAATTTCTTTCTAAGTAATCTGTCTTTTTAAAATGTTATCTTAATGATTTCTCTCTGTTTCGGTATTCCGTAATTTTCTATGCTAGTTCTAGGTCTAGGTTTATTTTGTTTATTCTGCATGAAGTTCACTGGACTTTAAATGTAAGGGATAATGGCTTTTGCCAGTTTTACAAAGTTCTTGGTAATGATTTCTTTAAATATTGCATCACCCACACTCCCACATTTCTTCTATTTTCTATTTTCAAACTACTATGAGAAATACTTTTGGATTTTCTTACTCTTTTTTTCTATTTTTCTTTAATCATTTTTGTATTTTTAGTCTTTTTTTTCTCTCAGTACTGCATTCGGAACAGTTTCCTTAGATACATTTCAGTTCACTTTCTCTTTTTCTGTCTCTAATCTTTTGTTTAATTTTTGGTAGTCATGCATTGCATTTTTTTGTATCTAGAAGTTCTACTTAGTTCTTTATCACACCTGTTTGTTTTATTATTGACTTATAGTTTAAATTTATTTTTTAATATTTGTAATTATTTAAGTATACTTAATTTATTATTCTTTTTACATTCTTCTATTAACAGTGTTCTCAGGCTACTAATCATTGTTATTGAAAGATTCTCTTTGCAGAAGTGCTTTTGCATTTTTTGTCTACCATGCATTGAATGAGCATCGCTAAACTACAACCAATCATACTAATTTTTCAGCTTGAAGTTTCCTGATGCAAAGTTTACCCCCCTACTTACATTTGAACCTCAAATCTACATGAAACATAGATTCAAGATTTAAATATTTGTCTTTTTTCTCAACTAGAGTTTAGACACAAGCTACAACATGAACTTGCACACAATCTCTCTGCATCTCCTCTGCCACATGGAAAACTGGCTTTTTTCTATCCCATCCTTTACAGCCCTAGATTTATACAAAAGTCTCGGTTAAAACTACCTGTCTCATCCAGGACCAAGATATCATCTCATGTCCTCAAGTTGTAATGAAATATTATAGAAACTGACTGTATTCCCATCCCTGTCTTGGCTCCAGGCAGCTAAATTATCAGCTCTCAGATTGTGTTCAGCTCTCACTGCATTTCCTGAAACTGAAGAATTAAATTTCTTTATTTCAAACTGAGCTTAAGCATATAAAGAATTTTTTTTATCTTTTTTCAGTTTATATACATGCCATAACGGGGGTTGCTAATAACAGGAAGTTTCTCAAATTAAGTCGTTTAATAGACATATTGCCAAAACCAGAAAATCCTTTTAGTGGCTTTTGCATTGTCCTCCACCTGTTGCTGTTATCTTCTATAATGTGTGTGAGGAAGGATAGGAAGGGAAAGGAGGAGTAGGGAGGAGAAAGGAATAAAAACCCGGCAATTATTAGGCATATATGACAGTCCTTGTCTGATCTCTACCTTGTCATATAGCATTTGGCAAATTGTGTTTTCCCTTTGAGTCCCTCCTATATTTTCCATTCATAAAATAATAGATTTATATAATAACAACAACCCTTGTTGAGGACTCAGAGTATGCCTAGCACTGTGCTACATACATTATATTATTATGTGCATTATGCTATATATGTCACACAAAAATCTTCTAAGAAAAGTATTATTGTCTCTATTTTTAGATAATAAATTGCAAATATGGAAGGTCAAATAATTTGGCCAAAATCTCAAAGCTATAAGTAGCAAAGCCACGATTTGAACACAGGTCTGTCTGATTCTAAACCTCTATCTTCAGCCCTGTGTTACTGTCCTCTTCTTATTTTCTATCAAATATTCATGAAGATTCCTGTCATCTCTAACCTTCTCCGGGTCTCTAATCAGTCTTCAATTCCATATATATGTATAACTTTCATTTTTCACCTAGTCTTGTTCAGGGTCTCAATGTTCTCATCTCTGCACATCTAATTCACTTCTTGTCCTTCTCACCCCAGGTCACTGCCATGTATAGTTATTGGCTGAATTAGTATTTTATGAGTGTTTTAATATAGGCTTCTTGAAATATGGTTTCTGGAAGGCTGGAAATGATTCTACATATATTCATACACACACATCACAACAAGACCAGACATGATGTACACTGCTCACTGCCGAGAGCTTCTTTGCAGGAATGAATTTGGGGTTTTTTTTTTTCACAGGAACTTCCAGTGACTGAGATCAAAGATACATTTAATTTCCTCTGAGTGGAAATGGCCCTTTCTCTGTATTTAGATGTTTTGTAATATAGCTCCTTCAGCAGTAAAATCATGACAGGCAGAGAAAAGAAAATAAGCAAAGCATATCAGAGCCCTAGTGTTTGTTACAGAGCAGATCTAAAATATTTTATTATAGTTCATTCATTGCTGCAACCTATACATTTATTAAATAGTTATTGGACATTCATTTGCTTGCTAATTATTTATTGAGCACCAAGAATTTTGCTAAGCATTGAGGATAAACTGGATGAAACAAACATAGCACCTGTCCTTGTGAAACTTACAAACTGGTGGAGAGATGAACAATGAAAAACAATCTCTCAGATAAGTCTGTGTGCACACAAACCGTGCTAGCTGACGTGAAGGGGAGGGCTAGGTAATGACTGGGTATGGTGAGGATGGGGAGCCAGGGAAGGCTTCTCTGCACAAGTGAGTTTTAGGCTAAGCCCTAAAAGATAGAAACAGTCAAGAGAAAGAGCATTCCAAGCAAATGGAAGATCCTGAGAGAAGGCAGAGATCACTACCTTCAAGGAAATGGTAACAGACTCACAGGCAACCCAAGGTGAAGCTGAGGTGCTGATGAGGGATAAGATCACATTCTAGTTCTATAACCACATTAAGACTTTTGTTTTCAGTCTCAGGAAAACCCATTAAAAGTTTTCCGCTGGGGTGTGATTTTACCTGTTTCATATTTTTAAAGACCTCTCAGATTGTGACATTGAAAATTGACCACATGGTATCAAAGTAGAAGGACACAGAACAATTTCAAGATTCCTGCAGTGTCCAGGCATGCAGTGATGAGAACTTAAACTACAGCAGTGGCGAGAGGGATGATGGAGCATGACTAAAGAGCTGGCGTGGAGTTAGAATGAAGAAGGTGGATGCCAGATGGGATGTGGAGGGAAAGGGTGAGGATGTTTTTGAGGATAAGTCCCAGGTTTCTCTCTTAGACAAGGTTAGTGGAAACACCAACTAACAATGCATACTAACATCTATTATAGGTAAGACCTTAAGCTAAAAGCTAGAACTGGCAGTGTAGACAAGCAGCTTTTACACAGAGCCAGGTACTTTGTGTGTATGTATGAAAATTTCAAATAGCTAATATTACTGAGTGCTTACTCCCTGTAAAGCACTGTTCTAAACATATACATATATCAACTCATTTGTCATAATTACAGCCATTTGAAGTGGGTAATATTATTCCCATTTTACAGGTGGGGAAACTGAGGCACAGAGCTATTAAATACCTTGCCTGAAATCACTCATCTAATAAATGCAGACTTCAGATTTGAACCCATGTGCTATAAAGCAGCATCCATGTTCCTGCCTACTTCACCACAGCCCCTTTTTTCTAAGGAGATTCTAGTCTACAGGAAAACCCAGAAGCCAACAATATCAGAATATTGTGAGAAAGAGCATAATAATAATAATCACTAACATTTACTAGGCAGAATACAGCAATGAACAGGGTGCTGTGGGACCCAGGACAGAGACAGGTGTTTTGTTTTGCTTTTTTTTTTTGTTTTTTGAGAAAATTGCATTTAAAGAATGTTTTTAATAGAGTAGGAATTTACTTAGAACACAAGCCCTTACTTACTGATTAATGTCTTTTAGGCAATGGCATTCTCACCTCCATAACGGCAGGACCTAGCTTTGGCACATGGTAGCTACATGATAAATGTTTCATGAAGCCAACTGAAATGAAAGTCACCACAAACGAGGATGCTGCCTCATGACACTTAAACTCCTCTTTGCTTGTTTTTACCAGGTAATTTCATTTCTCCACCCTCCTGTAACAAATAAGACAAAGACAATGGCTCATATTCAGGAAGACTAACTTTCCCAGGTCAGCATTAAAGACCAGTCTCCAGGGATGTGTTTGATTGAAATGCAGGAACTGTGCATTTTTTGGTGAAGTTTGCCTCTAAAAAAACTGCAGTGAGTTTACCTGTAAACTAGCATTGCTTATTATTTTCATTATCAGCCAGATTTTAGAATGCTATTTTTAAAAATAAAGTGCACGCACATATATACACAAAAGTTGTCCCTTCCATGCTAGCCACATTTGAATGAGGCTTCCCAGGAGTTTACACACAAAAGATTTTACATTATCTAGCCTGTGTGGGTGGTCAATTACAACTCTGCCAAAATCGAAAAAGAAACTTTAGGAGGATTACGAGCTATTTTGTATACTCCCAGATGACCATGTCTACTCCCTCTGCAAAACTCTGAGAGGCTCCCTTTGTGAAATTAACATGTTTTGTCACATTGTGGCAGACCTTGACTGTCATACTTTACTCTCTAGGGTAACCTTAACTTGATCAAAGCAAATCCTCCTTTCTTATTTCCAACTGCCCATTACTTAAGAGAAGCCTATTGATTTGCCCCTGAAATGACACACTCTTATTTTCAAGGCTAGGGAATATCTCTGCAAGTGATGAGCAAGGAGATTTGGGACAAGGTAGAATGAAATGAGTATTGAATTGTTTTGTTCAATCAAAAAACAAAACAAGCAAAAACACACACTGAATACCCATTGGTAGTGTGCTAGGTGACGGCAATAGAAGATGAAGCTTCTTTATTCAAGCAACTCTAGGTCTTGTAATAAAGATAAGTATAGAAATAAATAATTTTAATAACATGATGGAAGTGCCATAATCAGGGTAAGGGTAGGGTGCTTTGGCAATATGCCAGAGTGATGGAAATGGTACAGGCTCTCTGAAAGAGATGATGAGTTGATTGAGTCTAAAAACAAGAACAAGCAGGAGTTAACTAGGTGAACACCTTTCTAGGTGTGGGTTTTGAAGGGCAATCAGGTCATAGGTCAAGGAAATAGTGAGATATAACAGTCAGAAAAAAATGTATGTGGGCAATGGCTCTAGCAGGATTGTCAGGTATGAGGGGACTTCAAAAAGTACATTAAAAAATGGAATTAAAAGGTAAAAATAAAAACATATAAACTTTATTTCTCAATAGAAGCTCCATCAAGTTTAAGTAAGACACTTTTGTAAGCAATGATACTAGCTATTCAGTCCACCCCTGAAGAACCAAAGTTTCTGGGAATTTAACCATATCAAAGCAGTCTTTTTGATATTGTCAACTGAAGAAAAATGAGTGACCTCTACAGATGTTTTAAGAAACAAAAAGAAGTCGGAAGGAGCCAAATCAAAACTGTAAGGTGGATGCCTAATGATTTTCTACAGAAAATCTTGCAAAATTGCCCTTTTATGATAAGGAGAATGAGCAGAAGCATTGTTATGGTGGACAAAAACTTTTTGATGAAGTTATCTTGGGTGTTTTTCTGCTAAAGCCTTGGCTAACTTTCTCAAAACACTCTCATAATAAGCAGATGTTTTCATTCTTTGGCGCTTCAGAAAGTCAATAAGCAAAATGCCTTCAGCATCCCCAAAAAACTGTTGCCATGACCTTTGCTCTTTTGACTGGGCAATTTTCACCTCTTGCTAGCTATTGCTTTGATTGTGCTGTGTCTTCAGAATTGTACTTGTAAAGCCACGTTTCAGGTTCCATCATAATTACTTGAATACACGCATCAGGAGCTTGATCACACTTTTTAAAATTTCCATTCAAATCTCTGCTTTTATCTGCAGTTAATCTAAATGTAATGGTTTTGGCATTCCTTAGCATTTGTCCATTGAGTGGACAGTTTGCTCAACTTTAATTTCTCAGTCAGAATTATGTAAGCTGAATCAATTGAGACATCTATGGTGTTGGTTATTGTTTCTGCTGTTAATCATCAGTGCTTTTCAATTAGAGCATGGACTAATTTTTCCTCACTAATTGATGTGGTTGGTCTGCCCCTGTGGGCTTCATCTTCAATACCATCTTATCCCTTCTTAAAATGAATGATCCATTTGGAGTCTGATGATTTCTTTGAGGCATTGTCCTTATAAACTTTCTGTAAAACATCAATGATTTCGCATTCTTTTACCCAAGCTTCACCATGTATTTGATGTTTGTTCTTGCTTCACTTTTGGCAGAATTCGTGTGCTCTCATATTGGCTGTTTTCAAACTGATGCCTTATGCTTCTTAGTATCTCAAACTAGATCCTGTTCAGACATGTTATAACAAGTTAGTATAAGTTTATTTTGATGCAAAAAAAAAGTTTGAAATCTGTGCATAGTTTTTTCATGAAGCAGAGATGCATTTTTTATGAAGTTTTTGAAGACTCTTCGTATGTGTGAGGGCAGAAGATGAGGCTATGGATAAGGGCTAGTGAGAAAGGGCTCTGTAAACTTGGCTAAGGAGTTCGAATGCTATCCAGGTGGCAATGGGAAGCCATTAAAGAAAGGTAAGTAGCAGAGTCTCAGAGTTAGATAATTGTGCTTAGAACCATTCAGTTACCACTGATGGCCTTCACACAAGGCCACAAGTGGTCCTGAGTCCTCACAAGGATCAGAGCACTGGGAAACAGAAAGAAGCCTTAAATACAGTCCTAATCAGAGTGTTGAGGAAACATAGAAGCCTTGTCTACAAGATTTCAGTAGAGAAAATAAGGCAAAGCAGGGAAAGAAATTGCAAATTTTTAGTCTTTTTAGGGCATTTCTAAGCTATTTCTTATAATAGTTGTTATCTCAATCTTATCAATATTTTATCGGAGTAACATAGAGATATCTTGGAAAAATTCAGATCTAAAGATGTATATTTTTATCTGAGCTACACTATAGATTTTATAAGTCTACCTATTGGGTCAAACATATTAATACCACACTGACAAAATTGCAAGGTAGTTCTCTTATAAAATTTTTCAGCAGAATATATTTAATGCCCTTCACAGACATCTAATGAAAACTGTCATCATTTATTTGGAAATGTATTATGAGATTTGTCCCCTCCATGTTCTCAAATGATATTTCCATACCAGGCATTTAGCTCTATGATTAATATTTTTTCATTTAAATTCTGTTTATTTTTCATATTGTGATGTTTTACTATACCCTCATTGGCCCATTGTAATAACTGACCATGTTTGCTTAGCAGGAGAGTAAATGTTCATTTGCATATGTCTTGTTCCCTGCTAGAAGCTAGAAGGTGGCCTTGCCCTTTTGCAAGCTGCATTGTTACTGTTGTCCAAATGAGTATACGTTAGAGGATAAAGAGCTGCATCCTGAAGGTGCAAACCTCGTGTCTTAATATTTCACTCTCAGCTCTATTCCAAGCCAGATTTCTAGAACTATGGTTGAAGTAAATGCAAGGCAGGGGTGAGAGATGGGAGATTTACTCTTGTTTTCAGTCACAATTGCACTTTTTCAGCATACAAAAATATTTCTGAAAATAGCTTCAAGCCAACATTCGATAGGGATGTATACTGGCTCTTGGGAGAATAGGGAACATCCCTATTCTCCCAAAAGAACATCTTAACATCTTCCTAACATCTCTGCTTCTTAAAATCTGCTTCATTAAATCGGATAGCATTAGGAGAAATACCTAATGTAAATGACGAGTTGATGAGTACAGCAAACCAACATGGCACATGTATACCTATATATCAAACGTGCACGTTGTGCACATGTACCCTAGAACTTAAAGTATAATTTTTAAAAACTAGGAAATTTATTTGTGCATCTTTATATCTTTAGATGTGCCAATGAAAAGCTGTTATCTTTGGAAGTCAGAGCTATTCCATACTTCGTTCAGGTAACAAAAGCCAACCTGGGCAACATAAAAAAAACCCATCTCTAGAAAAATTTTTTTAAAAACTTAGCCTAACATAATGGCACTCACCTGTAGTCCCAGCTATTCAGGAGGCTAAGACAAGAGGATTGCTTGATCCCAGGACTTTGGTTATAAGGTGCTTTATGACCACACCACTGCACTCCAGCCTTAGTGACAGAGTGAGACCCTGTCTTATTCATACATACATACACACATACATACATGTTGCCTTAGGATACATACACACTCATATGTCTTAGAACGTGGAAATATTTTTTCAGCTGTTTAATTGCTAATTACCACTGCACATAGTATGAATTTGAGAATTTGTGTAATTCAGTTTTTATACTAGTTATAAAAACCTGGAGCAACCTGTGCGAAAATATATTGTACCCATAGTAAAATATTTTTACACTAGGTATTTGACTATATTTTAATACCATTCTAAGGATGTACGTTTGTTACTTTGACTTATGCACATACTTATTTCTGCATCCAGGTGTATAACATGCCCACCAACAAATGGCAATAATGTAACCAAATAGAGATAAGCTGTGGTCATTTGTCAATTTTTTACAACCATGCTTGAATATCTGATAGTAATCTCAAACATGCTAATGCTTACTACCTGCCCCAGTATGCTCTCCAGTCTATGCTTCCCCAGCCTTCCCCATCTTAGTAAATGGTACCACTACTTATCCAGTTGCTCATGCTGGAAGCCTTCCCTCAGGTCAACCTTGACTCCTCCCTCACCCTGCAACCAATCACCTGCAATCTTTGTCAATTTTATCTTCAGAAGAATGTCAGCAACATTCTTTTTTCTTCAGAAGAATGTTAGCAACATTCTTTTTTCTTCATCCCTATGATCATTACTTGTTTATTATTTTTTAGTGTCTGCCTATTGCACTTGAATTAAAATCCAAAGTTCTCCCCAAGGCTCTGTAAATTTCATTTGCTACTCTTCACATCTTCTAACTCTGAGCATGTCAAGATCTTTCACGTGTCAGATCCTTTACACATTTTTTTTGCTTCCTCTTGAAATCTGTGTGCCCTGAACTTGGCTCTTGTCCATCCTTCAAGTCTTAACTTAGAATTTACAGCGAGGCCTTCCTTGTCCATGCTCCCTCTATCCAGCCTACCCAATATGTTTCTTTATCTCACGGTACTTATATTGATCTTAAGTTACTTATTTTTTTAACTTGTGCATTTTATGTTTACCCTGATAAACTATCAGCACCGTAGGGTAGGAATGATATAATGTCTGTCTTGTTCACCAGCTTGTGGCCCACACTGCATATTGTACCTAGCAAATACCAGAACTCAAAAGACAGATACCACTGAAGAAATGAAATATGCTAAGAGCAGAAGATAAAAAAGGAGTAGAATACTATTTCTACCCTCATGGAGTTCACATTCTATTAGAGGAGACAGACAGGGGAACACATCATCAAAATATCTAGAGATAAGACCTCTACAGGAGATGAATTCAAGGCACCAAGATGGTGAAAAATAACTACGTGAATAATATAAAGATAGGTTGAATCCTCAATTATAATTTTGTTTTACGTTATTTCTGATTGTTTGGGCAGATTACTTAACATCTCTGAATAATACTTTATACATCTATGAAACAGAAGGTATTTACTAACAAAGAGATACTGTGAGAATTAAATGAAATACACCATGTAAGGTGTTAATACCCTAAGTAATAGTAAGTAAGTACTTTAAATTAGTAGATTTTCCACTGCTACTGCTGCCATTAAGAATGATGTCTGTTTAATTAGTTAGTGTAATCCTGGAGCTCAATATAATGTTGAATTAAAATATTTTACTTTCAAACCAATGTTGTGTTTCTGCTACACAGAGATTGGCAATTAAAAATTCAGCTCAGAATCCCCCTTTTCTAAAAAGTCCTCTCTATTTCAAAATAGTTTATCCAATCCTCCTGTGAGTTATCTTTGTGTCTTATGATTAGGAGCATGTTGGTGTTTTTAAAAGCCCAAGGAACTCTCACTGTTCTTCTGTGCCCAAATATGAAAGCAAAGGAGAGACTAACTGAAGTGTCAGCTTTACAACTGTGTGAGAAGTTGAAGACATGGTTGAGTATGTTAGCCTCACGAATATCAAAATAGACATAAAAGGAGGAGCTGAAGAGCTGCAGGCCTTCCAAACTTCTCTAATGGTAGGGAGCAAACCAGAGAATGTGCTCTCTCCAAACAGGTGAATTCCAACGGGAGAAGATGAAGAGGAAAGTGGCTGGGCTTGGCATCACATGGTCATTCTTCCATCCAGGGCTAGAGGTAGAGGATGGAAAAAAAAATCCAAAGATGTTACAGTATTGATATCTCTCTACTTGGAATCATGAAGCCAGTGAAGAGGGCTCTTCCCCAGTATACTGCTACCAAGACAGCCAACTTCAGCCTCCAGAACCAGCAGGCCCGGGTTTAAGCCCTCACTCTGCCACTTGTAACTGATAACATTTCAATCTCTCTTAGCCTCCATATTCTCAAATGTAAAATAAGGATGATAATAATAATGTCTACCCCATAGTATGGGGCTAAAGCAGATGAACTTGGGTAAAGCACTTACCGTTGGATTTGACATATAATCAATGTTCTTATTTCTTAGCTAGGATTATTTTACTCTCTGCTTGAAATTGCCTTCTTGGAGGAAGAGCCGATGAAAGAGAAAAGTAGATATATACATGAATAAATACATGCATTAATTAAAATGCTTCAGAGGAGTTGTCAGGAAAGGCTTCATGGAAGATGAGACTTGGCCAATATTTTTTTAAGAATGGGCAGGATTTCTCCATGTGGACTGTGGGTCTTACAGAAAGAAGGGAGAGTCAGGGTGGCATTATAAATTTCATTGCTCTTGGGAACTTTTGATTTCGTGGGTCTTGTCCTCTGTAAAATAAATATATATATATGTTATATATATATGTTATATATGCTATATATATATAACATATAATTATATCTATAACATATATATATTTATTATTATATATAACATATAATATGTTATATATATAACATATAATTATATGTTATATATATAATATATATATTTATTATATGTATATAACATATATGTTATATTATGACTGCATTGGTATAAAGATAAATATAATCCAAGGTGGATTATATTGTTTTTCTTTTAATTAAAACATTTTTTAGCCCCTAAAAGTATCACGGGCCCTAGACACTACACCTATTTTGCTTAAATGATAGGTGAACAAAGGACAGAGACACAAGAGGAGACACAGCTCAGAATGTTTGGAAAGCCATAGGAGGTGTGATGTGATGGCAGCTTTTTAAAAACGACTTATTTAAGGAAGATATTTTGCAGCAAAACTCAGTATTTGTTATAAAAATACATACAATTAGCACACATGTTTAGCCAGGGCAGGATTAGGGAGGCTTCTACATGGTAGGCCAGACCTGTGGGTGCCTGCCTGAAGGACATGCGGACAGTGATAACAACGTCTCACAAGAGTCAAGAAGGGATCAGATTTTTGTAACTGAAAGCTTGCTCTAAAGGACAGATTGAAAGAGGGTGAGGCTGGATGCAGAGAGCCCGCCAGTAAGGACAGCTGAGATCATCTGACCCAGAGATGGAGAATTTAAAAGTAAGGATGTGGCACCTTGAGAAAGGCAGGAGACAAAATATTCTGATTGAATGGTCTTGACACAACACCTTTTGTGTCCATTTTATTTCAAGGATAAGAAAACAAAATGAAATAGAAAAGCCTCTTGTTCTCCTACTCCCCGTGCAATTTACTTAATTCTATATAAATATACGTAAATTGTCAACTTAGCATAGAGGATGTTTAAATGTGGTATGGAACTGGTTCCAGAGTCAGCTAAGTTTCTGCTCCAGACTCCCTCATTTACCAGCTGGGCCCTCTGAGACAACTTCCTTAATCTTTGTGATCCTCAATTTTCCCATCTTTAACATGGGAGTGATCATAATACTTGCCTCACAGGATTATTGTAAGAACTAAATGGAAGCAAGTATCTGTAAAATGCTTAGAACACTGCCTGCATACAGTAAGCACAGAATAAATGGAGAACCTTATAAAAGCATACTGTGAAAACTATGTCCTTTTCCTATAACTTTGAGGGAAGAGATGCAAACACAAAGTTTTTGTTTAAAAAAAAATTGTATGTGACTTTGAATTTGAAGTCCCTCTCTCAGGAAGCCAAAATTCATAGTTCCTTTCAGGTATGTATGTGTATGACAGACACATCTTATTCCTTTGGAATCATATGGCTTCTACATTCTATTGTATCATTATCTCTCCACATGACCCTGAGTGTACTGTCCTGTACCTTTAAATCACCTTTCAGGTAATGATTTTTAAATATTGCAAAATATTCTATCATGGATAACTAGCAAATGCTGGCAACCTCCAGGGCTGTTTTCTAATTAGATCCTATGGATTTAATATTTCGAGTTATTTAAAACTTCTCTATCTTATTCCCTTAAATTTCCCTTGGTCCTCTTCTTGCTTCTGGTTTACTATTTTTGCAAAGAGAATGGGTGGGGCAAGCACGCACACACATCTAAATCCTTTGAAATGTCTACCGTCTTCCCAGAACTCTGAGTGGTGCAGTAATGAATTGCTTTGAGGTTAAGTTATCTGACTGTCTTGTTATGAGAGATCAAACCTGAAGGTGTGTGTTTGCTTCCAATTAACACCAACTCTTGGGATTTGAAAAATCAGGTATTTCATTCATTAACCTTCAGAATGGCATTCAGAGGGGAGAATGTTTGAATTTACAACTTACAAATTATAAATTTATCAAAAGCAATAACATTATTATAATACTCATGTTAGGGGCCATTAGTATCCTTAGTCTCTACTGTACATCACAAGGAGACCATGTCTGCCCTGAGGACATCTTCTCTAATAATAAGAATCTTTTATCCTCTACAGTAGAGAGAGATTTCCACATACCTTCTCTCTTGTCATCTTCACCATAGCCCTGGAAGGAAATAGGCCAGAGGTTATCATCCTCATGTGATGGATGAAAAAAACTGAGTCTTAGAGAGATCAAGAGACTTGCCCAAAGTAACACTCTTCCAAAACGGTAAAACTAGAACTTGAAGTCTGAATTTTTACTTCTGAGTCCTCTACTCTTCCCACCTCTCCTCATTGCTTTCCCCAGCATTGAGAGGCACAAAATAAAGACAGTCATTATCAGGCCAAAGTATAAATTAGGCAATTTTACCTTGTGGCCCAAGTCAGACACATTAAAGTTCAAATGTCAAATCTGCCACTTTCTGCATTAGTGCACTTGGACTACTTAAACTCTTTGTTCCTCAGTTTTATCAGTTTTATCAACAGTGATCACAATGCCTATTTGTAAGGCTGAATCATCTAGGATTATTTCAAGAGCAGGTGATAGAATATGTGACTAAAAGTGCCTTTGGCAATAAAAACTTTTAATTAACTCACATAATAAGAAATCCGAAAGTCGGCTTTTCCACATTGACTCATTGTGTAGCTCAAAGGTATAAGGCTGTCGCTCAGCTTCTCTGTTTTGTTTTGCTTTGCTTTAATTTCTCTTCATGATTGAAATGGCTGTCATGGCTCCAAACTCAGACCCTCATATGGTAACACCCACAGCAGGAAAGATGGAGCTGGGGGCTCTCCTTATGTATCTTTTGCTCTCTTTTTATTAGATTGGTACTGGGGGAGAAGGGGAGTGTGTCTTTTCCAAAACTTCCAGAAAACTCTTCTTTTAAATCTTTGGCTAAGCTGGACCTTATGCCCATCTCCGCACCAGTCACTAGAAAGAACAGTGGGTCATCGTGGTCAGTTTGGACTGCCCATAAATTGTCTTCTAAGGCTAGGTTTGGAGCCCCTCTTTCTTAAACACAATTCAACGTACATATGAAAAGAAAATGTAAGTTCCATGAGCCAGACCGGAGGATGGGACAGTGACTAATAAAGAGGTACCCAGTTGGTCTGCCACAGAAGATTGTGTGTTTTGTGATTATTAAAGAAGTTAAAAGTAAAGAACCTAACATAGCAATAGACATATAAAAGGTCTTAGGGAATGCCTGACATCTTCTTTACCACTTTGTGGTTTAGATCAGTATTTACTAATTTTGTGACTTTGGGCTCACCATTTAATTACACAAAGCCTGTTCCCCATCTTCAATTTGTGGATAAGAATTGCTATTCAATTGAGTTGTTGAGGAGGTCAAAAATTAAATAATATCTGGAAAAGAGTTTCCTAAGTTATTAAGTGCTATACAAATGTAAAGCATCATATTTAACATTTAGAGTCAACGCTGCAAAGACACTTAAAGCAGGGTCAGACTGCAGCATTGCAGTAGACATACGTGAAAAGCAGATAGTTGATACTAAAATTTTCACGTGTTTGGCAACGTGATAACGATAATATAGAATACCAATCATATCATTGTTTTGCACATTTAAAAATAACGTCCAGCTTTTGTTCTGGGACACCTTGTATCTAAATAAAGTGTAAGACAAAACAAAAGAAAAAAATTCTGTCCGTTAAAACTGACACACAAAAAAGACTAAGTTTTTTGCTGCTTTCTTTATCCAAATTCGCTTTCATAGTTCAGCACCTAAAATTATTAATGTTAGTTGGCTTTCTGTTCCCCACGTCTTTATGCTCCAAGACCAAGTAAAAGGGGCAAGGTTTTTGACATGTAGATGCAAGAGGGCCTACTTTATCTTAGATGGCTTAAATGCATGCATTACCTTTAATATTCTTAACCATTTTACAACATGCTTATTTTTATTCCCGTTTATAAGGTAGAAAAACCACAGCTCACTGAGATTCGATAACCTGTTAAAGTTCCATAGCTAGCAAATGAGCCCAGATTTTGACTGAATGCCTCCCACCTCTAAAGCTTATGCCATTTCCACTGTTTCTCTACTTTGTCACCTTTTCCATGAAGTCTTTTCCAATCGATATCATAAAGGTGATATTTCACCTCCTGGTTTCTTTGCCTCACCCATTGGTAACATGAATTCTGCAAACACTTAGTTTACACTAGAATTTAATTTGAGAAAATCTCTATTAGTGTCACCCTCTGAAGCTTGGAATGCACTGAAAGGTAGCCCATGTGCAGCACATCCACAACGCTTGGGATACAGAAATATTATTTGGAACGTGATCCCTGGGACTGAGATGTGGATGACTGTCCTATAATGCGATCTTAAAATCCACATACTTAGTCTTTGGTGTTTCCAGGAAATAACCATATCTTACATGCTGAGTCACCTTATTTAATACTCAAAATATTCTGGTGGGATAGGTCTTGTTATAATTATTTTATAGATTAAAAAAGTACAAAACTGAGACTCAGTGACATTCCTAATATCACTCATTTTAAAGAATGTGCTAGTTATCAATTGCCTTATACTGCTGCATAACAAACAACCTTTAAAACCCAGTGGCATGCAACAGTGTTTTCACATATCAAAATTATACGGGGTTGACTAGATGAATCCACTGTCTAAGGGTTGACCAGCTGGTGGCTGATCTAGGGGGAGGGCCATGCCAAGTTACATAAGCAAAAGTTATGCTTACAAAGAAGTGTAAAAAATCAGGACCATTATTATAACCCACTACTAGAAAGTCTTAAAATATCACTTATGTTTCCCAATTGTTATTTTAATAGTTATGCTCCTGGGGCAAAAAGCAAGGTCACCTCTATAGGGATAGTTTAAATTATAAAGCCTCCAGCAATGGGACAACCAGACGCCAATCTACTCTGTAAAGCATTCCCTCGTTGTTTGGGGGAGCTCCTGAGCTTCACAAGAGTTTATGCTCACAAACCAATCCTCCTGTCACAATGAGACGAGTGACATCCAATACATTCTTCCTTCCCTGGAAGCCAGCTAAAAGAGTCTCCCTATTGCTACTGTTGAGGATATCCCTAATCATATTACCTGGGATTCCACCAAAAGAGTTCTTTTCTTTCTAAAGATACCAATTCCAGTTATGTTAGATAGGTGTCAGACTCTGCTCAGAGGGAATATGAAGGCCCCCTCTTCGGTTCTGTGCTATGCTTTGACACCAAGAC
Organism: Homo sapiens; assembly: GCF_000001405.40. NCBI lineage: Eukaryota > Metazoa > Chordata > Mammalia > Primates > Hominidae > Homo > Homo sapiens. Next base: position 79,820,334 of record NC_000011.10, on the reverse strand, counting down.
CACCTTAACTCTCTCCGAGTCTGCCCCAGGCCTTGCACTTCTCCTCTCTACTCCTCATCTCCTTCAAGAATTTTACAAGAGAAAGGATAAAATAAGGCTAGACACTGTAGCTTATGCTTGTAATCCCAACACTTTGGGAGGCTGAGGCAGGAAAATCATTTGAGGCCAGGAGTTTGAGACCAGCCTGGGCAACATAGTGAGATCCTGTCTCGACAAAATACTTTAAAAATTAGATGGGCACACTGGCACATACCTGTAGTCCCAGCTACTTGGGAGGCTGAGGCAAGAAAATAACTTGAGTCAGGAGATTGAGGCTGTAATAAGCTGTGATCACACCATTGCATTTTATTTAGCCTGGGTAACAGAGGAAGAACTGATCTCTTAAAAAAAAAAAAAGAAGAAAAGAGGTGAGCAGCTTCGAAACACAGCTCCAGCTTAAAGAAAGAATTTATGATCTCAAATGTAACAGCTGCCTTAGGGTTTAATGATAGCTTCATGCTGTCCCAAGACAAAGGGTGGGCAACTACCTCACATTTGCATTGCTACAGGGTCTATTTTTTATTTAACAGGTTTTTATGTAATACCTACCTTGGGGAAGCCCAGTGTTAAGCCTGGTTCATTGTGATAATTTATCCTAAAGCAGAAAAAGAAAAAAAGGAAAGAAAAACAACCTTTGTCCTAGAAGTAAATGCAATTCTTTACTTCTATAGGCTCAAAACTTTAAATTTTACTTAACATTCTCTGTTCTGTTTACACTTATCTGGACTCAGATTTGTATCAAATTTTTAAAAATCGTAGGGTCCAGTGTTGGCTAAGATACCTACTTACAAGTGATAAGAGTTCAGATCCTAATTTGAAGATGTGATGCCAAGGTAGTTTTTGTTAGGTTGTTTTGCTTGGAAGTCACCACCATTGAATCAGCTTTATTCATTTCCTCAGCAACAGGACAATTAGGTATTAATTTGCCACACCTCTTAATTATCTGTGACTTATGACTTAGAGGTTGATTGTTTTCTCACATTGGTTCAGTAATGTCAACATTAATCTCTTCTTCAGTGTGCTAGGACAGCTTCCTTAGCATTAAGCATCCCATCTCTATTTAATCCAGAAAGCATGGAAGGAAGTGGGAAGGAGATGTCCCCACCTCTTTTTTTTTCTTTTTTATTAGGGAAAGCAAGAGCTTTCCTAAAATACCCCAGCGAACTTCCACCTAGATGTTTGTAACCTAAACTGAATCCCTTAGCTACCTATGGCTGAAAGACAGGGAATTTAAACAGTTAGCTCATCTTACTCCTAAAATAGAGGTGACAAAGAAGGTGGTGGAGACTGGATGCTAACATAGCTGTACTGGTATCTTTCCCAAGGACTGATATTGCCAGGGACAAAGGCATCACAGCTCAACTTGGAGTTTCAACTCTGGATTGTTTAAGTTCACAATGAGACAATAATCTTGACACTTGGGTTTTCTGGGAGAAAACAAAAAGGAGATATTCTCTAAATTATCAAAGTTCTCCTTTATATAGCAATACCAATGCTTGATCAAGTAAGGCAGGATGCTTTCTAACAACTAGGAAAGGAAATAAATATCCAAAGACCAGTAAGAGGCTCAAAGGTTAATTTAACACTCCCTAAGCCCCTAGGCCTTGGCCAAGGTTGAGGGAAACAGAGTGATGGAAAACTTGACAGAAATTCTGGATAAATTGAGAGAAGATCCTCCAACACCTGAGCTGATGCCTGACTCCAGCCTCTTGCACCTTGTAGAGAAATTCTTATGTGGGCCCCAGACTGGTTACAAAGATATACATGCTACACTGATGGTGTAGGAAGAAATTGCAGCCAGAACCAGATTTTAGATCTAGTTAGGCTTGGTAAAAGTAGTTTTCACAATTTCATAAGGTAATGTTAGTATAGTAAAGCGTTCAAGGATTTGCTAAGTTTTCACTTGGGGCTTCTGAACTTGGTTGAATAGTGACCCTCAAATTTATGTTATTCTAGAACTTAGAATGTGACCTTATCTGGAAAAAGGGTCATTGCAGATAATTAAGATGAGGTCATACTAGAAGAGGGTCAGCCTATAATCGAATATGACTGGTGTTCCTATAAGAAGAGGAGAAGAGACACAAAGAAAGACACACACAGAGGGAAGATGTGAAGACACACAGGGAGAATGCCATGTGATGACAGCAGAAGCTAAGAAAGGGTAAGAAACAGATTCTTCTCTAGAGTCTCCAGTGAGGAGACCATGGCCCTGCTGACACCTTGATTTCAGACTTGCAGCCTACAGAACTCTGAAACAATACATTTCTGTTCTTTAAGGCACCCAATTTGGGGTTCTTTTGTTATAGCAGCTCTAGCAAACTAATACAGATTCCTACAGCCTTATATACCTTATGTTAGACAGGCTGACACCACCACTGCCTCAGGCACCTCTCTTTCTGTCAACCACTGAGTGTTACTCAACCAACTGAGGCCTCAGTTTCCCCAAACCTTCAGCCTAGTTCCTGAGAGGCGGGGACCTCATTGGTGCTCTCCTTAGCTGGAGTGTCCATCCTGGTGGAGGGGAAATATAGCATAAGGAGCACAGGAAATTGCCGCCTTCCCCTCTCTACACTCATGTGAGGATTCTCCAGTAGCAAACCACATCCCAAGAATTCCTCAAGGCCAGGCACATGGCATGCTTAACCATTGATATGCCCCCATCATCTTCTACTCTCCCTCTATTGCAGTTGACAACCAGTGCATCACCAATCCCTGTTGTTTCTACCTCCTTATTCATCTCTTCTAACCTCCTTCCCACGCTGCTCTCTGCTTTTGCTCCATTTCAAATATTTTTTTCTCACTTCTCAATGGGTATCCCTGCCTCAAGTCTCATTCTTCCTAAATCAGTCCTCCACACTATAGCGACAATCTTTCTGTAACAAAGGTTTCAACACTCAGTCTTCCTGTGCAAAACCCTTCAGTGTCTTCTCATTGCCTTCAGCTCAAAATCCAAACACGTTACTGAATCTATGCCAGTTTAGCTTCTCCAGGAAGTAGACACCAAGATAGAATGACAAATATACAAGATTTGTGGAGGGAAATGCCTGCGAGGGAGAAGGGGAAGAGAGAGCAGGCACTAGTGGGAAGAGCATCAGATCATAGTGCAGTCCTGACACTATGCAGGGGGAAAGGAAAGGAGAAAGTGTTGAGTGAGAAGTGCCAAAGACACTCTCACAGGCTGTTCTGAGAAAGTTGTGGCCATTTTAACTGGGAAGCCTCAGGGCAAACATTGCCTGTTAGAGAAGTCCTATGTGAAGTAGCAATGGCCCAGCTCTGATACCCCCACTATGCCAGACATTGGCTGGGAGCATGTCCGGGAGAGTACGAACTCCATAAGAATCAAAAAGTGTTACAGTCAGTGGCTCTCAGTGAGTTAATAGTCTTTGCAGCAGGCTATTTTTTGGAGGGAGAACTGAGCAGCCTGCTCACAGGCCTGCCACAAAGTCAAACAAAGGGTGTCCATCATCTAGTCCTTGCTAACATCCCATAACCCACCTTTTACAACTCAATGGCATAGACCCTAGGTCTGGCTATGCATCAACTGGTGTGTGCTCTATCCTCGAGCTTTGATACCTCCATGCATATACCACTACTCTGCCTGAAATGTCCTCCCTTCTCACTACTCACCTAGTTACCTGGCTAACTCCTATATGTCTAGCTCTGTTTATATGTCTATTTCCTACAACTAGACTATGAGTTCCCCAACGGCAAAAATTTTATTTTTCATTTATTAATTCCCTATTGAAAAACACGAAATCTTCAACTTGCAGAGAGTTTAATAAATGATGAATGGATAGATAGATGGATGAATGGATAAAAGATACCCCACCCCTCAATATCATAAAGTCCCAATGTCAGAGGAAACGTTCAGAAATAGCATAGTCTAGCCTTTTGCAAGAAACTTCTTACTCTATCTTGGATAGGTGAGAATTTCTGAACCGTTTTAACATCAGCAGAGATAGAGATTTCTCCAGTACTGCCAGTGAGAATGTTTCTTAATGTCTAACCTCAATCTCTCCTAATGCTGCTGTTAAGCCTAAAACCCAAATTAAGAGTAATGCCAGCAATTTTTAGTCAACAACTTATCGCACTCATTCTGAAGGAGGAAATAGATCCATTATCCTTGAAATACAAGCAAATAGCTGACCAGCATAATTGTATCTGTCTACACAAGTGACAAAATTAAAACTAATGTATGTACCAGAGCAGGACAATTAGCTTAGTGTGAGTAATCTGGGTTACTTTTATACTTCCTCTGACAGACCCAATCATCTTTTGTTTCCACAAATGTCTACTGCCTCCTTTGGAGTCATCAGTACCATCCGTAGCTGATAATGTGCTTGAAGTCTTACAAGAAGGCTTGGTTTTTATTATAACAGCCATGTTCCTACATTGGCACCAGCAGCCAAGATAAAAGCTAACAAAGGATAATCTTCCACAATAAACATAAAAACAGGATCATAATGATTAATTTTGTTCATTGTTCTCTCTGTAGACATCAGAGTCTATTTCTGTGAACTATTACTTCTTTAGTTAGAATTTAGCCACTGGCAGTGTGCATATATGAGTGGGATCCAGGGGAGGAAGAAAAATGGAGAGGGCTCAGTGCTGTGATTGCATCTGGCTGTGGACACACAGGAGGCACTATTTAGGAACTCCCAGAGGTCACTGGGGACAATTGACAAGGAAGTCATGAGACTAATGAGATTTTATAAAATTTCTTTGGATCAAACAAAATAAACAAGAACACCACAAAATCAGCATAAAGAATCATATCCTTACTTTAGTTCTAGATGGAGGAGATCTAAGTTATCCAAACATCTGGCTTCTTTCAATACTACAAAACATGAGAACACATTCCCTTTCGAATATTCTTTTTGCAGATCTTCATCTAGTAATGCCACTCAGATGTACAGGACAACCCACAGCTGCACATTTGGGCAAGATGACATCATCAGGAGAGCTACTTAAGAAATTACTTATGATAATGTTGGAATACATGAAAATTGGTATTATGGCATTAGAAAAAAATCAAGAGCACTAGATCTAGATAAGGGTCCATCTTTTCAAAGGGTCTCCCTTGTGATCAACTGAAGAGTCTACCAGACCTTCTTTACAAGGAGTTCTTGATATGTCTAGATGTTAAAGGAATAACTTCTATTTTCATCAGTTCACATTATCCTTTGCCCTTTCTCTCTCTCCTCCTTCTCTTCCTTTTTTCCTTTTTTCCTTCCTTTTCTCCCTCATTGTCTTCTTCCCTTTTACTTTCATTCCCCTTCAAAATTCTAAGGCCCTGTTATTTTGCAAGTATCAGAAAATTGGCTATTTGGGGAGCAAATATTTTTCAGCTTGTAATTCTAGAGATACATAAATATAATTATTGACTCCAAGAAGAGGGCTCCTTTGCATCCAGAAGAGCCACCAGCCATTTCGAACATTGCTGAACAGCCGTTGTGTATCTGGCCCTGGGCTACGTGCTGGCGCATGGAGATGAGTAAGAGTTAGTCCATGCCATACTAAGTGCAGTGGGACAAGCATGGTGTTAGAAGCATATACAGCTACAATGTGTGTGAAGGAGAAGGACATAAGCCTTCCTTCCTGGCACGTATTTCCAAGAATTCCTTCATGGAAGTGATACTTGAGGTGAACTTTGATTTAAATAATAGTTGTTGGTAAAAGAGAAGGAAAAGAGATTCCTAGGCCAATAGCATATCATGAGCAAAGGTACAGAGAAGAGAAATAGGAAGCTCAATATTAGTAGCTTGTTAAAAAAGGAATTAGTAAACTGAGGCTGGGAAGGGAGACATGATCCAGGTCACAAAGAATCTCATGTTTCTCCTAATAGCTTAAATTATTAAGCTATCAGAGCACACCATGAGGAGTCACTGAAGCCTTTTAAGGGTAAGAGTGCTATGATCTAGTTATTATTGTAAAGAATCACTCTGTGAATAGTAGAATGGATGAATTGGAAAGGAGAGAGCATAAAGTCTCAAGGCAGGGGCAACACTAAAGGAGCTATTGTAATAGCTCAGAGGAGAGATGATGATTGCTGAATCAAGTAGTGGAAGTGAGCATGGGGATAACTTGAGAACTGTCCAGGACTTCACAACCAGTGGAACATGGGGCTGAGAGACGAGAGGGTTCTGATTTGGGAACTATTTACTGAGAAGAGAAATATGGGAGCCAGAGAAAATCTGAAGTGAGGGGGAAAAGGGAAGAAGTTGAATTGGGGAGAATTCTCTTCTCTACCTGGGGAGAAGCCCAAGTAGAGAAGTTCAATAGACAGTTATGATTGGTCAGCATTTGAAAAAGGAGATTAATCAGGAAATAGATTGTGGAGCCAACAGCATGTACGTGGCCTTGAAGTCCTGAGGATACATGGGTCATTATGTGTGGAAATAACTGCATTTTCTCATCTCGGGTTAAGGACGACCAATTCCTTCTTTTTCCCTTATATAATCACTGATATGAATAGAGTCCTTAACAGCCCACAAAGCACTTTCATAACCCTTATTTTATTTGAACCTTGTCCCTTATACAACTCTCATTTGTACCTGTTATCATCTCTGTTTGCATACCAGGGAGATGAGTAGAGAGGTCAAGTGATTTTCTCTAGGTCACACAGTTAATAAGTGGAGGAGCTAGGGCAACAAGCCTGGATTTCTGCTTTTAAATTCTTGACAAGTTTAGGTTTCATTTCTTGTTTTCCCTCCTAACACCATATGTTGGAAGAAATGTCTTGTGTACCACTGTGTCATGCTTGGCATACTGTCTAGCACGTAGCAAACAACAGTCACGTCACAAGTTAATATATTTTATTTTTAAATTATATTCCTGTGGATAATTTCCTCTAGGTTTATTTTGAAGCAAACAGTTTTATAGCTCAAAGGGATAGTAACTTGAACCAACTAGTCACTTATTCCTCTGTGTGTGAATGGCACTGTTTATTCGTCTACCGCAGAGCTTGACATACTGAATGATGACCCTCCCACTATTTCCTGCATTAGACTGAGAGCTTCTGGAGGGCAAGGCTACCATGAATTAATCATTAAATACATCTCTCCCTGCTTATTTAAATGATTTTAATGGCTATGTCCTTCCCTGACCCATCACTGGCAAGGGCCACTTTGATATTCTCTTCTGAAACTTACATAAGCCTCTCTTGCAGTAGTTAGATTACTACAGTGAAATTGTTTGTTTGCACCTCCCCTAAAAGAATGTAAGCTCCTGAAGACAGAGATTATGCCATTTTATATCTGTTTCCCCAGTGCTGAGATGCAAACAATTATACTGCAGCAAATTAATTGCTGCAATGGGGATCTATGCATGGTATGAAATCAATACCTGTTCACTGAATAAATGAATGGCAAGTGCAAGATAAATTGAGTTCTAAACTGTCTGAGCGGGAACCTTAGAAAATATTCAGTTCCTCCTCTTTGTTTGCAGATGAAAGAAATAAGACCTAGAGAGGATAAGATAACATTGAAAGGTCCCACAGGTCCAGTTAGTGGCTCCAAGACCGTTGTTTCCATATTTTGCAGAGAATGAACAAAGGCGTAGAAAGCTGGGAGGGAAAAAGTACATATTAAAAATATTCCAAGTCTGCAGCACCGAGTAAGGCATACAGAAAAGGGAGGAAAAGGCAAATATAAAATAGAGTGTAGCTATTATTGTCAATTAAGACAAAGTAAATGAATAAAGGAATTCATTATTTCAAGTTGAGGCAGCCTTTGACTGAAAGAGTGACTTGAGAGCTTAAAAGCTTCTGAAAGATGTATATCCTTTTAGCAAGGCAACAACAAACCCAAATCACTTTCAGTGTTTACATTTCAACATAGTATTAAAAGTAATGTTTAAACATTACAAGGACAAGCAATGCCAGTTGCAATTATAGGGTGGCTTCCCTGGTTCTTCCTAGAGGATTGTGAGAGGTAGAACTCCCAGAGATAGAATAACTGTTAACAATAGCCCATGTGCATTGAGTGGTCAGTACATGCCAGGCACCATCATTAATTAATTCAACCTTATAACAACCCCACGAAATAATATTGTTATCTCTATTTTCTATATAACAGAACTATGGCCCGGGTTTTCCATGGTCACACAGTTGGAAAATGAGGGACACCAGGGTTTACTCCAAAATATTTCTGATTCCAAACCCATGCTGTAAACCACCCTAAGGATGATGAAGACTAATCTAACCATTCCTGCTTGCCAGAATCCCAATCCAATGGCCTCTCCCATGGGCTGGAAATGCCTTCCTGGGTTTTTCCAGCCTATTCCTTTTCACAAAAGTAGCACTGACACATGTTTCAAGTTTCCGAGAAAGCCATTAGGCGCTTGAGACATAGAAACATTTGAAGGAAATTAGGAAGAGGAAGAAATAAGAATGACAAAAGATCTATAAGTCACATATGTGTCTCTGGTAATTAAGAAGGTAATAATAATTAACTTTGAGCACTTTGCAGCCTCTGAAGGAAGGACTATCCAAACTCAAATCCCATTTCATCCTCACAGCAACTGGGAAGAAGTCAAGAACAGTCTTCTTTCCCTATTTCATAAAAGAGGAATCTGAGGTTAATGGATTTAAACTGTTGCCCAGGATGAGCTAATAAAAGCGAGGCTTGACTTCAAGGCTTCTGGACCCATAGCCCATGCACAGCCGTGGAAGGCAACACAATAGCCTGAGTCGTTTTCAATATCTACCTATTCTGAGTTCAGGACAGTTGATTATCTTCCTAGGTCAGGGTGTGATTTATGCTAATAGGCTTCTGACTTTTCAAAAATTTTTCACTCATATGTGTGTGTATATACATGATGTAAACATGTTAAAATATATATATGAGATATATCTCTCTCCAATGACTGTATTAGCTAAGTCCTAGCTGCTGTAACAGAAACGCCCAAATCTAAGGAACATCACATCATTTCTTTATTTTATTTATTTATTTTTTTGAGGCAGAGTCTCACTCTGTTGCCCAGGCTGGAGTGCAGTGGTATGATCTCAGCTCACTGCAACCTCTGCCTCCTGGGTTTAACCAATTCTCCCACCTCAGTCTCCCAAGTAGCTAGAACCACAGACATGCGCCATCGTACCGGGCTAATTGTTTGTATTTTGAGTAGAAATGCCATGTTGGTCAGGCTGGTCTCGAACTCCTGGCCTCAAGTGATCCACCCACCTCAGCCTTACAAAGTGCAGAACATCATTTATTTCTTACTCAGGTAGGGTGCAAAGACTATACTTAACTGGTAAGCACCTCTCATCTATGTGCTGACTCAGGGACTGACACTTTAATTTTATGGCTCTACCATGTTCAACATGGGGCTTCCAAAATCATCATGCTCATTTGCTTGAAACCAGAAGAGAAAGACAGAACAAGAATAACAGAATTTTTATGTTCTGAGCCTAGATGTGCCAGTCATTCTTCTAGGCACATTCCTTTGGGTGGAACTCAGCCATACAGCATCACCAAAAGGCAAGGAGGTCTGGGAACTATAGTCCATCTGTGTACTCAGGAATATGACTGACTGTAGCCTTCCTCAGGCATGTTGAACTTAAATAAATCTGAAATCTGTTAAGATTTCCTTCCTCTAGTCAAGATTCGATTAAATTTTTTTCTTTACTTTTTTTTTTTTTTTTTTTTGAGAAGGAGTCTGGCTCTGTCACCCAGGCTAGAGTGCAGTGCGACAATCTCAGCTCAATGCAACCTCCGCCTCCGGGATTCAAGCAATTCTCCTGCCTCCGCCTCCCGAGTAGCTGGGACTACAGGTGCATGCCACCAGACCTGGCTAATTTTTTATATTTTTGGTAGAGACGGGGTTTCACCTGTTGGCCAGGCTGGTCTCGAATGCCTGACCGGAAGTGATCCACCCGCCTTGGCCTCCAAAGGTACTGGGATTAGAGGAGTGAGCCACTGCGCCCGGCCTTAATTATATTTTCTTAAGGACATGCCCAGTTCTTCAGAAGCCATCTCCTAATGCCCCACCTTCCTTTCTGCAGGTGCCTAAACCAATTACTACCATGTTCTCTCCCTAATACATGAGACTAGGCTACTTGAAACCTCCATCTAGAGAATTTGTAGTAAGAGAGTCTGTGCATATAAGAAGAAAAACTAATTTATTGAAGTTTATATGAATAATTTCTATTTTTACTAATATAAAATGGCAAAAAGTGGAATAGATGTGTTTATTCCATTTGACAGAAATGTCACATTATTTTTGTAATACTAGATTGAATTTGACTTTGATGTTCCTCCACCAAACTGACAGGCAAGTCAACCCAGTCATTTTGAGAGCTTCTTCTCCTTTCACCTTCTCTTCACCGTCCCTTCCCTGAACCATTAAAATGCCTCCTAATAGGCTCATTGCTGCAGTCTCCTAAACTGCAACCAGAAGACCCTTTTCTCAAAACCTTTTACTCATTGCTTCCCTTGCTTACCTCCTGCCTCTTTCTGCTTCATACTTTATGTTCTCATAATACCTGCTCATACCTCCCACTTTTCATGCTGTTTCTTCTGCTAGGCATGACCTTCACATATGTCTTCATTTCACTACAATAAAGCAGTGCACCATGGTGACTATCAGTCCTGGTGTCAGATTTCTGGAGTTCAGACTCTGGTTCTACCACTTACTATTCACTTGACCCTAGCTTACCCTCTTAACCTTTCTTTGCTGCAATTTAGTCATTCATAAAAATGAAGCGATAATAACACTAACATCATAATGTTTACATAAAGATTTCCTGAGCCAAGACGTGTAAATGCACTTAGATTACTGTTTGACACACATTTAGTGCTTCACAAACCTTGCCTGTCATTATTAACTCCTACTCAACCTGCACGATTCATATGAGGCATCATCTCGTCCTACTTTTTACTTGATTTTTATCTCTATTCTCGTGGGCTGGATGCATGCCTGTCGGTCATAGCACTTCCCATATTATCTCAAAATTATCAGTTTAGGTATCTTTACACCAAAAAACTCTAGGGAAAAAGGACTATATTTTATTTACATTTTACTCTCAGGGATAAAATAGTGCTTGGTATATAGAAGGCGCTCAATAAATATTGACTAAGCTTAATTTATAAGTTTAAATGCTATCCTCTAAAGTTACGCCAAAACATGCAAAGCCATAATGAGCTATTCAAAATTTTCTATTTGTAAGTGGCCTACGAGCTTAGCATGAGAGCATATTGGTGCTTAATATGAGCAACAACCAAATGATCCTCCACAGATATAGCAAGCACTGGCTTCTATATCATTGGAAAAGGAACTCAACCACTACCATTACACTTGATGGTAAGCAGTAGGAGATAGAGACATGTGGTTTGTACTTCTAAACAACAAACCACCTTACATCAATAATTTATAGTGATTTTCTGCATAAAGACATAATCAATCGATTTTAGTTAAAAACTCTTGGTAGATTTAATTCTATATATTGTACAAAGTAAGTTTTTCTTATGCATAATAGTTTCAAATTCACATATACATTTCTCACATACACATAATTTGTGTTACCCTGCATAGTCAGGAATAGAACACCTCAATAACTCAGACATAAGTTGATTTTCATTATGATCTAATTAAAATGGTAAACTTCAGACACCTATGCCTATAGCCCACTGTACTCTTCCATTTATTCACATTCTATTTTCCTCCTGAGGAGAAAGATAATTAGGGCAAACGTTACAATCTGCAGGAGAGTCTATGTTAGTTGAGCCTCACAAAGAATGTCATAATAGTCCAAGCTGTCCAACAAGTTATTTGCTAGGTAGTGAGTGGCCCATCTATGGAAGAATTTAAACAAGGCAAGGAAGACTCTATAAGGGACCTTAGAGAAGGGATTCTAGACAGAAGACGTTTGAGCTAGATATATATTCAAGCTCCTACCAGCACCACCAAGGGTGGAAAATTCTATTATTCTACACTTAACCACTACCTAAGATTATTCATTAAGTGTAATCAGAAAGGAGGGTGTAATTACTGCCTAACAGGGTGCCGAGGGTGGGAACCTGAAAAGTCAACCTGCCTTTGAGGCAAAGGATATGTGTAGGACCAGGACATAGGCACAAATCTGAGTAATGAAGAGTCAGGTAAATGCAGAAATGTAGAAGAATGAGGCAAAGGTCTAATGAGGGAATATAGAGGGGCCAGGATTCTTTTTAGTAGGAATAATATTTATTGAATGCTTACTATATGTCTAGAATTTTGCTGAACACATTACAGGCATAATTTCATCTAATCTTTGCAATGACCCTCTGATCTAGTTACTATTATTACCTGGGTTCAGATGAGGAATCTGAGGGCTGCCCAATCCCATATAGTTCTAATAAGTAATGGAGCCAGGCCTTAGCTCCAAATAGATCTGTCTGACTTCAAAGCCATGTGCACATAAGCCTTCTCCTAAGCAGAGCTAGACTGGCCTTTACTTCCTCTAATGCAGAAAGTGTTGGCTGCACAGTGTGTGGAAAGACTGATGGGGCTTAAATACACAAAGTCCTGGGTAAAACCTACAGGTTTGGGAATCCTTTCCACACGTGGTACCTGCTTATGTCTGCATAAACCAGAAATCACTTTCTGACAGCCAGACCTGACTCAAAGGTACATTTTGTTTGACTCATAGTGTTCTTTAAAATGTGTTCAACCAATATTTTGTTTGACTCATAGCGTTCTTTAAAATATATTCAACCATTATTAAACTATCAGGTGTGTCACACAAGATTCTAGATTTCTAGTGTCTTTTGAAGAAGCAAAAAGAAGATCTTTCAACACTAAGCCCTCCACTGCTTGGAGCTGAGAAGCAGCTGCCCCCTTCTAACAGGGTGTGTTTATTCCATTTCACTTCAGTCCCCACCATTCCTTCTTGTCTCCCTGACTTTGTCCTATGGGAGTCACTAACACTCCCTGTCTGGCCTCACCAGGCATTTGAATTTGAGATCCACAGAAGAGACCAACAATACACAGCAATGCTAAAAATTCTCCAGGTATTCCTGCTTCTTAACAAGATGTCTACTTATGCTATTTTTATTGTTATACTTCAAATATTGCTATACGTAAATATAAAATACATGCAAAATAAATGTCAGGTTTAGCTTTTTTTTTAAATAATATGTTTTTAACCCAGCATTTTTAAAAATGTCACCAGCTATTTCAAGGTTCACATGTAGTTCAGGCAACCTCCCCCATGCAAGCCACTTCACTCACCATCCGTCCTCCCTGCTCCTCCAACCTCATCTGCTGATAGTATAATCTGTCTTACAACCCAACATAAATTCACTACATAAGTAATTTTTCCCCCAAGGCTGTTTTTCCATGACCATGTGCAAGTAAATTGCTTATTTTTTTCTTCCCCAATGTACAGCAGAGGTCACCATGACTTCTTGCACAATTTGGCTTCCTTAAATACAAACGCAGGTGCTTTCTCCATCAATACTTTAATGTCACCTTGTCTGCCATTCCCGTCTGGTTTTCATCTGTGACCATGAGAGAAGTTACTGGGGTAATTCACCCATGTTCTCAGGTGTTCTTACCACTGGAGTAAGAGGGGAGCTTCATGCAGAGGCAAAAAGGAGACAAGGAATAATCCACGTTTAAGTCAGATGAAAGAAGGAGACATATTTCAGGGAGCTGTTGGGCTGAGTCATCTCCCAGCAAAATTGTGAATCTTATTAAGTGTGTATGTGTTCTTCTCTTCATTCATTTATTCCTTGAAATTATCTCTCTCTCTTTTTTTTTTTTTTTTAATTTAGACGGAGTCTTGCTCTGTCACCCAGGCTGGAGTGCAGTGGTGCGATCGTGGCTCACTGCAACCTCCACCTCCCAGGTTCAAGCAGTTCTCGTGCTTCAGCCTCCCAAGTAGCCAGGATTACAGGTGCACACCACCATGCCTGGCTAATTTTTGTAATTTTTTTAGTAGAGATGGGGCTTTACCATGTTGGCCAGGCTGGTCTTGAACTCCTGACCTTGTGATCTGCCCGCCTCGGCCTCCCAAAGTGCTGGGATTACAGGCATGAGCCACTGCGCCAGGCCGAAATTTTTTATTAAATGTATGTTAGTGCATTAAGATATTTAATTTTAACAGAAATCTTATGTTGTAGTCTTGCTGTTCCAATCTGACAAAGAAGAAATAGGGATTTACAGGAGTGACCTGCCCAAAGTCACACAGCTGTTAAAGTGCTAAGAAAAGAATGTGAACGTTAGGCTGACATAGAAGCCCCCAGTCTTAACCACTCTACTGTTTGGCTCCCATTTGTGCCTTGAGGCATTTATATAAGATAAATGTCACCAATCCATGGTGGTGGGTGCTGCTAATAAGGTACTATAATAAGGTAGGCTGGGTGCGGTGGCTCAAGCCTGTAATCCCAGCACTTTGGGAGGCTGAGGCGGGCTGATCATGAGGTCACGAGATTGAGACCATCCTGGCTAACACAGTGAAACCCCGTCTCTACTAAAAATAAAAAAAAATTAGCCAGGCGTGGTGGCAGGCACCTGTAGTCCCAGCTACTCAGGAGGCTGAGACAGGAGAATGGCATGAACCCGGGAGGCAGAGCTTGCAGTGGGCCGAGATCATGCCACTGCACTCCAGCCTGGGCAACAAAGAAAGATTCCACCTCAAAAAATAAAATAAAATAAAAATAAGTTACTATAATATGGTACAGTGTGAGGCTTTCTCACCTTTCCCCTTCTCTAAGGAGACCTAGGACATTCCCTTCAGGGTTTGTACTCATCTTTTTGCCCCACTACCTTTCTCCTCAACTTGCCTCATTTATCTATATCTATATCTATAACTATATATCTATATCTACATCTGTATCTATATGGAAGCTCTTGTGTTTTAAAATTTGTATAAATTTGTGAGGGACAAGTGTAATTTTGTTACATGCATAGATCGTGTAGTGGTGAAATCAGAGCTTCTAGGGTATTCATTGCCCAAATAAAGTACATTGTACCCATTAAGTAATTCCTCATCATCCAACCCCTACTCACTCTCACCCTTCTGAGACTTCATTATCACTCTACACTATATGTCTGTGTCTTCACATTATTTAGATCACACTTACAAGTGAGAACACACAGTATTTGACTTTCTGTTTCTGAGTTATTTCACTTAGGATAATGGCCTCCAGTTCTATCCACGTTGCTGCAAAAGATATTATTTTATTATTTTTTATGGCTAAATAGTATTCCATTGTGTATATAGGCCATACTTTTTTTTTTAATTTTTTTAGTATTTATTGATCATTCTTGGGTGTTTCTCGGAGAGGGGGATTTGTCAGAGTCATAGGACAATAGTGGAGAGAAGGTCAGCAGATAAACACAAGAACAAAGGTCTCTGGTTTTCCTAGGCAGAGGTCCCTGCGGCCTTCGGCCCTGTTTGTGTCCCTGGGTATTTGAGTTTAGGGAGTGGTGATGACTCTTAAGGAGCATGCTGCCTTCAAGCATCTGTTTAACAAAGCACATCTTGCACCGCCCTAATCCATTTAACCCTGAGTTGACACAGCACATGTTTCAGAGAGCACGGGATTGGGGGTAAGGTTATAGATTAACAGCATCCCAAGGCAGAAGAATTTTTCTTAGTACAGAACAAAATGGAGTCTCCTATGTCAACTTCTTTCTACACAGACACAGCAACTATCTGATTTCTCTATCTTTTCCCCACATTTCCCCCTTTTCTATTCGACAAAACCGCCATCGTCATCATGGCCCGTTCTCAATGAGCTGTTGGGTACACCTCCCAGACGGGGTGGCGGCCGGGTAGAGACGCTCCTCACATCCCAGACGGGGCGGCCGGGCAGAGGTGCTCCCCACATCCCAGATGATGGGCAGCCAGGCAGAGACGCTCCTCACTTCCTAGACGGGGTGGCGGCCGGGCAGAGGCTGCAATCTCAGCACTTTGGGAGGCCAAGGCAGGCGGCTGGGAGCTGGAGGTTGTAGTGAGCCGAGATCACGCCACTGCACTCCAGCCTGGGCAACATTGAGCACTGAGTGAGCCAGACTCCGTCTGCAATCCCGGCACCTCGGGAGGCCGAGGCAGGCAGATGACTCGAGGTCAGGAGCTGGAGACCAGCCCGGCCAACACGGCGAAACCCCATCTCCACCAAAAAATACAAAAACCAGTCAGGCGTGGCGGCGCACGCCCGCAATCCCAGGCATTCGGCAGGCTGAGGCAGGAGAATCAGACAGGGAGCTTGCAGTGAGCCGAGATCGCGGCAGTACAGTCCAGCCTTGGCAACAGAGGGAGACCTTGGAAAGCGGGAGACGGAGACGAGGAGACTGTGGAAAGCAGGAGACGGAGACGACGGAGAGGGAGAGGGAGAGGGAGAGGGAGAGCTATAGGCCGTACTTTCTTTATCCAGTCATCCCTTGATGGACACTTAGGTTGATTCCATATCTCTACCAATGTGAATAGTGGTGCAATACACATACAGGTGCAGGTGACACTTGCCTCTTAACCCTACTGTAGGGGCATTGAAAGCTTCACAGGAATCCAAGCCATGAATGCTTTTGATGATATCACTCTTAGCTTGTTGAAATTTAACAGAGGATCAAATTAACATCAGCCAAGTGCTTTATGGTTCACTATAGCTTAAAGGTCATCCTTGCCACCTTTTTTATTAGGTGGGCATTATTATTACAAACATTTAATGGAAAAAAATTTGACAGAGGAGCAAAGTGACCTGCAAGGCCATGACACTTGGGGAAGCTGCTTATATTTAGGTTCAGGAAAAATATCGAGTCTCACTCAGAAACTGTCTTCATGTTAACTATCTTCTTTCCATCTTCTACTAGATCATTTTGATGGTATATTACCTCAAAAATATAAAAACCTGGCGCGGTGGCTCAAGTCTTTAATCCCAGCACTTAGGGAGGCTGAGGTGGGCGGATCACGAGGCCAGGAGTTCGAGACCAGCCTGGCCAACATAGTGAAACCCCCGTCTCTACTAAAAATACAAAAACATTAGCCAGGCATGGTGGCGGTCGCCTTTAATTCCAGCTTCTTGGGAGGCTGAAGCAAGGAGAATCACTTGAACCTGGGAGGAAGAGGTTGCAGTGAGCCAAGTTGATGCCACTGCACTCCAGCCTGGGTGATGGTGGAGACTCCACCTCAAATATATATACCTTTCCATTATGAACTCAGTAACTTCTGAGTCACAAGGTGGGCCAAGTCAGGTACACCAAGGTAATTCTCAAGCCCTCATGACTGAACATGATGGGGCTTTTCTCCCACCTGCTTGTCTCATGCCTTCTTCCATTTCTTTTTTCTTTCCTTCTCCCCCCATACCTTCACTCCTCTAATGGAATTCATGTTCCAGCCTTCACTTAAATGAGCAAGTGTAATACTGCAGAAAAGAGCATGATTTTTGGATTCTGCTGGATCCAGGTTTGATTTCCAGTTCTCCTGAACACTACCTGTGGATACTAGTCCCCGATTCTCTAAGACAGTGGTTCTCAAAAGTGTGATGCCTGACTCAGCAGCATCAGCATCACCTGTGATCTTGTGAGAAATGCAAATTCAGAGGCTCCACCCCAGACCTTCTGAATGAGAGTCTTCTGGAGGCAGAGCTCAGCAATCTATAGTTTAACAAGCCCTCCAAAGGTTTCTGGGAAATACCACAGTGTGAAACCACCACCCTAAAAGACTTTATTCATCGACTGTGTGTAGTAATACTTGCTTCACAGAGTTTCTTTGAGGATTAAATAAAATAAAACAGCTAAAGCACACAGCCAAGTGACTAGCCCATAAGAGATGCTCAAAATATGACAGTTTTCCATAGCGGTTGGAATAGACTGGTGACAAACAGAGATATTAAATGCATAGCCATACAACTGTTGAAAAGCTCATCATATCCTACATACAAGTAAATATTAGCTCACATCCCTAAGCCCTCAAAAGCACCAGGCACCTCTCCTGCCAACACAGGTGACCAGGGAGCAATGGAAAGCTTGAGTTTCTTTTCTAAGGTCCTTTACTTCCTTGTTCCTCAGCACTTCAAGGTTACCAGCTCTCTATTGCTAAGTCAAGACCCAAGTCATCTACATGTGTACATGGTTATTTTGGTTTTGCAAAACATAATTATTAAAGAAAATCTAGCTGGAACTAGGTGCAAAGAGCATGGCCAGCAACACTACACCGGAGAAGGATATATATAACTCATGTGAAGCAGGCCAAGTATTTCCATGGCATTTGCTAATAAATAGGTTCCCAGGGGAGGGCAGGAAAAGCAGTGAAACAAACGGATTCATTGGATTTGGAGGGGATCTAGCTGAAAAAGATCAGAAGTTTGGACAAAGTTGTCAGTAAAACATGCGCAATTAAATATTGAAATGCAAATATTAAAAATACTTCTCAAGTCCCTTTTTGGTCGGTGATCTTAAGAAGATTTTCATAGTCCACATCTCACTGGACTCCTACAAGGGTTC
This sequence comes from Homo sapiens, assembly GCF_000001405.40. NCBI lineage: Eukaryota > Metazoa > Chordata > Mammalia > Primates > Hominidae > Homo > Homo sapiens. Next base: position 79,801,872 of record NC_000011.10, on the reverse strand, counting down.
AGAGAGGGAGACATATTCTGTATTAATTGTTTACAGAAAAGGAGAGAGGTAATATAATTCAACCAGACCACACAGCTGGTAATAGGACGTAGACTCAAACACACATACATCTATTTGTTCTGTTTGGAATACCTTCCCCAGTCATCTCCTCACCCATCGCATTTCTAATCTGACTGGATCTTTTAGGATCAAACGCCAAATTCTGCTTCCTCCCAAGTGCCCCACCTTGTCTCTTTAGCAAAAGGAGTCTTTCCTTTCTCTCCATGTGCAGAGGTTCTATTCCCTGGATTAATGTATTAACTCTTTCATTCCTGTAGCAAATATTTGCGGAATGCCAAATATGACCCAGGTTCTCTTCTAGGCACTGAGGTTGTGTGCAGTTGCCATTCTGGTGTATGACATGGACATTAAGCATATAACATACGATAAATTATATGGCAACGTAGAGTGTGTGGTACATGCTATGAAGGAGGAGCAACATGCTAGAAAGAGAAGTAATTGAGATCTACTTTTGACTTGAAAATCAGGGAGCTCTCCCTGGAAAAATATTTTTTCCAGCTGAGATCTGAAGGACATGTAGCAGCCAGCCAGGTAACAAGTGGTGGGAAGAGCATTTAAGGCAGAGGGAACAGCACTTTGAAGACCCTGCAGTGCATGGGAGAAACCAAAAGAAGTTTAGTGGGATTGGAGAATGATGATTTAGGGTAACAGGTAAGCCAGGGCCTTATAGAGTACATTTAATAAGCCAATGGGGAGCTACTGAAGATTCTTAAGCAAAGGGGAGACAATCTGATCTGTGTTTTGACAAAGATCACACTAGCTTGAGTAAGGAGAATGGATTAGAGGGAGCAAGAATGGTATTGAGGATAACAGTTGAGAGGTTATTGCAAAGTGCAGGCAAAGAGCTTAGGTTGAGGTGGAAGGAATAATGGGAAAGTAGATGACTGAGGCATCTGTTGGAGATTGAATTGGCAGCACATGGCAATGGACTTGATACATGGAAAGAGGAGAGGAAGAAATCAAGAGTGACCACAGCATTTGTGCCTTGGGCTAAAAGATAGATGAACAGAGGTGACTTTCACCCAGATGGGGGAAATCTAGGGAGGAGGGAGACTAAGTGGAAGAAGACACTTAATTGTTCTTCCATTATGGTGCTAATCAGAGCATGTTTTCCATTTCAGCTATATGAGCATATATTTTATGTTTTTATACATCCTAAAGAATTAAGTCTTGATGGACTTTATTCATCACTTATCCATCCACTAAAATGCCACTAACACAGTCCCTGGACCATAGTAAGAGTTCAAAGAATATGTATGATTTGGTTGGTTGGTTGGCTTAATAAATGAATCCAAATAGCGTTCATCCCAATGCCTGGAAAATGGCAAATGCTTAGTAAAAATGTTAACTATTGTATTCCACAATAATAACATGCCTTTTGCAAACTGACCTTGTATCTCCCAAAAGCTTCCATGAAGAGTAAATGCAACATAGTTTAGCGAATAACAAAATCCCCAGGTTCTGACACATTTACCATTTAACAAAACACTGAAGCTCCTAATTAAAAAATAATAAGCTTGCATATTATGGTGACACAAGCATAGCGGGGCAGTTGCATGTGTTACAGCTGTTACTCTGCTCTGCAAGGTTTACCCTCAGAGCTTTCAATTAAAAGCAACACTGAATTCACTCCTCACACCATATGCAGATCCTGAAAGCATTTTCTTCTTTCTTTGTAAAATGTTAGATGAAAGAGTGGAGAAAGATGTGTGAGACATACACACACACACACCACACATTCAGCAACCAGGACTACTCTCATAAAACCTCTCATTTCTACCTCCCCATCCACCTTGTCCTCTGATTTGCTGGGTGACCTTGAACAAATTTTCTAATATTTTTGCACTTTTGTGTGTAATATTTTTAAGTGCAAAAGTTGGTGTCAATTTGCCTAGCTGAGATTGGGTTCAGAGGAGTTAACACTATCCCCAAACACTATCATGCTGATATATCATGCCAAATGTAATTTTCATATTCATACTAATAATAGAGTAAATCAAATGCCATGTTAAATTAATAAATTTAATTCCATCACATTACCAAATGCTTGCAAGTTTTCTAATAGAGACCATTCCAGTCTGAGAAATATAAAAAATAATCTCTATAATGCAGGGTTATTGTTATTCACAAAAGTGTGCTAATTGTATATTTTTATAGCTTGGAAAGCTCTGTAAATGGGAATAAATGGGCCAATATATCATGGTTTGAGGGGTTCTGAGACCTGCCTGCTATTGACCATACTGCTTCCCACATCTTGTCACACCAACTGAAGGTTTACTTTTAGCAATTTGAGGCTGTATTGTGAAAGACTGTGTACTATCTACTTATTCTATTAGGAAACATCACATAGAAATGTGATTATTTCTGAGACTATCTCAGTGGAATATAAGCTCCATAAGGTCGTGGACAATATCTGACTTACTCAATAGCATATCAACAGCAATCAGTTGAAATACGTATCACATAGTAAGCACCAAATAAAACACTACTAGAAGAATTAGTGCATTCATGAAGGAGCATAAAATAGACAGGTGGAAATGGGCAGATGTGAGTTCAAATTTACCGCTTAATGGCCATGTGATCTTGACTAAGTTACTTACTTTACCTGGAATGTACTTTTTGAATCTTCAATATCTTTCTCAAAAGTTTTTGAGAATTGAATAAGGGAACGTGTGTAAAACACTTAGATTAGTGACTAACGTAGAATAGGAAGGCAGAAATTTCAGGACCCTTCTACCCACACTGTGAATTTTGGTTCAGTGGGAACCAATTCAACACACGTTCCAAAACCTAGTAGGGTCATGCAGAGACAAAAGGAAAAGTACACTACCGTCTTTACCCTCATGGATGGTATATGCTGTTGAGAACATAAGTCATCAACCTTAGACTTTTAAACCAGTACTTTCCAGTCATCAACATAAGACTTTTAAACCAGTACTTTCCACTCCCAGAGAAGAGAGGATTCTGCCCAAGTCTCTGCACTTTGGAGGGTCCCATTCTGGCCCTCCTCTGGCTGTGACTTTCCTCAAAGGGTGAGGATTCTGTGGGACCAAGGAGACATGAGTACTCAGAGCCCCACTTCTGGTTTATACTCTGTATATAGAGAACCCCAAACTTTCTAAGCCACATAGTGCAATCCTTCTTCCAGAACCTGCATAGACCTCTTCTGGTGTATATTCCTGAGTTAAGACTGCCAGTCATGTGTGTGGACCCCTTATAAATGGAAGGTGGTCAAGGGGCAGGGATTTGCAGAGAAAATAGAGGGTACTTGGGTATGAAGGCTGAGGGGTCCACACATGAAGATACACATGCAAGGGCCTCTCTTTGGGAGGATTATGTAAGAAGATGAAAGTAAATAAGAAACATAAAGACTGGCACATTGCAAGCATCCAGTAATATGGGAGAAGAGTATAAAGATGAAATAATCAACTTATATCGAGTCAAGCCAAACAGATGGAAAGGAACAAGTTTCAAGAGGAAGTGGCATTTGAGAGCTGTGAAGAATTTGGATTCGAGAGATGAGGAAATGGGCAACCCAAACAGATGTTCAAGCAAACTCATGAATTCAGAAATTGTATGATTATATGGCATTGGGAGAAGGGTGAGTGATCTCTTCTCAGTGATACATCAAATGTATAGAAAGATATCCTAGAAGGTGAATTTTAAAAATCAAGTTTGGGTGAAGTTGTTTTATCACTGCTGTAACAGTTTACCAAAAAATAAGTGATTTAATGCAACACTAATTATCCTACAGTACTGGAGGTCAAAAGTCTGATATAAGTCCTAAAGTGCTAAGATTAAAGTGTGGACAGAACCACTTCCTTTTGGAAGCTCCAGGGGAGAACTTGTTCCTTGCCCCTTTCAGCTTCTAGAGGCTGCCAAAGTTTCTTAGGTTCTGATCTCAATCAGTTCAATCTCTGCTTCCATGTCACATCTCCTCTCTGGTATCTCTTCCTCCTGTTTTTTTTCTTATAAGGACGCTTGTGATTACATTGTACTCACCTGATAAACAGGATAATCTCCCTATCTTAGGATCTTTAACTTAATCACATCTGCAAAGTCCCTTTTAGTGTATAAGGTAACACATTCACAGGTTCTGGGGATAGGGATGTGAGCATGTTTGGAGGCATTACTCAGTCTACCATAGTGGTCAAGTCTTCAAACATGAGATTGAGAAGTCATCTGAATTTTGTTTTTGAGAGAAAGGTTTCCATTTTATTGACAGGAATCAGCCATGTGGGTATAAAGTTTGCCAGAGAATGTGCATGTGTGTCCATTGTGTGGGGAGGGATCTGCCACGACTTCAGGAGCACAGAGATCACTTAAAAAGCCCAAACTCACCTCTAGATGATGACCGCTATTTGGGGATTCTGATTCAGTGTGGTCAAATCGTCTAATTTTTCAAATAAATCTGGAAATTTGTATCTTTGTAAGCAATCTTCCAATATTTGAATGTTAATTCCAGGTTTGTGTAATTGTTAACTGCCCCCTCCCAAAAAATGCATTGTACAGGATGGTTGTTTTTGTTTTGTTTTGTTTTGTTTTGTTTTATCATAAGCCTAAGTATTCTGATATGAATAGTGAAGGGCCTCTAAAATTTTTGAGTAGTGGGGGAAACAAGGTTTGAATTGTGCTTTTAGGAAGCTCATTACAAGCTACCATAAGGATAGACTGAGAATGTCCAGTTAGGAGAGCATTTTAGTAATCCAAGTGCAGGATTCCCAGCATCCAAAGTATGCCAGGGACAATTGAGGTGGGGATGAGATGAGGTACAGGTCAAGAAAGCAGTTTAGTAAGGTAGAATTGACAGGAGTTAAGGAGCTGACTGGACAGAAGGCAGAAGAAAGACAGGAGCTGAAGATAACATCAGGGCTTTGAGCGAAGGAAATGGGATAATTTGATTCATTTCCTTATCTGCTGGGGCAGTATGTTTGGGATGCTTTGCAGAGATAACATTTGTATGATAGCAAGAATGTGTGTTGATCAAGAAACCTAAATCCTGTGTTGGCCCAACCATCCTTTCAGTAACTTGAGGTTCCTGGAATAAATAGATGTGTGAAGAGGCAAAGCAAGACAAAGCAACCCTTTAATGTCACTTAGAGCTGTGGCCTCAAATTCCACATGGCAGAACTTAGTAAGCAGGCTAGAACACACGGACGGTGTATTGTTTCTATACTACTTAAGGTTAAATAGCCTTGAAACCAAGCAAATCCTAAAACTATTGCAGCTTCATGCAATACACAGACCCAATTATCTGTAGCAATAGGAATGATAGGCCAAAAGACAACATCTATTAGTGTTCAAGAAAAAGGAGTAAGCAAGGAAGCATAAGAGATGCTTGACACAATCCAGGGGTCCTTTTACCACCCCAGTCATGATGCAGACTCAGCCTTTAGTCAGATAATTGGAAAGGATTAGAACAGAGGAGAAAAAGATCAGGAGAAAGTAGGACAGCTCACAGATATGCTATTAATATAACCATTATCACTTGCATTTTGAAAGAACTCCCCACAAGAACAATGACCAATTCCAGTGTTCTGGGCACCAGTGGAATTTGGTAAACCTAGTTGAAGATTCTCCCACCATAGAAGTAGGGAAATAGGTGTGGGGATAGAGAGACAAGAGAAGCCTTAAAGTGTGCCCCAGAAACCACTGTTTCTTATCTGTCAAACTCTGAAAAACAAAGTGGAATGGGGTTCTTTGCTGTCAACACGGTCAAAGTCATGGGAGGAGGTCCACAAGAGTTTTATAACAGAGGCACCAATAAAGTGTTGTCTCAACATTCAACAAGGCATTGTTCTGAGATGAACCAGTGTATCTTTTACATTTGAGTTGGATCTTGATGGATCTGTTGGAATTTCTCAAGGAACAGATGCCTAGCAGATAGTACGTGGTAGGCAAAGAAGAATGAAATGAAAAATGAGGAATTTCTAGAAGAGGATACAAGGTGACTGAAGCTAGAACAGGATCCTGATCACAAAGGATTTGTTGTGGATTAGAAGCCCACAGGCACTGGGGAGTGGGTGAAGGTATATGACTGCCTTACTGATAGTTTAGAGGAATCACACTAGTATGTGTTTTTAGAAGAAGCACACAGGTGACTTTCACAAACGTGACTTTTATCGTAGTGCAGGAGTTAAGTATGCCAGCTCTGTCTCCTCTATTTGTTCAACCTTGGGCAAGCTACTTAAATTTTTTGATGGTGGTAGGTGCTTGTTTTGTCTTTCAGACCAAAGTTACCTTTATGTAAGTAGCCCCCTCTCACTTCAGCTCTGGTTCTGGGCTGTTGTGCAGGATGCCCACAGGTCCTAAAAAGGATGTTGCATCAGGTGGCCAAATTCAGAGAGCTCAGATCCTCATGGATGGCTCTGCAAGGCCAACTCCTTTAGAAACAGTGAAATGAGGTCAAAACTGCAGAGCCACAGCTTTCTTGAGGCTCTCCCCATGAGCTGGGGTGGAAGAGCCTCGTGTGGCCCTGGAGAGACAGTACATTCTGTTTGTGCCCCAGCCCTGGGGATTGACTTGGCTCTGAAGGACAGAACAGAATAGGCATTTAAGAGGCTCTAAGAGCTTCCCTGGATGAAGCCTTCAGAATCTGCCTCATTGTTTTAACCTGGTCCTCAAAGCACAAACACAAAGAACAGCATGTTCTCCAGCCCTCTCACAGAGAAACAGTTGGATGGTGAGTGAGCAATGCAAAAATTATGAGGAAGGATCCACTTGCCTGTGCTTGCAAAGTAAATTTTGTCCTTGAAGTGCATGTTTACCTCCTCATTATGTTTTGCTTCTGGTCTGCTCTTCAAAAAGGAACAATTTAAAGAAATGCTATGTAACTAAATAACAGGAATGGGGGTGGTTAAAGCACTGAGGAAGAAGGAAGTAGGTTAGAACTGGGAAGGGAGAGCCAGAGAGGAAACTAAAGAGAGCAAGAAGTAACACTTACATGGCACTTTGCATTTTATAAAGTGCTTTCACAAGCATTATTTCCCTTGGTCTTTATGTACTTACAAAACATAAAATTTTCACTTTACATTCAGGGTAACTAAGATCTAGAGAAATTAAGTACTTGGCCAAGGCTTCACAGCTATCACGTGACAGATCCAGGATTTAAATCCAAGTCGTTCTTCATTCACCTAGACATGCTAGGCATTTTGTTCCTTACTGACTACACAGAGAACTCCCAAGCAGTTGGGGAACTAGAGGAGAAGAAACCAGATCATTACTATGCACTGATATCACGGTGCCTGGTAAATAGTAGGCACTCAACAAAACTGTATGCTGAATGTGCCACTATGTGAAGAATCAATAAAAACATGGGATCCTACAGGAGTCCAGATGAAAACGTGGTTTGCTGTAGTTCCCCATTCCTTTTTCTTTGGGAATTCTAACTCTGAACACCCCAGTGCCTCCCACCCCTTGTCCTAAGTATGATTCTGACTTGTTCCCCTGCCCCCTCCAACACACGGAAATATGACTCATTAGGAGGAAGAATCACCTACCTCTAGTCTCCCCTGTCCTCTGGGTCCAAAAGGGCTCACACCGGCTAGGAGTAGCACTACAGCCCAACTCTCCCAACACCCAGCCTTAGCTGATCAACACCAGGGTGACAGTGTGGGACTTCCTGTGGTGTCTTATCATAGTGCAGGAGTTAAGAATGCCAGATCTGTCTCTGTTTGTTTAATCTTGGGCGAGTTACTGAAACATTTTGTATCTCAGTTTTATTATCTGTAAAATGCAGGTGTAATAGTTCCTATAGATTCACTACCAGGCTGTTGGAAAGAAGAGATGAGACAATACATACAAAGCTCTTAGCACCAGTGCCTGGAACACAGTAAGATTTCAATAAGTGTAGTTACCGTTGCTATTTTTATCTGGCATTGTACTTTCTTAGCCATTACCCCAATGCTGATTCAGTACTGTAAAACTAACCTAGCTCAGGGTGCACTTCCCGACTTTCGTGGAAATAGTCCTGGTATCAATGGCCTCCCTATTTTTCTTCTTTCTTTCTTCGTCTTTCTTTCTTTCTCTCTTTCTTTCTTTTCTTCCTTCTTTTTCTTCTTTCTTTCTCTTTATTTTCTTTTCTTTCTCTCTGTTTGTCTCTTTATTTTTCTTTTTCTTTCTTTCTTTCTTCTGGTGGTTCTGGTGCGCAACGATTGCATTCTACATTTGTCTCAGCCCTGTAGGCCCATCCTGATATTCCAGAGTTCCTGATGCAGTAGTCAAATTAGTGCTTCTGAGATTTCCTGACAAATCAAATAGAAATAGCCTAACACTATGTTGAATAGGAGTGGTGAGAGAGGGCATCCCTGTCTTGTGCCAGTTCTCAAAGGGAATGCTTCCAGTTTTTGCCCATTCAGTATGATACTGGCTGTGGGTTTGTCATAAATAGCTCTTCTTATTTTGAAATATGTCCCATCAATACCTAATTTATTGAGAGTTTTTAGCATGAAGGGCTGTTGAATTTTGTCTAAGGCCTTTTCTGCATCTATTGAGATAATCATGTGGTTTTTGTCATTGGTTCTGTTTATGTGATGGATTATGTTTATTGATTTGCATACGATGAACCAGCCTTGCATCCCAGGTGATCATGGTGGATAAGCTTTTTGATGTGCTGCTGGATTCGGTTTGCCAGTATTTTACTGAGGATTTTTGCATCGATGTTCATCAGGGATATTGGTCTAAAATTATCTTTTTTTGTTGTGTCTCTGCCAGGCTTTGATATCAGGATGATGCTGGCCTCATAAAATGAGTTAGGGAGGATTCCCTCTTTTTCTATTGATTGGAATAGTTTCAGAAGGAATGGTACCAGCTCCTCCTTGTACCTCTGGTAGAATTCGGCTGTGAATCCGTCTGGACTTTTTTTGGTTGGTAGGCTCTTAATTATTGCCTTAATTTCAGAGCCTGTTATTGGTCTATTCAGGGATTCAACTTCTTCCTGGTTTAGTCTTGAGAGGCTGTATCTGTCCAGGAATTTATCTATTTCTTCTAGATTTTCTAGTTTATTTGTGTAGAGGTGTTTATAGTATTCTCTGATGGTAGTTTGTATTTCTGAGGGATCGGTTGTGATATCCCCTTTATCATTTTTTATTGCATCTATTTGATTCTTCTCTCTCCTCTTCTTTATTAGTCTTGCTAGCGGTCTATCAATTTTGTTGATGTTTTCAAAAACCCAGCTCCTGGATTCATTGATTTTTTGAAGGATTTTTGTGTCTCTGTCTCCTTCAGTCCTGCTCTGATCTTAGTTATTTCTTGCCTTCTGCTAGCTTTTGAATGTGTTTGCTCTTGCTTTTCTAGTTCTTTTAACTGTGATGTTAGGGTGTCAATTTTAGATCTTTCCTGCTTTCTCTTGTGGGAATTTAGTGCTGTAAATTTCCCTCTACACACTGCTTTGAATGTGTCCCAGAGATTCTGGTATGTTGTGTCTTTGTTCTCATTGGTTTCAAAGAACATCTTTATTTCTGCCTTCATTTCATTATGTACCCAGTAGTCATTCAGGAGCAGGTTGTTCAGTTTCCATGTAGTTGAAAGGTTTTGAGTGAGTTTCTTAATCCTGAGTTCTAATTTGATTGCACTCTGGTCTGAGAGACAGTTTGTTATCATTTCTGTTCTTTTATATTTGCTGAGGAGTGCTTTACTTCCAGCTGTGTGGTCAATTTTGGAATAAGTGAGATATGGTGCTGAGAAGAATGTATATCCTGTTGATTTAGGGTGGAGAGTTCTGTAGATGTCTATTAGGTCCGCTTGGTGCAGAGCTGAGTTCAATTCCTGGATATCCTTCTTAACTTTTTGTCTCGTTGATCTGTCTAATGTTGACAGTGGGGTGTTAAAGTCTCCCATTATTATTGTGTGGGAGTCTAAGTCTCTTTGTAGGTCTCTAAGGACTTGCTTTATGAATCTGGGTGCTCCTGTATTGGGTGTATATATATTTAGGATAGTTAGCTCTTCTTGTTGAATTGATCCGTTTACCATTATGTAATGGCCTTCTTTGTCTCTTTTGATCTCTGTTGGTTTAAAGTCTGTTTTATCTGAGACTAGGATTGCAACCCCTGCCTTTTTTTGTTTCCTTGCTTGGTAGATCTTCCACCATCTTTTTATTTTGAGCCTATGTGTGTCTCTGCACATGAGATGGGTTTCCTGAGTACAGCACGCTGATGGGTCTTGACTCTTTATCCAATCTGCCAGTCTTTATCTTTTAATTGGAGGATTTACCCCATTTACATTTAAGGTTAATATTGTTATGTGTGAATTTGATCCTGTCATTATGATGTTAGCTGGTTATTTTGCTCGTTAGTTGATGCAGTTTCTTCCTAGCATTGATGGTCTTTACAATTTGGCATGTTTTTGCAGTGGCTGGTATCAGTTGCGCCTTTGCATGTTTAGTGCTTCCTTCAGGAGCTCTTTTAGGGCAGGCCTGGTGGTGACAAAATCTCTCAGCATTTGCTTGTCTGTAAAGGATTTTGTTTCTCCTTCACTTATGAAGTTTAGTTTGGCTGGATATGAAATTCTGGATTGAAAAGTCTTTTCTTTAAGAATGTTGAATATTGGCCCCCACTCTCTTCTGGCTTGTTGGAAGTTCTGGCCATGGCAATCAGGCAGGAGAAAGAAATAAAGGGTATTCAATTAGGAAAAGAGGAAGTCAAATTGTCCCTGTTTGCAGATGACATGATTGTATATTTAGAAAACCGCATTGTCTCAGCCCAAAATCTCCTTAAGCTGATAAGCAACTTCAGCAAAGTCTCAGGATACAAAATCAATGTGCAAAAATCACAAGCATTCTTATACACCAATAACAGAAAAACAGAGAGCCAAATCATGAGTGAACTCCCATTCACAATTGCTTCAAAGAGAATAAAGTACCTAGGAATCCAACTTACAAGGGACGTGAAGGACCTCTTCAAGGAGAACTACAAACCACTTCTCAAGGAAATAAAAGAGGACACAAACAAATGGAAGAACATTCCATGCTCATGGGTAGGAAGAATCAATATTGTGAAAATGGCCATACTGCCCAAGGTAATTTATAGATTCAATGCCATCCCCATCAAGCTACCAATGACTTTCTTCCCAGAATTGGAAAAAACTACTTTAAAGTTCATATGGAACCAAAAAAGAGCCCACATTGCCAAGACAATCCTAAGCCAAAAGAACAAAGCTGGAGACATCATGCTACCTGACTTCAAACTATACTACAAGGCTGCAGTAACCAAAACGGCATGGTATTGGTACCAAAACAGAGATATAGACCAATGGAACAGAACAGAGCCCTCAGAAATAATGCCACGTATCTACAACTATCTGATCTTTGACAAACCTGACAAAAACAAGAAATGGGGAAGAGGATTCCCTATTTAATAAATGGTGCTGGGAAAACTGGCTAGCCATATGTAGAAAGCTGAAAGTGGATCCCTTCCTTACAGCTTATACAAAAATTAATTCAAAATGGATTAAATACTTAAATGTTAGACCTAAAACCATAAAAACCCTAGAAGAAAACCTAGGCCATACCATTCAGGACATAGACATGGGCAAGGACTTCATGTCTAAAACACCAAAAGCAATGGCAACAAAAGCCAAAATTGACAAATGGGATCTAATTAAACTAAAGAGCTTCTGCACAGCAAAAGAAACTACCATCAGAGTGAACAGGCAACCTACAAAATGGGAGAAAATGTTTGCAATCTACTCATCTGACAAAGGGCTAATATCCAGAGTCTACAAAGAACTCAAACAAATTTACAAGAAAAAACAACCCTATCAACAAGTGGGTGAAGGGTATGAACAGACACTTCTCAAAAGAAGACATTTATGCAGCCAACAGACACATGAAAAAATGCTCATCATCACTGGCCATGAGAGAAATGCAAATCAAAACCACAATGAGATACCATCTCACACCAGTTAGAATGGCAATCATTAAAAAGTCAGGAAACAACAGGTGCTGGGGAGGATGTGGAGAAATAGGAACACTTTTACACTGTTGGTGGCACTCTAAACTAGTTCAACCATTATGGAAGTCAGTGTGGCGATTCCTCAAGGATCTAGAACTAGAAATACTATTTGACCCAGCCATCCCTTTACTGGGTATATATACCCAAAGGATTATAAATCATGCTGCTATAAAGACGCACACGTATGTTCATTGCGGCACTATTCACAATAGCAAAGACTTGGAACCAACCCAAATGCCCATCAATGATAGACTGGATTAAGAAAATGTGGCACATATACACCATGGAATACTATGCAGCCATAAAAAAGGATGAGTTCATATCCTTTGTAGGGACATGGATGAAGCTGGAAACCATCATTCTCAGCAAACTATGGCAAGGACAAAAACAAAACACCACAAGTTCTCACTCATAGGTGGGAATTGAACAATGAGAACACTTGGACACAGGGCAGGGAACACCACACACTGGGGCCTGTCATGGGGTGGGGGTAAGGGGAAGGGATAGCATTAGGAGATATACCTAATGTAAATGATGAGTTAATGGGTGCAGCACACCAACATGGCACATGTATATATAGGTAACAAACCTGCACGTTGTGCACATGTACCCTAGAACTTAAAGTTTATATATATATATATATATATATATATATATATATATAAACAGTGTAACACCATTCTAAAGCCAAAGTGGAAAACTTTCTTACTTTGAACATTTAAACTTGCCCTCCTTCTTAGGAGATATATAAACGAGAAAGTTTCTCCTTTATTCCTCTTCTCTATTTCTTTTTTTTTTTTTTTTTTTTAACAGTAAGCAAAATTCTCTAGGCCTGGATTATCTTAACATACACATTTGGCCAAACTTTATTATGTAGCTACATTGTATCAGGAATTAGTGAAAAATTGATCAAGAAGAGTTCTCAGCCCTCATGGTCTACTGTAAGAAACAGATATTTCCTCTAGGGCACAATTTCAATGGAAAGGTATACTAATTTATATTGTGTTTATAACAAGATGTCTCAATTTTTTTGAAAAAAGAAGCAATCAATAAATGAGCAATAGAAAAGTAGTTTGTATCACTGGCTTTGTAGTCAGCTGGATCTAGGTTTAAATATCCATTCCTAAAATAGCACAGTATTTCCTTGAGCAAACAACCTTTTAATCCTCAGTTTTCTTATCTGTAATATATGTAATAATACCACACACAGGATTGTCCTAAGGATTAAATAAGACAGTGTGTGTAAAAGATTTAGGGCACCTCAACGGGAGCTAGATATATAGTTTTTATCATCCTTATAAATGTATAAATTAAGCTCTAAACAAAGGATCGCATTAAAAGTTATAATAGAGTCGTATACTCAGTGCTATATCCCAAGAAAATGTTCAGGAACAAAGGTTTAAGGTTCTTCTCTTGAAAGATAATTAAGACTAGGAAAAGCAGATCCTCCTTTGAATGAGAGGCCTTTGCAAGTACGGCAAGAGAATGTGATTTGAGGAGGCCCCAAATGTTAGTCCAGTTACCATCCTAATTGGGGGACACCTCAAGTGACCAGGAATATGCCTGGCAAAACATTGCTCCTCTGCTAATCGGCTCTCCCTTTGTGAGGTGTGGCTGCCCATTTTTCTAGGCCCTTGAAGATAGAAATGGATCTTAGGAGAAACCTACTTTCCATTTTCTCCCACAGCAGAACATGCCCCTCTCAGGGAAAGCCCACTAGGCACCTAAGGAGTTGGCCTCTATCACTTTTAGAAATATCCTGGTCTATATATGCAGATTGTAAATACATGCTTAGGCTGGGTGCAGTGGCTCACGCCTGTAATCCCAGCACTTTGGGAGGCCGAGGTGGGTGGATCACGAGGTCAAGAGTTCAAGACCAGCCTAGCCAATATGGTGAAACCCCGTTTCTACTAAAAATACAAAAATTTGCCGGGCATGGTGGTGCATGCCTGTAATCTCAACTATTCGGAAGACTGAGGAAGAATTGCCTAGACCCGGAAGGTGGAGATTGCAGTGAGCCAAGATAGTACCACTGCACTCCAGCCTGGGCAACAGAGTGAGACTTTGTCTTAAAACAAAAACAAAAACAAAAAACACACACACAAAAACATGCTTAGAATGTAGGCTCCAGGAATTCAAAATAAAACTTGTTTGCATACAGATAAAGCTTTTAAAAAAGCAGCTATATTTAAGTACAATGTAATCAAATAATAAACTACACATAAAGTGTGCAATTGGGTAAGTTTTGAGATATGTGTGCACCCATGAAACATAATCAAGATAATGTACATATCTACTCCTTCAAAAAGTTTCCTTGTGCCTCCTTGTAATTCCTCCCACCTGCCACTCCCTGTTCTTTTTCCATTCCAGGCAACCATTGATATTCCTTTGGTCACTGCAGATTAGTAAACGGAATCATTCAGTTTTTATTCTTTTTTTTTTTGTTGGCTGTTTCCTTTCACTCAGCATAATTATTTTGAAATTCATTCATATTGGTCTGTGTGTACATAGTTAATTTTCTTTTAATTGTCAGTAGTATTCTGTTGTAGGGATATACCACAATTTTTTATCTATTTACTTGTTGATGGATGTTTGTGTTGCTTTTAGTTTGGGGCTATTATAAATGAAGCTGTACATGGCTGTACATGGATAGCTCTTTGTATGGACAGTCCTCATTTCTCTTGTGTAAGTACCCTAGGGTAGAATAGCTGAGTCATGTGGTAGGTGTATGTTTAACTTATTTTGGAACTGCCAAACTATTTACCAAAGTAAATACCATTTTATATTCGCAGTAACAGAATAGGAGAATTTGAGTTGATTCACATGGTCATCAACATTTAGTAGGGTCATGTTTTTGGATTTTAGACATTTCAATATGTATGATGATATCTCCTTGTGATTTTAATTTGCATTTTCCTACTGAATACTAATGTTGAGCATTTTTTCCTATGCTTCTTGGCCATTTATGTATCCTATTTGGTGAAAAATGTGTTCAATTTGTTTTTACTTTTAAAATTTGTCTTGTTTGTTTACTTATTACTGAGTTTTGGTGGTTTTTATTTTTATTTCATTTTATTAATTTATTTTTTTGAGATGGAGTCTCACTCTTTTGCCAAGGCTGGAGTGAAGTGGCGCAATCTCAGCTCACTGCAACCCTCCACCCTCTGCCGCCCATCCACCCAGGTTCAAGCGATTCTCCTGCCTCAGCCTCCCAAGTAGCTAGAATTACAGGTGTCCACCACCACATTCATCTAATTTTTGTATTTTTAGTAGAGACAGGTTTTGCCATGTTGGCCAGGCTGGTCTTGAACTCCTGAACTCAGGTGACCCATCCACCTCGGCCTCCCAAAGTACCAGGATTACAGGCATGAGCCACTGCACCCGGCCTTGATGGTTTTTAAAAAATAAATTCTGAATATATGATGTATCAAATATGTGTTTATATATATTTTTCCTAGTTTTGCCTCTTTTTATTATCTAAAGAGTGTCTATTAAAAAGCAGTTCTTAATATTAATGAAGTCTAATTTATCAATTTTTTCTCTTATGAATTCTGCTTTTGATAATTTAAGAACTTGTTACTTAACCCATAGTCAAAAATATTTTCTTCTATATGTCTCTCTAGAAGTTTGATGTTTTACATTTTACATTCATATCTGTGATTCATTTTGCATTAATTTTTCTATATTGTGAGGAATGAAACAAAATTCTTTTGTTTTTTTTTGTATATAGCAATCTGATAGTTCCAGCAATGTTTGTTGAAAAGACTATTCTTCCTCTACTAAACTGGCTTTGCACCTTTGTAAAACAGTAAATCGGCCATATGTGCGTGAGTCTATTCTGTTCCATTATTTATTTGTATATCTTAATGCCAGTATTACACTGTATTCACCACATTTATTTCTATAGATTTATAGTAAGTCTTAAAATCAAATAGTGCAACTTCTCCACCTGTTCTTTTTCACAGTTGTTTTTGGCTTTAATATTATGCATTTCCATATGAATTTTACAGTAATCTTGTAATTTCCTACCAAAAATTCTGCTGAGATTTTGATTGAGATGGTGTTTCATGTGTAAATCAATTTGGCAATAATTTATATCTTAACAATTTGAGTCACCCAAACTATAAACATGGCATAGCTCTCCATTTATTTAGAACTTCTTCAATTTCTGCAATATTTTATAGTTTGTGGCATATAGGTCTTATGTATTTTTCTCAGATTTATCCTAAGCCTTTCATATTATTGAAGCTATTGTAAATGCTTTGTTTTTAATTTTTATTTCTTTTTATATCGTTAATATATAGAAATACAATTGATTTTATATTGATTTTGTATGCTTTAAATTTTACCAAATTTATTAGTTCTAAAATATTGATTATGGATTCCAACAGATATTCTACATACATAATTATGTCTTCTCCAAATAAAGACATTGTTACTTTGTACTCTCCAACCTGTTTATCTTTTCTTTTTCTTGCTTTATTCAATAGGCTAGAAAGTCTATTATAATGTCGAATGAAATTCTATTATAATGTCGAACAAGACATCTTTGCTTTGTTCCTAGTTATAGGATGAAAAATTTAGTCTTCACCATTAAGTATAAGCTGAACTTAGGTTTTTTAGATGTCTTTTATTAGTTTGAGGAAGTTCCGTGACACCACAGCTCCTGTCTATTCCACCTTGCCATTATGGTAGTAATTTGAATTGCTGTAGCATATTCTCTTTCTTTTAATGGCACCAAATTCTTAAAGTACACAGGGTATTGCATGGAATGGGAACAAATAGGCTATAGATCCATCTTTCTAAAGGAAATGAGAGGAAGAAGGATATTTAAATTATGCCCTAGAGTCACAGTTTCCAATGATGAGTCTGCAAAATTTTAATTCCAAAGAAGTTTAAACTTTTAGCCTTTTGTTCCCTCTGCAAATTCTGGTCACATTCTAGACATTTCCCTCTGCCTCTTCCTCAACAGCCCCACCGCCTTACAAACATGCATACCAAAGCAATTGCCATGTAGTATTTTACTTACTTTGTCTCACTTTTTTGCTTCTCTCCATTCTTCTGCCATGCCCCTTATTCAAGCTGCCACTTCAATTGTGCAACAGGCTCTTTATTGGTTTCCCTCCTTTCTACCTGCCTCACCCCAATCTGCCATTCCCCAAAGCCAATGATCTTTCAGAAAATAAAATACAAACTTGTCACTCTCATCTTGAAAATTATTTCAATGACTTCTGCTTAGCAGAAAGCTCAGAATCTTCATTGCAGTTCTCACAGAATTGCATAGTCTGGTTTCAGTCTCAGTGAAGAGCTAGTGGCTTTACCAATACTCTCTGCCTCTAATAGTATGTACTTCTTCCAGTGGGAGACTTATCCCATTAGAAGCTTAGTACAGTCTGTAAGGGATGTTTTGTTTCTTTCCTTCCTTTCAGTCTATACCAATCCCCACCTCAGGACCATGTTTTCCCCCAGAAAGTAAACAGTTCTTTGCTTCAGTTATGCCCACCTCTTTCAGGAGTACAGATGAGGGACCTCGAGTTTGAGAAGACAGTAATTGCAGAGGAGTTTGTCTTTGTGAATTTTATTAGTTGGCACTTTTATTTCTAAAGCAAGAGCTTTGTTTTGTTGTTGTTTGCCCCTCTTCCTCCCCATCTCTTTTCTATGTGGTTGCAGCCTTTAAAGGCTTAATTAGAGCAATAAAAAAAATACCAATTTCGCCTTTTCCTCCTTTTTAATAACAAGTAAAAGTTGAGAGCCAGCTGTGGGTGAACGCTATTTGAAAGCTGCTACCAATCTGAAGTTTCATTTTTCACTGCTTCAAGGCACATTTGAAAATTAGTGCTGACACGTGCAAATGAGTTTGTAACGGAAGAAAAATACATGTATGGTGCAAGGTGCTCTGAAGACTATTATGGGGAATAAAGAGGCTTGTGTGGGAGTTTCTGCTTGATATCAAGGGGGTGAATAAAAATTCAGATTCTCTCATCAATTTTCCTACTTAGAAGGACCCTGGGGTTTCTTTGATGACAATCCCTAACTGTACTTGGATTCTTCAGTGTTCCCTTCCTGCAATTCTCTAGCCAGAACAAGCCTTCAAATTTTTCACAGGATTTGTAGCTTCTTCCTCAGTAATCTTTAGCGGGTATAAATACAAAGTTGAATTTTTGCCAATTTGTATGATGTCCTGAAATAGTTTCATAGTTTTTTAAATTAAAATAATAAAAAATTAAAATTCTTCAGTTTTTCTTCAAAATTTTCTGGCTAAGAAGTGTCAGCAGGCAATTGGAAATCACAATATATATGCACTTTTAAAGAAATCTAAAAAAATGGAGTGTAGCCAAGGACAGGTGACAAAGATGGTGAGGAAACTGGAAACCATGCCAGGGAGGCAGGAAGCTGACAGAAGAAACTGAAGTTGAGTAATGTAGAAGAGGGAAGGGTTAAAAAGATTGCTTCAGACTGACATAGCTTCATTGAAGCATATCTTGGCAAAGCCCCCCACCCTTTCTATCTGGCAGCTCCTGGGCCCTCTCCCAAATCCAGGCCAGCTCTCCAGTACCCCCCTCCCTGTCCTTGTTTGCAACAGAGATTCCTCCAGCGATCACCCCTTCCACAGCTGTCTCCCCACCAAAGCTTAGTCTTAATATAGTGCTGTGGTTAAGAGCAAAGTCTTCAATATTTCATGGTTCAAGACCACACTCCACCACTTACTACAGAGTTACTTTGGACCACCCTCCATTTATCCGTATTTTAGTCACACATTAATTCATTTAACAACTATTTATGCAGTCTTAATCTGTGTGTCACTGACTCTCTTAACTTCATTCTTGTCTAGGGATAATGATTGTCCCAACATCACCTGTGGTTACAAAAAGTAGAAATAATACCCATAATGACTGGCACATGGGAGGTGCTCCCAAAATGGTAGCTATTATTAGGGTAATCAATATCATTAGCATTTTTGTGTTCCCAAAGGTGAGCACATAGGTCCTATGTGTTTGATAGGTTTTATAGTTGATCCATTCTAAGAATGGATGAGAGTAAAGTAAGTGAATTGCTCAGCCAGGTGAGCAACAATGTGAAGAGGAAAAATATTTGGTGGAGAGGTAGGAAAATGGAGAAGACAGCGAGACGGCAGCAGGTGCTCTAGGCAGCTAAGGCATACAGACAGTCTTTTCATCTGATGTACTGCAAGTCTTCATTTCTTTTGTGGCTATTTTCTATTGCGAGTTTTGTTTTGTTTTGTTTTTAGCCATTTGTATAATGTGTACAGAACAAATAGAGCTGTGGCTTTGGTTTGTTGTTTTTATTACTGATCTTGTATCTCTAACAGCCTGGTGATCTTTCCCTCTGCAGCCTGTTTTTCCTAGAATGCTGTGATGAGACATCAGGATGTCAGGGCAGTCTGTGAACATGCTTATTGCCATCCTTGATCACCGCCCCTGCACCAGTCTCTTCCTGTTGTCACATTTGTTTCTCCCATGATACC
The DNA here is from genome assembly GCF_000001405.40 of Homo sapiens. Lineage (NCBI taxonomy): Eukaryota > Metazoa > Chordata > Mammalia > Primates > Hominidae > Homo > Homo sapiens. The sequence continues at coordinate 79,782,378 of NC_000011.10, read as the reverse complement.
CTGGTCCCCTCACATCACAGGCCTGCCCTATTGTATAGTAACCTGTGTACTTCTCATAGTCTCACTCCACGCTGAAGCCAAAAAGGTTAAGAGCAAAATCTCCAACTTGTTTTGTCTCTTCATTGCCTGAAGTTCCTGGAATGTTGTAGGTGACCAATCACCTTGGTCATGTATTATACTGCATAAAATGAATTTATATATTATACTGCATAAAATCAAATAGGCTAGGCTGGATAGGACCATAGAGAATAAATAAAACAGGACAGGAGCAGATTAGGTAGGGAAGGGTAGAATAGAACAAAATAAAACTCAAGGCTGGCCAACATTTGTAATGTAGGGCATACTGGTATTGAAAAGGAAAAGTTACATTAAAAATCTCTGGAAAAACTCTTTTAAATGGGTTACTTATTAGATCAGTGGTGGTGACAAATTCTAATAGAAGAATCAACTATATTGATAAAAGGTTTTTTGCTTTTGTTTTATTTGTTCTGTTTTTGTTTTTTCAGTCCACAGGTTTGAAGTGATGGTGATCATTTCTTTATCATTTTTGAGCCTATATAAGCACCTTGGACGTATATAAATAGCCTAAGAGAATGTAGAATTGGTAATAGACCAGCTGATACCCAATATTGCCCTTTAGCTATGCTTTCATTTTATTAGAATATAATAAGCTCAACTGAAAATGTTTTAATTTGTCTGCATTACTTAACAGCCTGGGAATAATTCTAATTATTATTGAGTTTATCATTGTGACTATGGCACATTCTTTCTTTGAATTCCTGGAGACTATTTAAGATGCAAATGGTGCTGGCTTTATGAATAATTTGGGGGATGAAAGATTCATAATTAATTTGACCCCTCCCTGCCAAATATATACACACACACAATAAAACAAAATGATTTCTTTAAAATGCAAAATGATTTACATGAACATGGAATGAATACTGTTATGTATAGCAAAATGTGAAGCATGGTTTTTGGCAGTCATGCAAGGCATGCTGGGTAAGCATAGAACATGGCCTTATAGGGACAGTTGGGAAGACGAATGCTCAGTGCTCACAGAAAGATGTGATTGAGAAAATTGACTATATACAAGGACTAATCAGAAGAGGGAGACAGAGGTAGACACATCTGAGGGGAGCCATAGAATGAGCATCAGTTCAAGCAGTAGATAGTAGTTGAGGCCAGGTAGGTAGCAACAGATGTTAACTAAGATCCCGGTTTCTAACCCGTAAATGATCCAGCAGGTTCCATCCCTGGGAATGGAAACCACAAGGACCCAGCAAACAAATGAGTTGGGTCTCAGTTGCAGGAGCAGCTCTATGAGGAACAAGGAGTCCTAGGGAGGAGGAGAAAAGTCTCATGCTGCCTTGCCATGATGGGCTCAGGGTCATAACCCAAAGTCTCAGTTTTCTCCCAGCCTGTTATCTGATGAGACTGAAGTTCCTCCCCATGAACTGTCCAGGGCTGAGCTTGTATGTCAGTGTATCAGGATAGTGGAGACATAAGAAAGGGCCTTAGGACAAAGGTCGGTCATTACACTTAACTAAGTACTCAACCCATCATTCAGCAATTCTCAGATCTGGTTGATCAGAATCCCCATACCTAGTTCCTCGTGTGGAGTCCAGGAGTCTTCATCTTTAAAATACTTCTATCAAGGAGATGCTACTAATCAGCCAGGTCTGAGATCCCTGCCCGTGGGGAAAACCAAGCTTGTTCGCTAACACCTGGGAGTCTCAACAACCTTGCTTTCACTTCTGCCAGTGACTCCTGCAGTTATCTTTCCTTTTAGGAAATATTACAGGAAGGAAATATTCTGAGCCTCCTAAAGTTTCAATGAGCAGTATTCTAAACACACCAGAGGTACATTGAATCAGAATGTCTAGAAGTGGGGCTCAGGAACTTCCATGCCTAAATTCCCCAGGTGACTCTTTCCGAGAACCATAGTGCAGAGTGCCGGCATCTTGGACATAGGGCCAGGAACTTCCCTAACATTCCTGGCATATAAAGATGCAAATGTGTATTTAATTGATTTTATGTATTGTGGCTTGTTTGTGATTATTCATTATTTATAATTTATACTTGACAACTTGCATAAAAGAGCTGAGGGAGAGAGTTGGGGAGGCAAAGCCACTAACAGGCATGTGATGCCTACTATATGCCAGGGACTGTGCTGGGTGGTGTGCCTATATTTTCACCGTTAGGGCTTCATTGATGTGTCCAAGACAGTGGCATGCAGAGGGCCTCAGTGATGGGCTGGTGATAGGCTTCCCCGGGGAATAAAAACCATATACTTGATCATAGCACTTCCTCTACTATGGTCATGTTTAATTCAATAAATGATTGACTAATAATAATAGTAACTAATTAATAACTAATAGGCACCATGCTAGTTGCTGGGGATAAGTCAGTGAATAGAATAACCACGGAGTCAATAGTCCAGTGGGTAGATAGACATAAACCAAGAGTTGTACAATTAATCAGTTAAAATTATAATATTATTACAAAGAGAAATCACACAGGCCTTTGAGAACAAAGACCAAGTGTACTGACCTGCTACAGAGAAGGTCAGGGGAAGTTTCTATTAGGAAAGGATATGAAACAAATGACAGGCTTTATTACAGTTAAGAAAGGAAAAGCTGTTTTCTGGTGAAAATAATGTTCCTTTTCATTTTACTTAAGCATTTTCCCACCCAGTAAAGGGCTAAGTGATGGTTCTTTCAACCTACCTCCTAGATCAGAGCCGGTTTTTAGAGTAGCGCTAGCCTCATCCAACTGCCCTCTACTCCTGAGGCATTTGTCTGTGCTGTCTGCCCCCCAACCCCTGGGACATTTACCTGGGACATTTGCCCTCAACACCTGGAGCACTCCCATGACTGTTTGGAGCCTGGTGTCCTGATGGCCTGCCTCCCCAACTTCTCTGGGCCTCACCCCAACCCATCATGACATTCCCAGCAGCATCTGCTACTTGAATGGATTCTCTATTTCTTTTAATGCTTTCCTCCATGGGGACACACAAACTCCATGTCTCAATTCTCAGACTCCTATTTCTGCTCTAAAAGGGTTTAATTCCATTTCATTCATGCAGTTAATATCTGTGAGGGTCTACTGAGTGTCAGGTTAGGGTCCAAGATAAAAAAGAGACAGAGGTACTGACATTAAAGTTTTCATAGTCTAAGAGAGGAAAGGGATGTAAATCGACAACTTACAACATAGTATGGAAGGTGTGAACATAAGCAATGAAGAAGATGATCATAATGATTATGATGTTAGCCAAAATACATTAGACACTTATTCACTCACAACATCAGATAGTTTTTGAGCACCTACTGTGTGGGTGAAAAGTATTGGTGAATAAAACAAACATGGTATATGCCCTTGTGACATTTAGAAGAGGAGTGAAATGCAATAAACAAGACAAACAAATACAATCATAATTGTAAATTATGGTAAAATCAATGAAAGAAATTAACAGAGAGCAGTGCTTGAGAGTAATGTAGAGGGGATCCTATTCGGTTAATCCTATTAGGTTAATGTGGTTTCTACTAGGAATTAGAACTCCTAGGTAAAAATCTGCCACTTCTGGACTCTGTGATTTTAAGCAAGTTACTTAGACTCAGTTTCCTCAAAATAAAATAAATAATATTCAGGTTTACTGTAAGAATCAAATAGGATAAAGCTTGTAAAAGAATTAGATAATTCCTGCCCTGCATAGTAAGTACTCAATATGGTTGTCATTGTTATTCTTTACATTGTTACATCATCTCTTCAGTTTACTTTTAGTCTTTTTGAACTTCCAATGCCTCTTCCATAAGATGGAATAAACCATCTAGCTCAGAGAGCTGAGAATATGCTCCACATATTGTCAGCTGCTGTGTCTGTGTAATATGATTATGAAGGTGTTCATATGACTAACATAATTTTTGACATCGGTCAAGTTCAAAATCATGCTACCTATAGCAAGCAATAGTGAATGAAATGTGTTTAAAATGTATATGTCTTCCATAAGAATGAGTTGACATAAGGCTGTGATATTCAAGACAGTAGATGTATTAGATAGCACAGGCAGTACAAAGATCGTACATTTCCATCATCACAGAAAGTTCCATTGAACGATACTGATATAGGAATTCCAGACACCAAAGAAATGTGTTGATACAAGGAATTCTGTACACCAGATATTAGGGGTCAGGTAGGCTTTTGGAGGCCATTTAAATCTTTCCTCCTTTGGAATATGTGATATTAACAACTGCCCACATTTGTCAACCATCTTCAGCTTTCAAACCACTTTCACCTCTTAATTCACTTGTCCTTAGGGCTACCCCTGAAGAAGGCAGGAAGGATATTATTATCTCCACTTTACATTGGAGAGAAATAATTAACAAGAATAGTAGTAGCAGCTGCTGACATTAACTGAATGTTCACCTGTGTTTGTAGGTTCATAGTGGTGCTAAACACTTTCGTGTTTTTAATGAGATAATGAAGCTCAGAGAGGTAAAGTGGCTTTCTCTGGACATTCAGTAAACTGGAGATACGTCTTCAAACTCCTAGCTCATTGCTCTCCCCACATTCTGTCCTTTTCTTGAACAAGTTGAATTCCAGCTATCCATTATTGCAGAGACAAAGTTCTTGCAGCCACCAAGTTGTCAGAATAGGGTGTGCAATAGAGGCTTGGCAATCAAGGGCACGTCGAGCTGAGCATCCTTTCCATGCAGCTTCCAAATGGCTGACCCTCTCTCCTGCTGAAACAATGCAGCACATGAAGATGAACTTTAATTCGCATTCAGCCTCAGTGTTTCTGTCAACAGCTGCAGAAACAGCTGTTCCCCTCTTGATGCTACCCTCTCCCCCTTTTCCCCAGCTAATTGCTACCAACTAGTAGAGTGGCTATGAATATTGTAGGTCTTATCCCCTTCAACAGCTTCTATCAAGCTGTTATTATTTCAGGCCCTTCTTGTTCAAGTAGTAAGATCTATTCTGTTTGAATGGTTTGAATGGTTAATTCTGTTGTTGTTGTTGTTGTTGTTGTTGTTGTTGTTGTTGTTGTTGAGATGGAGTTTCACTCTTGTTGCCCATGCTAGAGTGCAATGGCACGATCTCGGCTCACCACAACATCTGCCTCCCGGGTTCAAGCAATTCTCCTGCCTCAGCCTCCTGAGTAGCTGGGATTACAGGCATGTGCCACCGCACCTGGCTAATTTTGTGTTTTTATTAGAGACAGGGTTTCTCCCTATCGGTCAGGCTTGGTCTGGAACTCCCAACGTCAGGTGATCTGCCCGCCTCAGCCTCCCAAAGTTCTGGGATTACAGGCGTGAGCACTGTGTCTGTCCTGAATGGTTCATTGTAAAATCTAATTGTTGAGTATTTTAAACCCCACTCAACACACTTCAAAACACCATATTGTATTTAACTTGAAGCACTCCTAAGCAAGAAAAAGCCTTAAAAATAGTCACCAATCATCCGAAATATGGTTATTAAGGGTTTCTTGTGTGTCAGACACTGTGCTAGGTGCTAAACCTACCTCTGAATTTATAGTCCCCGAAAAAGGGTACAAATAGAGGACCGTGTGTCCTATGGCTAAATACTTCATGGTTATAAAAATCAAGCTAACTGTTAAATAAAGTCTTTTTTATCCCTTACCACCTTTGACAAATTTCATTAAAACCCAGATGGTATGGTTCTAGTTTAGAATTATTGGACTCTTCAAAGTTTAATGATGGACTGTGGCAGTGTAGGAGAACCAGCCCCCAGCCCACCTTCTGTCTCTTCCCATCCATACTACAAAGGGCCTCAGTTCATATGCCAATGGACACCTCCACCCACATGTCCAAGCTCCATCCACACTTTTATATATAAGACTCCTTTGCAACTCCTTGAAATGAAGGAGCATACACCAGCAGGTATACGCTTTCTGCTCTTGGAAGGATGGATGCAGGGAAGAGGCCTATGCCAGCTTGGAGTCATGTGAGCAAAGAGATGTGGACATATGTAATACCTCGCTGAACATCAAGTATATAATAAGACATCAATAAATAATAGCTATTATTGCTACCATCGTAGACAGAATGAACTACATATAGTTTATTTAAAAGCTGCATAAACCATAATATATACAACAAAGCATAAATACTACGTATCGCTTTGGCTTTACCTTAATTCCTTCTCACTAAGAATCTAGAAGAATTCCTTACTCAGAAATAGCAAAGCATCAGTCCCTTTTCTCTTTTTTATTAGCCTTGTATTATCCTGATCCTTTATTATGTGTCAGTCCTCTTTTTGGGTCCCTGCCTAAGAACATCTTCCTACCTCTGTGGACTGGTTACATTCTGGCATTAAGGCTTGATGCCAGTTCTAGCTAATTCTGTTATTTTCAATGGCTCAAGTTTTCATGTAAAATACAGAGCTTTTAACAATTGCACTAACATAGCTCTAGCTAATACTGTTTCTCATAGTGTAAGTGCTATGCTGGAGTACAGAAATTCAGACTCTGCTCATTCCCCACTGCCATCCCAGCCTTTTTCTGTGTCCTTATTATAAATCATGAAAGTAGATTATCTATATCTCTATATTTATCTAACTATTTATATATCTATGTGGGGTATATATATGTAGTTTATTTTTTATCGTCCTTTGAACTGGGGAAAAAAGTACATATATATGTATATTTTTCTTAATTTAATCTCAACACAATATTTTTTCTGCTGTTAATATTTCTGTCTTAGAGAACCTTGGTTATGAAGAAGAGGAACATATTCAACCTTGTTTTAAAAGTTCTTTATTTTTTTAATGGATAGAAGGGAATTTCATAGACCCCAAGTATAGAAAATCTCTCCTCTCTTTCATTCTTTCTGAAGTATTAAATAATCATTAATACTTCTATTTAGTTGTAGATCCCTTATTTTGTTATGGGAAAACTTATTTTAATAATTTTGAAGGCTTTTTTGTGGCACAACACACTAAGCTACAAAATCATGGGACTTTTTGTCAGCGTGTCTTGGAGGCATCCCAAGACCTTGAACCATGGTGAGAAAGAAGACCAATGTTTCCCTAAAATCTGATGCATACATCCTGGGTCCCAGTCTGTGAGTGTTACACACATCATCTCCTTTCATCTTCACAGTAACCTAGGGAAACAAGGAACAGAGAGTTATGATCCCTGTGAAAGATGATGAAACTGATGCTTCTAAAGTTTAGAGATCCATCCAATGTCATATGCCTCATAAGTGGAATCTTAGTCTGTTTGCTTGGAAACCCCTGGCTGTAATATCTTACTGTGTCACTACATAAAGATTATTTGTAAAACACTCATCTCCTTTTAAAAATGGATTATTTTATATCAGTAAATCACTGGGAGAGAGCAATGTTAGAGAGTCTATGAATTAAAAATCCAGATTTTTCTTTCATAAAGACTAGATTTTATCTTATATCCTATTTTAATGTTCATTTGAGGCCAGGTGTGATGGCTCACACCTCTAATCCCAGCACTTTGGGAGGCCAAAAGTCAAGAGGATTGCTTGAGACCAGGAGTTTGAGAGCAGCCTGGGCAACATAGTGAGACCCATCTTTACAAAATAAAAATGAAAAAATTAACTAGGTATGGCGCATGCACCAGGAGTCTCAGCTACCTGATAGTGCTGAGGTGGAAGAATGGCTTGAGCCCAGGAGTTTGAAGCTGCAGTGTACCATGATGGCACCATTGCACTCCAGCTTGGGCAACAGGGTGAGACCCTCTGTCTAAAAATAGAAATAATAATAAAATAACAATAAAGTTAGTATGTTCTAGGGTAACAAAGAGGAAAGAATCCCCTAGAATATGAGTGGCTTGCTCTTCAAAAATGTGACTAAGCCGGGCGTGGTAGCTCACGCCTGTAATCCCAGCACTTTGGGAGGCCAAGGCGGGCAGATCACCTGAGGTTGGGAGTTTGAGACCAGGCTGAACAACATGGAGAAACTCCGTATCTACTGAAAATACAAAATTAGCCAGGTGTGGTGGCGCATGCCTGTAATCCCAACTACTTGGGAGGTTGAGGCATGAGAATCGCTTGAACCCGGGAGGTAGAGGTTGTGGTGAGCCAAGATTGTGCCATTGCACTCCAGCCTGGGCAACAAGAGCAAAACTCCATCTCAAAAAAAAAAAAAAAAGAAAAGGTGACTTAATGCAGGCTGAAGTTGCCATTGTATCTATGCTAGAAATTACATATTTAATCTTGGTTCACCCTTTCTTCTTTCTTCACAAAACAGAATTCTATTATTCAACATTGAATTTAACAACTTTTACCAAGCATCTTCTCTGTGCCTAGTGCTATGCCCCACATGGGGTGAACCCTGAACTCAACGGTCTTGCACCCAAGTGTTTATGGAGATGAGAAGAAACTTGATCACATTCTCTCTGTTACTAATAAAATTCTACAATTTATAGAATTTATTAGCATTCTTTATAAGTCTGAGGAGGATAAGAAAGTGGAGTTTAATGCAGAATAAATAGCCCAAATCTGCAATATTAAATATTATCTCCAGCTTTATTGTGCTGTGGGAAAGTGGTGGTAAAGGGGCAGTAAATGTTACTTATTTAGCTCTCTTCATGTTTAAGTGCTTCTCACACTAAAGAATAATGGCCACACAGGCCTGGCAGCATCTGAGAATGTTATTCACTATTTTGAAGTCTCTGAGTGGGGATTCTGGAAGCAGGAAGGGGAGGAGAAGAGTGGTTAGTGAATACAGGTAATACAGTTACATGACTTAATCCAAACTCAAGCCCTAAGACAAGTTCCCAGGCTAAACCTAAAATGATCTTTCTCTTCCTCTCAAATCAAGTTTTGTTTAAAAAAAGAAAAAAGAAAGAAATCCACTGGCAGTGTTGATATCTTCACTACAGACATCCTAGTTCATTTTGTGGGTGAGCGAGTTAAAGCATTGCCATTGTAGTTTCCCCGTTTTCATGCTAAGCCTTTAAAGAAAAGGAGATGAAGACGTGAAGTATACAGTTGATTCTCGAGCACCTACAGGGCATCATTCTTTAAACATAGCCACTGCCTGAAGGCTCAAGTGCAGGGAGTGGCAGGAGTGACTGCCATTTACTTGCTGTGTGACTTTGAACAAGTCATGCACCCTCTCTGAGCATCTGCTTTTTCTTCTGTAAAATTATAGATCCTGTATGTGTCTTGCTGGGTTGGAGTGTGCAAAGGTGATACTCAAAAGATTTAACAACTTGTGGATCATGGGTACTGAGTAATCAGAAGGGATTTGGGCCTTGGTATTAGAGCAGGGTCTAAAGTCCTCCCCTGTGCCTTGTGTCATTCCTTGGGTGTTGAACTAAGAGAGGTCAAGGGAGTCCTAAAGAAGAAGCAGGGTGACCAGGAAACAGGAATGGTAGAGCGGAGAGCAATCAAACATGTTGGGGCAACAGCTATTTACCAATGTCTACAAAAGTATTTGAATATTTGAACAACCAATACCTCTATTTCTGTGCATACCAGTTAAATAGCTTGGTATTGAGGATCTAAGAATTAAATTAGCTCATCTATTAAAGTGTTTAGCATTTGGCCCACACAGCAGAGTAGGCACCCAGAAAATGTAATTTGCTTATTCCTTCTCCCTTCCTCTCCCTGTCTATCTCTCTGTCCACCATGGCTTTCCATGCTATGCAGTGGGCTTATTCCTTAGCCACTGGGCTAAATAACCTGTCTCTTTTTGCAGTAGATTTTTGTAGGCATAAATGTTGCAGGTTGATTCCTAAAACATCTGAGTCAAAATTCTTTGTTGTTCTTTTGCAAATACAATTCCATAACTGCCTTTAAATTCACGGTGTGCTCGAGATTGTCCGCGACTAGAATTCCCAGGGCATGAGGTAGCTCTGACATGGTAGAAAGCAAAGACCCCAGGAATCAACAGACCTGAGCTTGATCATGACTTTGACACTCTAGGCAAGTCACTTTCCCTCACTGAGTCTCAGCCTCTCACCTGAATAAAAGGGGGAAATCTAGCTGAGATTATTGGTACTGAACCTTAGCTGTACATTGAGTCCCCTGGGAACTTTCAAATATATTAATGCCTAAGTGCCACCCACAGAGTCTGATTTAAGTGGTCTTGGATTAAGGCTGAACACTTGGATTTTTTAAGCCCCTTGGGTGATTCTAATGCATAGCAAAAGTTGAGAACCTCTGCACTAAATGATCTCTAAGCTTTAACCTGGTTCAATACCCTCAGTTAGGCTCTGATCCTACACATCCTTAAAGCCCATCAGAAAACTGCATTCATGTTGTTTACTCTTAATGACCTGTGGCAATAGAATACCTGAAAACTCATGAATAAGAGATCTTTAGGATTTATCTGATATTTATAGCTTCCATTGCATTATCACCAGAACTTACTTGTGTATATGTCTGGAAATTTTTGTCATTTTAGTTTGGTTTATTGACATTTGGCTAATACAGACAATTTTTCAGACCTCAACTAACATAGTGATTTGTAGTGACTCTAACATCTCTGAGTGTATTAGTGCATTCTCACACTGCTATAAAGAACTACCTGAGACTGGGTAATTTATGAAGAAAAGAGATTTAATTGACTCATAGTTCTGCAGGATTAACAGGAAGCGTGACTGGGAGCCCTCAGGAAACTTAAAATCATGGCAGAAGGTAAAGGGGAAGCAAGCACCTACTTACATGGCAGCAGGAGGGAGGGAGAGAGAGAGAGCAAGCAAGCAAGAGAACAGCAGTTGGTTGAAAGTGTAGCAGAAGGCTATACACTTTCAACCAACCAGATCTCATGAGAACAGCCAGGGGGATGTCTGCCCCATGATTCAGTCACCTCCCACCATGCCCCTCCTTCAATACTGAGAATTACAATTCAACGTGAAATTTTGGTGAGGATGCAGAGCTAAACCATATCATTCAGGCCCTGGCCCCTCCCAAATTTCATGTTCTTCACACATTTACAAAAACAATTATGCCTTTCCAACAGTCCCTCAAAGTCTGAACTCATTCCAGCATTAACTCAAATGACCAAGTCTGAAGTCTTAACTGAGACAAAGCAAGTTTCTACGCCTATGAGTCTATAAAATCAAAAACAAGTTAGTTACTTCCAAGATATAGTGGGCGTATAGGCATTGGGTAAATGCTCCCATTCCAAAAGGAAGAAATTGGCCAGAACAAAGGGTTTACAGGCCCTCATGCAAGTCTGAAAACCAGCAGGGTAGTCATTAAATATTAACACTCTAAAATGATCTCCTTTGACTCCATGCCTCATATTGAGGCCACACTGATACAAAGGGTGGGCTCCCAAGGCCTTGGGCATCTCCACCCCTGTGGCTCTGCCAGGTACAGCCCCTGTAGCTGCTTTCATGGGCTGGCGTTGAGTGCCCGTGGCTTCCCCTGGCACACGGTACAGCTATCAGTGGATCTACCATTCTAGGGGCTGGAAGACAGTGACCTTCTTCTCACAGCTCCACTAACTAGTACCCTAGTGGGGACTCTGTGTGGGGGCTTCAAACCCAAATTTCCTCCCAGCACTGCCCTAGTGGAGATTCTTAATGAGAGCTCTGTCCCAGCAGCAGACTCCTGCCTGGACATCCAGGCATTTTCATACACCCTTGGGAATCTAGGCAGAAGTTCCTAAACCTCAGCTCTTGCCTTCTGCACACCCACAGGCTCAACACCATGTGGAAGCCATGAAGGCTGGGGGCTTGCACCCTCTGAAGCCATGACCAGAGCTGTGCCTTGGCCCCTTTTAGCCATAACTGGAGTTGGAGTGGCTGGGATGCAGGGTGCCATGTTCTAAGGCTGCAAAGAGCAGCTGGGCCCTGGGCCTGGCCCAGGAAACCATTTTTCCCTCCTTTGCCCCCAGCCTGTGATGGGAGGGGCTGCTGTGAAGGTCTCTGAAATGCCCTGGAGACGTTTTCTCCATATTCTTGGCTATTAACATTTGGCTTCTCTTTATTTATGCAAATTTCTGCAGAAGGCTTGAATTTTTCCCAAGAAAATGGGCTTTTCTTTTCTACCACCTGGCAAGGCTACAAATTTTCCAAACTTTTGTGCTCTGCTTCCCTTTTAAATATAAGTTCCAGTTTCAGATCATCTCTTTGTTCACATATATGAGCATACACTTTTAGAAGCAGCCAAGCTATAGTGGTGGCTTATGCATGTAATCCCAGCATTTTGGGAGGCCAAGGTGGGTGGATTACTTGAGGCCAGGAATTCAAGACCAGCTTGGCCAACATGGTGAAATCCCACCTCTACCGAAAATACAAAAGTTATCCGGGCATAGTGGCACATGCCTGCAATCCCAGCTACTCAGGTGGCTGAGACACAAGAATCACTTGAACCTGGGAGGCAGAGATTACAGTGAGCTAGGATCACACCACTGCGCTCCAGCCTGGGTGACACAGCCAGAGCGAAACCTTGTCTCAAAAAAAAAAAAAAAAAAAAAAAAAAAAAAAAAGAGCCAAGCCAACTCTTGAATACCTTGCTGCTTAGAAATTTCTTCTGCCGGATACCCTAAATCATCTCTCTCAAGTTCAAAGTTCCACAGATCTCTAGAGCAGGGACAAAATGCTGCCAATCTCTTTGCTAAAGCATAGCAAGAGTGACCTTTACTCCAGTTCCCAATAAGTTCCTCATCTCCACCTGAGACTATCTCAGCCTGGACTTCATTGTCCATATCTCTATCAGCATTCAGCAAATCTCTAGGAAGTTCTAAACTCTCTCACATCTTCCTTTCTTCTTCTGAGCCCTCCAAACTGTTCCAATCTCTGCCCATTACCCAGTTCCAAAGTTGTTTCCACAGTTTCAAGTATCTTTGTAGCAGTGCCCCAATCTTCTGGTACCAATTTTCTGTATTGGTCCATTTTCACACTACTATGAAGAACTACCTGAGACTGGGTAATTTGTTTAAAAAAAAAAAAAGGTTTAATTGACTCACAGTTCCACAGGATTAACAGGAAACATGCCTGGGAGGCCTCAGGAAACTTACAGTCATGATGGAAGGTGAAAGGGAATCAAGCACATCTTTACATGGTAGCAGGAGAGAGAGAGCATGAGAGAGAGTAGGGGGAGGTGCTACACACTTTCAAACAACCAGATCTCATAAGAGCTCTATCATGAGAACAGCAAGGGAGAAATCTGCCCCTGATTCAATCACCTCCCACCAGCCCCCTCCTTCAATACTAGGAATTACAATTTGAGATGAAATTTGAGTGGGGACACAGATCCAAACAGTATCACTGAGGAATGACCAACTGAGAGCAAAATTAAGTTACTGGTGGTTATAAGTAGTTGGCCTGACAAAATTGTCTTCTCTTAGCTAAACTCCTCTCACTAACTCCTCCTATTGCTGTTAACAGGGCATTGTGTAGAGGGCTTTTTAACAGAATTAAATAGACATGCATGTGCCTGATGGACAGTTTTAGGGGAAAATAGTGAGAAATTAAGTATATAAGGTAAGCTCGTCTGTAATGGTATGATGTTCAATGCATGTTGATTTCTCAAGTGACTTTAACAAACTGATTATCAGCAGGGTTGTGGGAAACAAGGGCAGGGCTGGCCAGTTTCAGATGCAGCTCTGCCATTGACTGTCTCAGTGCAGAGACCCTGCACACAACAAGCGCTGCTTCCTGTCTACCCTTTTATGCAGCAATTAACGCATCAGAGAATATGAAATGGCAGCCTGAGAAACATGAAGAATCTCAGAAGAATCTCAGAAGAGCAGACTTTAAAAGGCCAAGGAAGTAATCTCATATAGTTCTCTCAAAGATGAGGAAACTGAGCCCAGGGAACTGAAGCAATGTTGTCAAAGTTACATGGCTAGTTACCTGGCAGAGCTTGAACTTGAACAAAGCTCACCTGGCACAGAGCCCAGGGCCTTCTCCTGTGTATCACAACAAACCAAATGGAAGCCAGGACTGTATTCAGCTGTGAGAAAACCCCTGATACACTGGCTTAAGACAGTTACATAGTTTTTGAATATAGTAAAATCAAAGGTAGGTGTCTGGGGCTGGTGTGGGAGATCCATAATGCCATCAGGGACCCAGACTCTTCTCACTTCCTTTTCTGCCATCCTCAGCATGGTCCCTGGAGCCCAACTACCTGGGTTCAGATCCTGCCTTTATCACTTGTTAACTCTGAAACCTTGGACAAGTTACATCACCTTTCTGTGCCTCAGTTTTCATAACTTTAAATAATAATTGGCATAAGGTTTTAATAGTTTTATCTATAGAAAGTGCTTAGAAATGTCTGTCTTAAAGTAAGGGCTATTTTATGATAACTTGTATTTTTATGGTTGTGGCTTCTGTTGCAAAGCAGTTGCAGTATCATCAGGCATCATACCTGCTTTCTAGAGAAAAAGAAGGAAGAAGAGTCCTTTTATTGCCAGACTTTGTCTTTTTATTCAGGAAACGAACACCTTTATTGGGGACCTCAATTTGCCTCTAATTGGCTAGAACTGTGCCATATGTCTACCCCTACCTGAAAAATAATATGGAAGATCACATATTTTAGACTAGGCACAATGCTATTTTAAACAGAACAATGGGCCTATTAGTAAGTAAAAAGGGTGAATTGATATTATGTAGGCAATTCTCCAGTGATCTCATAACTACTCAACTTTGCCACCTAAAAGGTGTGTGACCTTGGGGATATTGCTAACTCAACTAATGCCCAGTCTTCCTAACTATAATTTTGGATAACGATCATTGCTTTACCGAACTCAAGGGTGATTTGAAGATTAAATAACCAATGCATCATAAGGCACTTATCAGCTCCAAAGTGATCTGCAAACACATTATTTAGTTACTTTACCTGGTAGTAAGAGTACAGCCTTTGACCCCAAATTATGCTCAATGATACAGATTTGATGGTGTTCCAGAAATAAGAGTGAGAATGAATTTAACTCATTCATTACGCCATGGGAGAAAAAAACAGGTTGCTCCAAAATGCCCAATTTCACTTTCACTCCCCATGAAACCAGCTGTCATCCTGTGGCCTATCCAGGAGAAAATCTCTGTGGGTGATCTATGGGTAGGGAGGACCAACCAACACTAGAAGCAGGAGATACCATGGAAAACTATCTTTATCTCTTTCTATAAGACCCATTAGATAAAGGCTTATTCTACAGCTCTTAAAGGCATAAAAAATAGTCTTATCTACATTGAAAATACTGAGAAAAGTCTTTTATGTCCTGACAGTCAAAATGGTTAACAAGTGATATTATGTAATATATACAAATATATAAACAAATCTATGGATGTTTTGTGTGTACATGTTTTATACTGCATGTGAGCATACACTGTATATGTTTACTTATTTTCCCCCTCTCTGTGATGTCTACTGTGCTGATATATGTGCATTAGAACATGCAATCTTATAGTCAAATTATGTCTGGCATTATCAAATCCAGTTCTTAATATTTCAGTCTTAGAACTCAGCTGCTCAGAGATAAACTGTGTTGCTTCCCTGGGATGTAATGACTTCCCTGTCACTAGAGGAATTCAAGCAGCATCTGAATGTCCATTTGGTGGAGCTATGGTAGAAGAAATTTAAGTTTCAGAGGCTGAAAGTGGGTGCAGGGTAGGGGAAGACTAGATTACATGACCCTTAAAGAGAACTTGGAAATTTGTGAGTATAAGTGAATAAAACATCATCTCTCCTCATTATACAGATATGGACCTAATCTTCAATCTCATTTCAACTAAATGTGGATATAGATGCGGATTTACATTATGTTGTATTATATTATATATTTATATTATTTTATTTATATTCTGTTTCCTATTCAATAGAGAATAAGCTAATTGATGAAAAGCACATCTTACCTTCTCTAAGGTGAAAGGGACAGTAGAGATCCATTCAATCTAATGCAGTCATTTTACTGATTGAAACCAAGTTTGAGGAAGACACAGTCAAGGTCATTCAGCTAGACAATGTCAGAGAATTTTTCATTTCCTCTTTCAAATGTACATTCCAAAATAAAAATTCTTTATGAGGGCTAGTTTCAGTATCTATAGGTATATCTCTGAAAGATGTCCCAGATAAATAAATAAGTCTAGTAAGTTCATAAAGAGATGAAATCAGGAAAAACTTTTTTCAAGTGCTATATCTTTCAAAAAAAAAAGAAATTAGTTGTCTTGAAAAGTTAGGCATCCTTCTTCACTGTAGATCCTCATTCTGAAAGTAGACTGAGAAAAGGTTGTTGTAAAGAGGACTCCTAGAATGGCTGAGAATATGTTAGTTAAAATAATGCTAAATGCTGTGACACATAAACTATATATAATATGCAATTTGTTTCTCATTCATGTAAAATCCATTCAGAGGCAGGGACTGAGACGCTTTGATCCATGCAATCATTTCAGAACCTAGGGTAATGGAGACTTAACCATCTTCAACATGTGACATCCAATGTCACATGGGCAGCAACATCCCAGAGAAGAGAAGAGAGGAGGGTGACGAGATGTTTTCACAGGACAAGCCTGGAAATGATATATATCACTTCCTCCTGTATTCCAGGGGCCAGAACCTCAAATACATAGCCACACTCAACTACAAGGGAGGCTGGGAAATGTATTCCAGCTCTTGATGACCAGGAGAAAATTGAAAGAGTCTGGTAGACACCTAGCCAATCCCTACTCCAGTGAATGTGGTCTACATGATCTTTAAGGTTATATCCACTCTTTTCTGTGTTTTTCATCTTTCATATCTCCATTTCATTTTGTATATATTTTTCTATCTAATCTTATAGTTCACTGATTCTCTTTAGTTGTTCTAATCTGCTATTAAATAATTCCATGTTTTTCTTAATTTCAGTTTCTGTATTTTAAAGCTCTAGAATTTCCATTTGGTTATTTTATAGAATTTTGAATTTATGCTGAAATTATTACTATTATCTTTTATCCCTTGAATGCATTCAGCATAGCTATTTTAAACGTTCCTATTATTACAATTCCATTATCCACATTCCCCCATAGGCCTGTTTCTTCTGCTTATTGTTTCTACTGATTTTTAGTCCTATCTCTCATCTCCTCTTATGCTTGTTTTATATATATATATAAAATTTTATATACATATAAAAAATGCATTGTACCAGCATATATATATATATATATATATATATATATATATATATATATATATATATATATATATATGCTGGTACAATGCATTTTTTTTCAGAAAATACATTAGCTTCTGGCTCATTAATTTTATTAATAAATATTATTGAATATTATTAATTTTAGTAGCTAGCCTAGGTCAATCCAATTTGAAATCAGTATGTCATATTGTCTAGTCTTTAAAGCTAGGCTTCATTCTCTTGGAGGGCAAATGTATTTCTGATTTACCTTTACTCCCAGAGTATAGACTTTTTTAACTCCTCAACTGGAATTAAAGGGGTGTATCACAATGACACCCCCTAGCTTGAGGGGTCTGAACTCTTATTTTTAGCCTTATTAGTTCCATGAATCTGTTGAAAGCCCTATTTACAATTTCTCAGTTTCTTAGATCCCTGTTCCAGAACTAGCAGACACTTGTAGTGAAAAAACTACTTCAGGCCGGGCGCGGTGGCTCACGCCTGTAATACCAGCACTTTGGGAGCCCGAGAAGGGCTGATCACGAAGTCAGGAGATGGAGACCATCCTGGTTAACACAGTGAAACCCCGTCTCTACTAAAAATACAAAAAAAAATTAGCGGGGCTTGGTGGCGGGCGCCTGTAGTCCCAGCTCCTGGGAGGCTGAGGCAGGAGAATGGTGTGAACCCGGGAGGCGGAGCTTGCAGTGAGCCAAGATCGCACCACTGCACTCCAGCCTGGGCGACAGAGCGAGTCTCAGGAAAAAAAAAAAAAAAAAAAAAAAAAAAAAAGCTACTTCAAATACCAGGCTTGTTTCTCCCAATCTCTTTGTTTTCCAGGATCTTAGACCTATAATTTTTCAATGACTTGGAAGGTCTCCACTTCCTTCAAACTATATTTTTGTTTGTTTGTTTTGACTTAGCTTTTCTAGTTATTTTTAACACGATGGTTACCAATTTTATGTCTATCTGTCTGCCAATCTGTTTGTCTATAACCTGTACTGCAAATCATACTTTTCCCTTAACTATAGACCTTCACCATTTTTCCATATCTATATGTAAATCTCCACCTCATTCTGCTTTTATGATTTCAGCCTATTACATTGTATAAATGTAGTTCCCTATTGATGGACATTTAGGTTGTCAACTAAATGTCACATTGTGTGTGTGTGAATATATCTATAAGATAAATGCTAAAAGTGAAGTTGCTACATGTTAGCAAATTGTCTTCCAAAAAGTTATACCAATTTACGTTTCTACCAAAAGTGTATGAGAATATCTGTTTCTCCATAGGCTTACCACCACTAGATTTTACCCAACTTATAAATTTTGTAATCAACTTTTAATCATGCTTCCAGATTCCATTTTTTCCCTTGCAATCCAGTCTCCCTGTATGGACACATACATTTATAAATCATAAAACCTGATCATGTCTCTTTCCTCTTTAAAACCTTTTTGTATTTGTTTTTCTTCCCCATAGCCAAAGGATCATGTTTGTAAAAAAAAATCACTCACTCTCCTCTCCTACTTCCCAGCCCCGTCTCCTGTACAACCCCATGGACTAGCCATATTAACATTTTCCTAAATATATACACTTTTCCACAAATGGCACATTTGCATATTCTCCTCCTTCTCTCTGGAATACTGTCCCATCTTTCACCTATATAAGAAAGGATAAACTTCAACATCCAGCTTACAGGTTACATGTTAACTCTTTTGATAAACTTTTTCCTACAAACCTCACCTTCCCCCCAAATACACAGAGCAAATGGTCAATTTTTCCTTTCTTTACATAACCATTGTTCATTATAAATACCTCTCTTGCAGCACTAAAAACACTGAATTATATCACTGTAAATCTGTCTGCACACCATTATGAGCTAGTTGAAGGAAGGGCCCATACCTCATCCTCCCCATTCCTAGGCCCAGCAGAATACTTGACATAGAGAAAGAACTCAAAAAAATTTTTTCAAAGAATAGATGCAGTGCATATTGCCTCTGTAAAATGCCGTCATTCAGCACAAGTGTTTTCAGAGCAGCTTCCGAGTCCTCAGAACTGGGAATACTTGAGCAAATTTCTGTTTGACCTAGATTTAGCATTCAAATCTCAGTGTGGGCATACTAAACCCCAAGAGGGAAACAATAGAGGATTGAGTTATTAGATAGAATTCATACTTTGGGCAACAGTTTTCCCTTCAATACCTAAAGCCGTTTGTGTTCAAATTTAGACCCTTAGGGTTGACACAACAAGTGTACATTTTGGTAGTCCTTATTCTACAGCTCCCATCAAAATATGCAAATATGTTGAACCTGGTTTGACCTCTGGCATGAGACCTGCCATGTGTTTACTCTTTGTATAGTCCCTCTTGAAATATACACTTATTTTTTAGACAGATTTTTTCACAGGCAGGGTTCTTACCCTGTTGATAAAAAATATGAGAAGAAAAGCACAAGTGATTCATTTGCTTTAGGAAAATGAATCTGTGTGCTTACCAAGGAATATTTTATCACCCCAAGGACAGAACATTTCCAGCCTATTTCAATGCTATGTAGCGCAGGAAGACTGTAACAACACCAGTGAGGATTATGATCTATGACTCATCTTCTCCCCTAAGGGACTCTGATTTGCTATACCTCAGTGGCTAGTCCATTTGGTTCCTAGTGTGATTGGATTCTATTCCTGACTAGATGCTCCCATCTAAACAGTAAAGACAACATCCATCTCCTCAGATGTCTAGAGACATGATAATGACTATGGTAAATATGGTTTTAGTATTATTCATTTGGATTCAGTGCAGCTCCCAGAATCAGAGGAGCCTGCGATGTCAGGGATTTTAAAGGCCTTTACAGTTCTTGAATTTTCTCTACAACATCTCCACCAAGTGGTCACACCACCTTTATTGGAGTATTTCCCGTTACAGGCAGCTCATTGCCTTCCACCATGTGATTGAGGAAGTTCTTCTCTCATGTCAGTTCTGAAGAATCTTGTTTCTTGGTGATTTCTACATATGAACCCTAAGAGGAAATCTAATCTTCTTCAGAGTTGTTGTCCTGGTTTTACACCTTCCAAATGAGAACCCTCCAAATACTTGAAAGTCTTCTAACATGCATGCTGAGTCATTCATTCTCCCACCTAAAACTTCCATGCTTTTTTAAATTTCCCTTGGAGACTCTGCTTTTGAGTCTTCACCATATCATTCATTCAGTAAGCTAAGAATAATGCTGATTTCCTGCATTATCCCAGCTGTGTCAAAGGGCCCATTGGATGGATTCCTTGATGGATATGCAAGAACCAGGAAATGGGAAAGGAGAGGAGCAGATTCTTCCATTCTTGCTTCCTAAAATAGCCTTTAATAACAGATCCTCTATTCATGCAGAGAGATTTCTAAAACTCCTTTTTTTCCATCTCCTCTTCAGTGGAATGGTCTTTTACCTCCTCCTTATTATGATTTTGCAGAGACTGCTTAAATACCAGTTCTCCTATGGAGGCTGTGTGGGTTTCTGTGAGTTCTTGCATATTAAAAAGGAATTGAGTGAATATTACATTAAAAACTTCAACAAGCATAGATGATGGAAAATTTGGTGTTTGGGTGTCAGTTGGATACAGAGTCAAATCCTGATTCCGCTTCTTGTTTGCTGTGTGTTTTTAAAAAAAACTCTTTGTCTCTCTGAGCCACAGACTTCTTATCTGTAAAGTAGAGGTAATCCCAATTATCATGATGGCTTATTACAAATTAGTGATAATATATGTATAAAACTTAGCACAATTCCTGGAAAACAGCAGATGCTTAATAAATAGTAGATTAAAGATTATTCTTCGTGTTGTAACTTGGTTCCAATTCCAGATCTCTCATAAGGTGTAAAATCCTAGAAAACCATTATTCTCACTTCTAAAACTGGATAACAATTGGACCTAACTTCTAAGGGTGTTTGTTTAATCGGTTGAAATAACATATCCGTTGAAAGAAATTCTCACAATTTATTAAATATGATATATGTTCTTTCAGAAGTAAAAATGTATGGAGAAAGCCTCTGTTTAATTTAGCTTCATGTTCCCACCACGAAGTCTGGCACACAGGAACCTTCTATAATACTCTTTCTATAATACTCTTTACTTTCTATAATACTTTCTATATTACTTTCTATAATACTCTTTCTATAATACTTTCTATAATACTCTTCTCATTGCCTAACTTAAAATGTTAGTTAGGCATTTCTATAATACTTTCTATAATACTGTTCTCATTGCCTAACTTAAAATGTTAGTGGCCTTCTATCTTTCTCTGTCAGCCTACATACATGACCAGGAGACGCAGTGATACTCCAGGGCAATGGTGCCCTGTGGAGGTAGAAGTGAGAAGAAGTGTCAAAGTATTCCCTCCAATACCAGACTCTGCCCTCAAGGAGTTCCCCACCCAGTACAGGGAACAAGATATCAATAGCTAAGTACATTACAGTATTAGCATGAAGGCATGTGTTGGGGATAGTGTAAAAACAAACAGTCAACTCATGGAGGAAACATTAAGAAGAAGGTCGGTGATCATATAAAGCCTAACACAGGTTTTTAATGAATGAATAGGAGTTGGCTAAGCAGATCAAGTAAGGTGGGCATTCTTTAAAAAAGAAAGCATTTGCAGAAGCATGGAGCTGTAGTAAACAAGATTCTTTGTTCTGGGAAGAGCAAATAATTTCCTAAGACTAAAATGTAGGATAACATCAGGCAGTAGAAGCTTGTGGGGCCAGACATGAAGGGACTCATGCTCTCTTTTAGGGAATTTGGATGTTATCCTGCAAGTAGTGGGTTGCTAATAAAGGTCTTTGGTCAAGAGTGAACTCATCTGATTAGTGCTTTAGAAGTACTTTGCCAGTGACTTTGTGGAGGCTGAATTGGCACAGAAGGAAAACTGATCATCAGAGGACCTCAGTTAAGACTGTGTTACTTTACCTCCTTCTGCTCCTAATACTTAATATATATGAGTCATTTGTGCATAAATTCAGAGTGTCAGCCATTTGGCAATAAAACTCCAAAAGAAATCAGAATTCCTGGAGAGATAATTGTTGCATTTTATTTCTTGTGCTCACTGCTACTTTGGCAGGCCCCAAAGATAAATAGAGACCAGAAAAGTAGCACCCTTGCTCCTTTCCTCCTCCCGCTCACCTAGAACACTTGCTCTTTTCTCTGTACAGACTGCTGGAGATTTCTGGTCATTAGCCTTGGCTTTATCCATAACACAACCAGCCACATTGTGTGCAGTCTCCCTCACCCCAATTTCTGTGTGTGTTTGTTCATGAAAGGCCTTCCTGCCCTGGTTTCCCTGGAAGGGAGTGTTGGAGTATGAGGGTTGTTGCCATGACCACAAACTTCCAAAGCCAAGAATGGCTTCCTCCAGGACATTTCTGGAGAAGGTCATGATCTGTATGAGTGTGCAAGCCATGCTTGAGCTACAAGCTTTGTAAACCCAAATCATTACAATTTGGTGTGTTGCAAGCCTTGAACAAGGCCCAGTGTTTGTACATTTGGACTGTGTGATATAGACGCTGCATCCATCAGGACTTTTTTTTTTTTTTTTGTCAGGGATGTGGTGTGTAGTTTAGTAAACTTTGTCTCTAATGATCTTCCCTCAAAGAGAAACCTTTGTGATAGTCAAGATATATGAAAGATGAGTCCATTCAGCAGATCTGTTTGTACCTGCCATGTGCTAGAAATATAAATTGAATAAGACCAAGACATTGTCCTATACCTATGTGCTAACATTAATAATGGCTACTCTATATTAAATGCTTACTATGTATCAGGAGCTGTGGAAGATGCTTTCCAATTGCTATCTAGTCAATCTTCATAGGAACTCTATGAAAGAAATCCAATTATTAGCTCAATTTCAAAAATAAGAAAGCTGAGTTTTAGAGAAGTTACATATCTTGACCAGGTTTACACAGCCACTAAATATCATAGCTGGATACCTACCCACATCCATCTGACTCAGATGTCTGTGCTATTTTCATTGGATATCCTGCCTTAAGATGCTGACAGTGAAGCATGAGAGAAGCATGTAAACAGAAAAAGTGCAATTTCAAGTGATAAATGGGGATCTTAAAATGCCAAAGGAACATAGAAGAAGGGTCCTGTGATGTCAGAGAAGGCTTTGATGAGGGAAATATGTTCCAGCGGCGTTCTACCTGTAAACACAAGTATCTAAAAAAAGAAAGGGGATGAGTTTTTGATAAAGGGTATGCAAAGGACTGCCATTGTGAGACAATACATAGTCCATGGTGGACATTCCATTGGCTGCCATCATGAAGAAAGACCATGAGAAGTTCAGGCTGGCAGGAATGGATGTTGTTTGAAAGAGAGTGACAGATCAGACTGGAAAGAAAGTTGGGGGGCAGATTTTGGAAGGATTCTGTACAAAGTAATGATGAATTTGTATTTCAACTTGTAACCAAAATTTCTTCCATGGATTGGTTACAGAACCATCTGATAGGCCTTTTAAAAATATAAATATCAGGCATCAGCCCAGGAGACTCTAATTTATTTGAACAGTGATTCTCAAAGTTCAGTATTTATCAGAATCACCTGGAGCATTAATAAAAAATACAGAGACCTCACCTCTGTATGTTTACCAAGTTCCCCAGATGACTCTAATATACTCTAACACCTGAGAACTACACGTCTAGGATGAGAAATAAGAATCTGTTTTTGTATACATTTTCTAGGAGATTTTTATATGCTAGCAGATTGAAGTATTACAGACATAGACAACAGAAACCCACAGAAATCTTGCTATTATTGCTTAGTTGACAATAAAAATTTTAATGATAAGTCTTTAAAATAGCAATATCATATTAAGGCTTAAAACAACATTAATGTCTGATATTAGAGAAGGACTTACAGATTTCAGTGTACCGTAGCAGACTCCATCACTTTACCTGTAAAATGAGAACAATAATGGGATCTATTCCCTGCAGGTCTTACAAGGTTAAAAATAAGGCCTTATTCCTAGGCAGCTACAGATATGCTTTGATTCACTGCAGAATAGTTTGCATTTTATAAAAATTTATACAGATGTCGTTGTATAGCATGTCTTCTATTTTGTGTCTGGCTTCTTTCTCTCAGTCTAGTTGTTTTGATATTTATTCTTGTTCTTCTGTGTATCAGCCTTTCATTCCCTTTTGTTGGTGAGTGGTATTGCATTGTATAGATTTGTGCCAGGGTTTGTCCGTGCACGTGTTTATGGACATTTGAATTGTTTCCAATTTGGGGCTATTTCAAATAAAGTTGCTATGAATGTGTAGAAAGAAAGGGACCATGTGTGCACACATGCATGTGTGCATGTGTGCATGTATGTTTGTGTATGTACAGAGTAGTGACTCATAGAGTCCTTCTTCTAACACCTCAAACATAGCACAAGTACCAGCCTCTTCTACTGCGTAATTTCCCCAATCCTACCTTGGTAATATTCCTTAACTTTATTTCATTACATCTACCCAAGCATTTTTATGATAAAGAAAAGAATGAAGGAGCCATCACTCTATCTCTAAATTTAGGAAGCCTAACTTTAAATCTCTGTAGCTCATCACCTTCTGTCTGTCCTAGCTTCAAAATTATTCTAACACACCTTATTATTTCTTCAAGATCAAAATCACACCCCTTAGCCTATTCAAAGTCTGTGAGTTGGTCTAGTGTGCCTCATCTTCTACACTCTTCCCCAAGGATCCAACCATCTAGCACCTCTAAAATGCTTGCTATTTCCTGAAAGAAACGTGCTCTGTCTTGTCACTAGGCCTTACATGAAACGTTCTTCCCATCTGATCTGCCAAGTGAACACTTTGCTTGACATCACTTCCTCTGTAGATCTCACATCACTTCCTCTGTAGATCTTTCCTGACTCCTCAGCAGTGAGGCACTTGCTCTTCTCTATTTGCACAGCTCTCTGTACACTTTTTTGCTGCAGTGCTTATTATGCTGCACTGGGATTGATGAATTGTACATATCTATCCCTGTCTTTGTCTCTCTGTATTCCCAGAGCCTTACACAGGATCCAGCACATTAAAAGTACCCAAATACTAAGCCTGCTGTTAGTTAAATTTCAAGTTAACTTCTAAAACCCCAACTTCATCACAAAGATGTTGCAATCATGCTTTGGTTTCTGAAACAATTGATGATTTGGTAAAACTAGTCAGTGACAACCTAAGCTGGTCTCATTTCCTGATCCAAAATTGGTCCTCACAACTTTCTCTTCTCCTGGTGATGATTCTTCACTCTCACTGGGGGAACCTCTGAGATTTTGAAGGGGCTTTCCATCTTGGGAAAATACCAATGTGTATTTTGGGTAAGCCATTGCATTTCTTGCCTGAGGCAAGACTCTTTGCCTTAATTGGGATTCAGTTGCTCATGTCAGTTTTGAAAAAGCAAGTACATTGGCATGAAAAAAATACTTCTCAAATCTTTGGTGTCCAATTAAAAGTCATTGAAGTCTGCCCAGACAAATAATTTCAGCAAAGACAATCTAGGCAGTCAGTCAACAAATATTTAACTATTATGAACCAGGTACTTTTCTAAGCTGTAAGGCAACAAAGCAACTGTGAGAAGCCACAACTTCAAGAAACTTCCAACTTGGGGGAAGAAACAATAAGCAAATAGATAAATGAAAAATGCTATAATCTCAGATTTTGAGAAACGCTATGATGGAAACAATATTGGAGGATCGTGGTGGAAGAACTGTTTAGCTCAAGGAGGGAAGAAAAGGATTTTCAGAGGAGATGACATTTGAAACCTTTATAGAGAGAAGTCAGCTATATAAACATCTTAGAGGAAAGCACTCCAAGTGGAAGGTACAAGATCAAAAGCCCTGAAATAGGAATAATATTGGTATGCTCTTGGAGCAGAAAAAGCCACTGTGGCAGGAACATAGTGAATAATTGGAGATGTAGGCAGGTCCTATGTCTGGACCTACTGTACCCATAAAGAGAAAGTGAGTAGAGGTGAGAATGGAGATTCAGGCAGGTCCAGACATAGGGCTGTGAAGACCACCATAGTAAAGAGGTAAGATTTCATTCTGGTTGCAATGGGGAGATATTACAGAATTTTACAAAAGTAATGTGATCTGCTTAATAATGATTAATGTTCCTTCCCCCTAGCTGCTGTTATGGAGGATCATTGATGGGAAGGTGGGTAGAGAAGAGCAGTCAGCAGGCTAATGATAGAGTCCAATGAGGCATGCTGGTGTCTCTTAAACTAGTATTGGAGATGGTGGGGGAAAAATCACATTTCAGTTTGGGTTTTGTTTGCTTTTGTTTTATTTATTTATTTATTTTATTTATTTTGGAATTTGAGCCAACAGAACTTAGGGTTAAAAATTAAGTCTGAGGAAAAAAGAGCAATCAAGAATTACTTCTAAATATTTTTGTCAGAGCAGCTGAATGAATGGTGGAGCAGTTTACTCAGATGGGCAAGGCTTGGGGAATCTGTTTTATGTGTTTTGAGGGCATGAAGAATCTGTTTCAGTCATGTTCTCTGAGAGTTCTGTCCGACATCCAAGTAGAGATATTTAGTAAGCATGGGTAAATCAGTGTATTATTGGGATTTAAAGCCATGCATAAACACGAGATCTGAGAGAAAGGTAAGATAGAGAAAATAACACCATCTAGGATTGAGCCCAAAGCCTGCTAACATTCAAAATTCTGGCAGAGAAGAAGGGTCTAGCATGGGAAAATGAGAAGCAATAGTCTGTGAGAGAGGATGACAAACAGAAGAATGTGATGTTATAGAAGCCAACAGAAGAAATTCTTTCAAAAATGGAAAAAATGGACAATCATGTGTGTAAATGCTGTTGCAAAATAGAGTGAGATAAAGATAGAGAGTTATTAATTTGTATAAGATCTAGATCTCTACTGAACCTCAGTGCCAAATGAAAAGAACAGGAAGTTGTGAGAGGTGAGAGGGATTAATTAGGCAAAGTGATATTGGAATGGGGTCAGAAGAGATCTCTAACAGGGTATAACATACAAGGAAGGAAATGAATTATGAATAGCATTATCCAGGTGAGAGTGAAAGAATGTACCCCAGGCAGAAGGAACAGCATGTATGAATGCTATAGATGGGGAAGAGACTGGTATATTCCAAGAACTAAAACCCCGATGTGGCTAGGTTGTTTTTAGCCAGGATCAGAGTGGAAAGAGACGGGGCTGACAAGACGAACAGGGACCAGATCATGCTGATCTTTGTAGGCCACAATAAGAAGTTAGTTTTCCTTTTAAGCTAAGTACACTAGATGATTTTTAAACACAGAAGGCACAGTCCTATGTATATTTCTTAAAATATTATTTGAATGATTATGACTGCTTCTGTGTGGAAAACAAATTGTGAGGAGGCAATAGTGAAAGTTGGGAAAACAACTAAGAAGCTAAGACAGTAGTTTAGACAAGAAATGATGGTGTCTTAGGCTCCAGTGCTAGTAAAGGAGATGTAAAAAGGGGAAAGAATCAACTATATTTGGAAGTTGGAATGCAGATTATACAGCCAGATGTGCTGGTGTGTACCTGTGGTTCTTGCTACTCAGGAGGTATAGGCAGTAGGATTGTTTGAGGCCAGGAGTTCCAGGCTAGCTTGGGCAACACAGCAAGAACCTGTGTCTTTAAAAATACTAATATTAAGGTTGCACAGTTTTAAGGAAGAATAAAGGTGATAACACATGGTAAATGTTCAAGGCAACCATAAGATCTGATACAGAACAGTAATTCAATGAATTGTGAATGTTCTTTTCTCAATTTCTACATCCATCAATGTTCCAGACGCTGGACTGAAACCCTGGAGTTGGAAGGGAAAGTTCGCAAAGCATCATTTCCTGCATTTGGAGTATACAAATGCAGGAAAGCAAGATGCCTAAGAGAATAGGCTTTGAAACCACAGAGGTTGAGTCTTGAATCTGCTACTCACTAGCTGTGTAATTGGAACAGAGTCTTGCACATGGTAAATGTTCAATAATCTTTGGCAGGATAATTATGTGACCTTAAGCAATTTCCTTAACCTTATTAAATAAGCATCCTCCTTATTAAAATGAAAATATTAATAATAATAGTAATAATGCCTCATAGAACTGTAGTAAGGAATAAATTAGACGATACATATAATATCTATCTACCAGAAGATTAAATGAGGTGATGTATAGAACACTTCTGGCATATAGTAAATGCTCAATAAATTAGCAGTAGCTGTTACTACTATTGCTGTTACAACTACTACCAGTGCTGATACTGGTCAGTAGCTAGTGAAGAGAGATGTTATTATAAAACTTTGCAAAGTTGAGATCAGCCTGGACAACATAAAACTAGGCAAGGTCAAATTATGAATGGGTTTGTATGCTATGGAGGAAGCTGAAGTCATTAGTTTGAGATCTTTACTTTTCTGCTTATAAATTTTCCTGTAAGTGCTGCTTTAGCTGCATTCCACACATTCTTTGATATATAATATTTCACATATTTATGGGGCACATGAGACATTCTGTTATATGCATAGAATGTGTAATGATCAAATTATTGTATTTAGTATATCCAGCACCTCATGCATTTATCATTTCAGTGTGTTGAGAATATATCAAGGCCTCACTTCTAACTCTTTTGAAACATATAATACGCTGTTATTAACTATTGTCATCCTACTCTACTATTGAACATTAAAACTTATTTCTTCTATCTAACTGTATGTTTGTGCCATTAACCAACCTCTCTTCATCTTCCACCCACATCCTTCAAAGTCCCTGGTATCCATTATTCTACTCTCTACCTCCATGAGGTCAGCATTTTTTAGCACCCACATATTAGTAAGTACATGTGATAACTGTCTTTCTATCTGTGGCTTATTTCACTTACAACAATGACCTTCAGTTGCATTCATGTTGCTGAAAATGACAGGATTTCATTTTTTTATGACTGAATAGTATTCAATTATATAACTATAGCATATTTTTAAAAATCCATTCATCCATTGATGGATACTTAAGTTCGTTCCATATTTTTGTTATTGTGAGTAATACTGCAATAAATATGGGAGTACATTTATTTCTTTAATATATTGATTTCCTTTCCTTTGGATAAATAGCCATATGAATCATATGGTAGTTCTATTTTTTAGCTTTTTGATAAACCTCCATACTCTTTTCCATAATGGGTACATTAATTTACATTCCCACCAACAATATATATGTAAGAGTTCCCTTTCCTCTGCATCCTCACCAGCATCTGCTTTTTGTCTTTTTGATAATAGCCATTCTAACTGGGGTGAAATGGTATCTCATGGTTTTGATTTGCATTCCCTGATGATTAGCAGTGTTGAACATTTTTTCATAAACCTTTTGGCCATGTGTTTGTTTTATTTTGATCAGGTCCTTCTCCCATTTTTGAATGGAATTATTTGTTTTTGTGTTGTTGAGTTTTTTGAGTTCCTTGTGTATTCCACATATTAGTTCATTATTGAATGCATAGTTGGCAGATTTTTTTCCATTCAACAGTTTGCCTCTTCACTCTGTCAATTGTTTCCTTTGATGTACAGAAACTTTTTGATTTTAATATAGTCCCATTTGTCTATGTTTATTTTGTTGCCTGTGCTTTTAAGGTCTTAGCCATAAAATATTTACCCAGATCAATGTCCTGGAGCGTTTTCCTATGTTTCTTGTAGTTGTTTTATAGTTTCAGGTCTTAAGTTTAAGTCTTTAATCTATTTTGAGTTCGTTTTTATATGTGGTGAGGGAGAGGGGTCTACTTTCATTCTTTTGCACATGGAGATCCAGTTTTCCCAGCACTTTTTATTAAAAAGGACACACTCTCCTCAATGTGTGTTCTTAACACCTTTTTCAAAAATTGGTTGGTTATAAATAAGTGGATTTCTCAGTTCTCTATTCTGTTCCATTGGTCTATTTGTTTGTTTTTATACCAATGCTGTGTTAGTTTGTTTTCACACTGCTATAAAGACCTACCTGAGACTGGGTAATTTTTAAATAAAAGAGGTTTAATTGACTCACAGTTCCTCATGGCTCAGTAAACTTACAATCACGGCAGAAGGCGAAGGAAAAGTAAGCACCTTCTTCACAAGGCAGTAGGAGAGGGGTGGGGTTGGGGGGAGCTGTCAAACACTTGTAAGCCATCAAATCTTGTGAGAACTCACTCACTGTCTTAAGAACAGCATGAAGAAAACTGCCCCATGATCCAATCACCTCTCACCAGTTGCCTCCCTGGACACATGGGGAATACAATTTCAGATGGGATTTGGGTGGGGACACAGAGCCAAACCATATAATTTACCATGCTGTTTCAATTGTGATACGCTTGTAATATATTTTGAAGTCGGTTGGTGTGATGCCCCCCAGCTGTGTTCTTTTTGCTCAGGATTGCTTTGGCTATTTGGGCTCTTGTTTCGTTCCATATTAATTTTAGGATTGCATTTTTTATTTCTGTAGAGTGTAATTGGTATGTCGATAGAGATTGAATTGAATCTTTAGATTGTTTTGGATAGTATGGTTATTTTAACAATATTATTCCAAATTATTATTCCAAATCATTAGCATATGATGTCTTTTCATTTGTGTGTGTCCTCTTCGATTCTTCCATTAGTGTTTTATAATTTTCCTTGTAGAAGGAAAATTGTAGTCTTTCACCTCCATACTTAAATTAATTCTTAGGTATTGTATTTTATTTTATTTGGTAGCTATTGTAAATGGAATAGCCATCTTTATTTTTTTATGAGGTATTACTAGAAGTCTTACCTAGAGCAATCAGGCAAGAGAAAGAAGTAAAAGGTATCCAAATTGGAAAAGAGGAAGTCAAACTGTCTCTCTTTACAGATGATATGATGTTATATTTAGAAAAACCTAAAGACTCCACCAAAAAGCTCTTGGATCTGATTAATATGTTTGGCAAAACTGCAACATACAAAATCAGCATAGAAAAATCAGCATTTCTATATACACCAATAATGAACTAATATCCCACAAATATTTTATGTTGTATTCATTTTCATTCAGTTCTCTCTTCAGTGTCCCTCTCAATTTACTCTTTGACCTATGGAGTATTTAGAAGTGAATTATTTAGTTTCCAAATATTTGAGGAATTTTTAGAAATATACGTTACTGATTGATAATGTAATTCCATTGTGATCAGAGAATATATGTGGTATGACTTGAACCTTGTTAAATTTTTTTGAGATTTGTAGTATAATTTAGAATATGGGTGAGGCTACAAAATGTTCCATGCACACTTAAAAAATTGTGTATTCTGTTATTGTTAGTGTGTCTATAAATGTTAATCAGGTCAGTTTGCTTGATAGTTGGTTGATCTTCTAGATCCTGCTGTTTTCCTTCCTCCTCATCAATTATGGAGAGAAGAGTATTGAAATAGATGGCTATAATTGTAGATTTGTTTATTTCTCCTTGCAGTCCTGTTTTTGTTTTCATGTATTTTGAATCTCTGTTGTGTGCATAAATATTTACAATTCTAAGGTCTTTTTCCTGAAATGACCCCTTTATTATTACAAAAAGTCTTTCTGTTTCTGGTGATGTTCTTTACTCAGAAATAAACTTTTTATGATGTTAACATATACTACACTTTCACTACATCTTTTTAATATGATTAACATGACAATTTTTCTATCCTTTTAAAACATTTGTGTGTTTAAATTTAAAGTGGGTTTATTGTAGACAAAATATAGTTTGATCTCTCTTTTTTACCCACTTTGGTAATCTCTTGCCATTTAATTGGCATTTAATTATTTAATGTGATTATTGAAATGAATAGACTTAAATCTACTAACTTGCTATTTGTTTTCTCTGTCTAATCTGTTCTTAATCTTTTTCTTCTTTTTCTGCCTTCTTTTAGGTTAATTGAATATTTTATTATTTTATTTCTTCTGTTGACTTAGCTATAATTCTTTTTTTTGTTATTTATTGCTTTGGAGTTTAGAGTATACATCTTTAAGTTATCACAATCTTTTATCAAGTAATATACCATTTTATCTAGTAAAATGTATATTTTCTTTACTTGTTATTTATTTTATATTTGCTAAGTTGTTTTTTAGAGGATTTTGAAACTAAGAAAAAGAAAAAAAAAGAGCAGAATACCTTTTCCAGTGCTTTTCATTGCTTTCTATAGATGCAGATTTTCTTCTGGTTTAGTTTTCCTTTTGTCTGCAAGATTTTCTTTAGTATTTCTTGTAAAGTAATTTTGCAATCGACAAATTATTTCACCCTTCTTAGGCTGAAAAATCAATATTTTTATTTCACTGTGGCAAGATTTTCACTGGATATATAATTCTGGGTTGACAGGGTGTTTTTTTTTTTCTTTCAGTGCTTTAAAGATACTCTGAGATCATTCATGCTGGTGTTCATTTGTACGTAATCTTCCCCACACCTGCTCATTTTAAGATGATCTCTTTATCTGGTTTCCACCAAGTTGATTATTATATACCTTAGTGTATTTTTTTGTCTAGTTAATTGGTTTGAGGCTTATTGTTCTTCTTGGGTCTATGGTATATGGTTTTCATAAAAATTGGGGGAAAAATAGCTGTTATTTCTTCAAATGTTTTTTCAGCCAAACTCCTTTGTAAGTACTCCAGTGACACAAATATTCAGCCACTCAACATTGTTCCATATCTCTCTGATGTTCTGTTCATGTTATTTTCAGTATTTCTTTCAGTGTCTTGAGTTTACATTTTTCTTCTGCACTACCTATTTATCTGTTATTCCCATCTAGTGCATGTGTGTTTTCTAACTGTCAGACATTGTTTTATTCCTCTCTAAAAGTCTGCCTTGTGTTTTCTTGTATCTTCAATCTCTCCTTGACATTCTCATGCTTTCTTCTACCTTCTGGAACACACAGAATATTGTTACATTAACTGCTTTAATACCTTTTCTACTAATTCCATCATGTGTACTATTTCTGGGTTGGTTTCAGTTGTTTGATCTCATTATCAGTATCATTTTTCTGCTTCTTTAAATGTCTGGTAATTTTTTATTGGATGCTACTAGTTATATATTTTATTTGGTTGATGGCTGATTTTTTTGCATATATATATTTATATATATATATATAATATATATATTTAAACTTTATTGTGAAGTACAGTTAAATTACTCGGAAACAATTCTCTTATTAAGTTTGCTTTTAACCAGGATTAGAGGAGCCTTTAGCCTACTGGTAATAATATTATTTTGCCACTAAGATAAAATTCTTTTGAATACCAACTATGAGAAGTTTTTACTCCAGTTGGTGGTAACACAAACTATTTCTAGTCCTGTGTGAGCTCCGCTGACTGTTTCTTATATTCCTTTTAGGTAATGCTTCCCTGTCGTTGGTAGTTTCCTTACTTGCACATCTGATCAGTACTTAGAGAGTGGAGATAAATCTCTGGAGCACTCTCTCTAAGCAGCTCTCTTTTTCGCTAAGCAGCTCCCTTTTTTTCTGGTATCCTGTCCTGTAAAGTCTATTTTATCAACTCTTGGTGTCCTCAGTACTCTGCCTTAGGCCCCATGCTGATGTTGTGGCTAGAAACTCCCTCCAAACAGTAAGCTGGGACAATTGTACAGCTCACCTTGTTTGTTTCCCCTCTATCACTATTTTGTACTGCCTGATGTCCAATGTCTGAAAGCTGTTGTTTTATGTATTTTGCATAGTTGTTTTAATTTATTTTAGACAGGAGGGTACATCTGGTCCCCATTATTTTACTTCGGCCAGAATCTACAGATTTGAATTTGATAGTCTTTAATGCTAGATAAGATATTTACACATTATCTTCTAAGGCAGACAATAGGAAGTTGTTGAAGGCTTTTCAGCTGGGAAGTGTAAGATGTGTATTTTAAGAAATTAGCCCTAATAATCATGGAGAAGATAGTTTGAAAGTGTGAGAAGCTAGAGTCGTAGTTGTTACACATGATAGATTCTAAGTAATTATTTGTTGGATAGTTGATGGAGAAATAAAATTAAGTTGAACACATGAAGTAACAAGATCATCCTGAAAAGTTGAGTGGGATATTCAGATACTAGCTTTCTATACAAATTCAGGGAATAAGAGCTCGAACATACCAGCTTTCACTTATAGTGGGGAGGTGAGAATTACGTTAAGTGCCTTCATTGATTGCCTTGCCTTTGCATGAAAAAGCATAAGAGGAGTAAAAATAAATAAATAAAAGGAAATTAATAAAAACAGGCCTGAGGCTAAGATTTGTTAAATTCATGGCAGGATAAATATTCATTTTTTAATGGAGACTTTTTATTATTATTAAAGTATAAGTGATAATTTTACAAGTGTTATTGTCTCTTCCTCTCTTGAAAACCACTGGGGGAAAAAAGGCAGGATTCTGATATCAGCCACATTTTGTTCATTTGTAATCACATGTATCCCCACATTTATCCTTCTCAACACGTGGTACATAAGATCATTGATAGGAGAAAAAAATATGTCCATCAATACTTTCTTACTCAGGTCTAAATTCTGCTCTCATAGACCTTAAAATTAGACCGAACAGACACTAAGAGAAACTACATTTGTGAACTACATTGGCAGGACCCCCCAGGGAATAAGAAGCCCATCTATTATTTATGTTTTCTACTTATATTATTTGGATTTTCTAGATGAACCCAAATACAGTGGCCTCTGGGCACTCCAACACAGGAAAAGGCAATGATTTATTGACATATAATGTTAACAACACAAAGATAGTGTGAAACAAATATGGTGATGAGGAGTCATAGCCAAACTGCAGACCAATGGGGATAGTGTATTGCATAAATAGGAGCAAATTCAAGTTGTTTTCATTACATACACACAGAGCTAGCACCAACTTAAGAACAGGGAGCCAGGGATGTGATGTACTTTGGGGAAGAAAAGATAAACCGACTTTGAATATCTCAATTAGAATATATATGATTTGAATGACAGCTGTCATTTACAGATCTCCTTGAAATCCATTCCCTCTCTGGGGCCTTACAAGGTGAGTAGGAAGGTTTCCCTAATTGCACAGAAAAAGAAACTGAACTGTAGAGATGATAAGTGATGTAAAGTCTCATCTGTCTAGTACTTTTGTACACAATCTCTTCCCCTTGGTGTCGAGATCTAACACACTATCAAAAACCCCTGTTGCTGTACTATTAGTGGACTCTCACAGAGAATCTATATGAGAGAATCTCTATCTCATAGAGACCCTATGGAGCATAGGGCCTCCTGTGCTCCATTTGAAACTCTCATATTCTATTCTAAGACTTCAATATGTACCCAGTTACTTTCTACCTGAATTGACCCTTTAGCATAGCTATTTGGACTGAGCTGACCCTTCGCTTAGATTGTACTTCTGACTTGTATAAGCCACCCTTCTGGCACACCCCTTCCCTGAGCTCTGAATCTCAGGATCCCAGCCTGAGTTCTGCACGTCTATGAAAGGAGTTCAGATACTTGGAGTTATAGGATATAGCAATAGAAACAGCAGGGACTTTCGAGCCAAGACTAGCCTATGTTTAGATCTTAGTTACCATGTTTGGATACTTACCTACAGGATATACACCTGGCATAGGCCATTAAATCTCTTTGAGCCTTAAGGTTCTCCTCTGTAAAATGAGGGTATTAATTATTTCAAGGTTTCTCAACATCAGCACTGTAAACACTTGGGGCTAGATCATTCTTTGCTGTGGCAGCTGCCTTATGTATTATAGAATATTTAGCAGCATCTCTGACCTCTATACAGTAGATGCCAGTAACACCACTCCATCCTAAGTTAGCGAGATCAACAATGTCCCCAGACATTGCCAAAAACCGTCTGGATGGCAAAATTGGCCCCAGTAGAAAGCTACTGGGTTATTGTAAGTATTACAAATAATATATATGAAGTTTCTTGCATATAGTAATTGCTTAACACAAGGAAGCTGTTACTATCAACATCATCATTATCAATATGACACAGCTAGGAAATGCCAAGACTGGATCTCAAAATCAGGTTCTCCTGCTCTTAATTCTTCTAAAACAATGGATACAAGTGTATTTGAGAAAATCGGTGAAATCAGGAATAAAGTGGTGGTCTGTGGAGATTGATTAATAGACACTCAGGACCATGAAGTCAAGCTAAATTTTAGACTTTATCATGTGGGCGGTGGTGAACAAATGACTTCAGAGCATCAGAAGGATATATACAAAGATGTGTATTATTAAATGTAGGAAATAAAAGTTTCCTTTATTAAACAATATTTTTTTTTAGTGGGGAGTGTAGGCATGGAGAAGGAAAATGATGGTTCTTACTTTGAAGAACCAGGTCTCAGAAACTAGAAGAACCTGAGATACTCCAGAGAGCTACGTATCAGGAAGCAGTGGATGGTCTCTTCAGGATGCCACAGCTGGGTTGAATGAACAACTACTGCTTTTCAGCCTTTGAATCACTCTGCTTAAGTTAAAATTCCCAGGAAAGAGTATCTAGGTTGCATAAAGCCCATCTTGTGCACACTCTGTCCAGGAGAAAACTGGGCACCTCAGAAAAGTAAAATATCTCGACATGGCATCTAGGCTTACTGTAATCTAAGTCCAGGGCTGTGCTTCCTACAGCTGACTCTCTTGAACCAACAGACCAACCAGGGCTCGAACACTGGGAAAAAGCAGTTCCCATCTGAGAATTGAAGAGTTGTTAGCAGGGAAAGGAAAATTCTGAGTAGATAAAAACAATAGCCATCCCTCCACTTCACAGAAGTAAAAGAGCTGGAGATGAGAGTATGACTGGAAGTGAGGCAAATGGTTAGAGCATTTTCCCCCAATTCAGAAACTAGGTGACGAGCTTGATTCAGGTGTAGACAGTGCATAAGGCAATACAGAAATGGACTAAAAGCAAAGCAGCTGACATGTAGACATAACAATCCATATTCAGAACCCACCTATTAAACACACCCTTGTGCAGCATGCCAGGTTTTGATCTGGCGTTCTGGGAGAAAGAAAGAAATCTTATTCTCCTCTGAACTAGGATGGCAAGGACAAAACCTAAGGAGCCTGAAGACAATGGCTTCACCACTAGAGAATTAGGAAGGCCACTCTGATGTGATGTTTTTTAGAAGTTATGGTGAATATCCCAGAGTTCATGAGCAACAAGAATAGTCTTTTATAATAATGACAGAATCAAAGATTACATGGGTCAGAAGAAAGTCAGAAGACTTGGCTGAGTGAGTCAGAGGATAGTCAGCTGTAGGAAGCACAGCACTGGATATAGGTCAGTGTTAACCTAGATGCCATGTCAAGATACCTTACTTTCCTGAGATTTGGTTCCCTCTTAGAAAATGAGATAGTATTGATTTTTCCAAGATTATTTTAAATACACTTAGCACAATGCCAAGCACATGAGAGATGCCCAATACATTTTACTCAACTAGCAGGGAAAAAATTCTAGGTAAAGAGCACAGTGTGTCCCAGGGCCTGGCAGGCAGGAAGGAAAGAAAGACTGATTTGCATAGACTCCTAGCTGTC
This sequence comes from Homo sapiens, assembly GCF_000001405.40. Lineage (NCBI taxonomy): Eukaryota > Metazoa > Chordata > Mammalia > Primates > Hominidae > Homo > Homo sapiens. The sequence goes on along the minus strand of NC_000011.10, from coordinate 79,744,850 downwards.
AATAGTTCAGTGTGACCAGGACAGTGGTCCTCAAATTTTTGGCCTCAAGGCCCTTTTATACTCTTAAAATTTATTATGAATTGTTTATGTGGGTTATATCCAGTAACATTTACCATTTAAGAAATTAAAACAAAGAAACTTTAAAAAATTTATCAGTCATTTAAAATAACAATAAGCCTCTTACATGTTCACATAAATAACATGCTTCATAAAAAGATATTATTTTTTTCAAAACAAAAGTTATTTTATAATTTTTCAAGTCCCTTTAATATCACTTAATAAAAGACAGCTGGATTATCATAGCAGCTACTGCACTGAGTCTGCTGCAAAAAGTACACATCACATAGCCTCTGGAACACTCTGTAAATCCATGAGACTATGGGAGTGAAAAGGCAAGTAGCATCATAATATTATTAAGAAAATAGCAGGTTTGACCTCGGGGACCTCTTAAAAGAATCTTGGTGACCTGCAGACATCCCTGGAACACACTTTGAGAACCACTGTGCTAAACCAAGGGGTAGGAGTGGGAGGACCATAAGAAGAGAGAATACCAAAGAAATGAAGCTGGACTGGTATTTAGGGGTAGATGAGGAAGGACATTGTTGGCCTACTGAGATGTTGAGATTTGATCCTAAAGGCCAATGTTTCCCACACTGGTGTTCAATAAAACATTGTTCTGAATGATATTAGTAGCAATGTGCTGAAAAAGATGCTTAATAACCAAAAAGTTTGGGAAATTGTATACACTGGGTCCCTTTGTAAGATGCACAGTTCACAGACCACATTCAAGGCTTCTAGGAATCCTACAATTAAAAATTAAAAAAAAAAAAAAAAACTTCATGCACAAAGCAGAGAAAGAAAAGAGAGTAAAAAGGGAAAGAAAAACATAAAATAAGCAAAAGAAAATATAAAATTTAAAAAATAAAAAACGAAAAATTGGCTTGAATACGAGGGCTTATGCCTATAATCTCAGCACTTTCGGAAGCCGAGGCGGGAGGATCTCTTAAGCCGAGGAGTTTGAGACCAGCCCAGGCAACATAGTGAAATCCTGTCTCTACACAAAAACATTTTTAAATAGCTGGGCATGGTGCGACATGCTTTTAGTCCCAGCTACTCAGGGGTTGAGGTGGGAAAATCATCTGAGCCCAAGAGATGGAGGCTGCAGTGAGCCATGATTATACGATGCCTACACTCTAGCCTGGGTGACAGAAGGAGACCCTGTCTCAAAAAAAGAAAGAAAAATTAAATGTCTACAACCTGATGTTTTCCCGACTTACCTGAGCAAGTAAAACTGCTTTCATTGCGTGTCTTTTCACTTCCCCAAAAATGTTGTTTTGCTAGACACTGTACTTGGAAAGTCCTCATCTTTCTGTGCTGGGGTGGTATGAAAGGTTTTAGCAGAGAAGTCTCAAGTCAGGGTTATGGTCACAGAAAATATCTCCCTTGATTTTTAGTGAAGATTAGGTTTAAGGATAGAAAGTCTGGATACAGGAGAATCAACTAGATGGTTATATATATGTGAGAAGTGATGATGATTGAACTAAGGCTATAAGAGGAATAAAGAAGAGAGAGGCTGGACTTAAAAAATAATAACATTTAAATCAGTGGTCTTCACAACACACTGACCTGATCCACTGAAATGCCATAAGAAAATATGAGAACGTCTCTTTGCTCCTTTTGTATAACCTTTTTTATTACTATTTTTTGTGTTTGTTTATAATGTGCCTAATTCATCAGACCAATCACAATATTAAAATCATAGGAACTCAGATGACACAAGCACTGACTGATCAGAACAGGCATGTGTTTGGGGGCTAGAGCAGGGTAACCCTGATGGTCCAGTGTTAACCCTTTAGTTGCTACCACATGGGGAGGTCTGAAGCTTCAAGGGAGGGATTGGAGCAGACACAGTGGTGAGGAGAAGAGGATATAAGAACATCCTGAAGCACTGAATGGAACAACTGATGTATCATACCAATGTGTGCAACTATATATCAGCCAGACATGTATGTCTTTGTAAATATGCATGCATACAAATATAAAATCTATCCCCTGGAAGGTATGATTTCTAAAAAATGAAGATTATGGATCTCATTGTATGTAGAGCATGCTACCAAGGGCTTTGCACACTATTCCTGGCGTGGTGTGGTCAGTGCAACAGACAGAAGAGGTATTGCATTTTGCACCTCTCATTCAGATCACTATGCCTCCATTGATACATCCAAGACCTCATCAGTTGATTCATAGCAATGCAGATCCAACACTCAGAGACCTGAAATTTTTGCCCATCTTCAAGACTAGTTTTGCCTCTTTTTCAGGAACATATACATGAACACAGGATGGGGGCTCTGAGTGTACATTTTCATTCCTACGTGAAACAACTCCAAGAAATGTGTGCCCTGAGCTAGAGTAAGCTCCCTTGTATGGAAACCAGTCTGGCTTCACAGAGGGGAAGGGGATTCCATCGGGGGTGATATAGCAAGTGATAAATGCTGCCTTGGACTATTGCCAAGATTTTTTGTATGTTTTCAGCTTGGTAGGGAAAGCATGCACAGGGCTCTAAGGGAGTGATTATGAAGTTGAGTACTCTGCTAAGTTAGTGGCATAAGACAGATGGTCATTGAGTGTGTTGGTACTCCTTCATTACTGGGGGGCCTGGGTGGTGCAGCAGCCCCCACCCACACCCCACAGTTGAGGCACATGCAGGTCCAGGACAGAGCAAGAGCTTATTAAGGAGGCCCTCGGTTAACCAGGCCTTGAGCCATCAGGAACCCTCCAGAGTCAAATTGCCTGGGTCAGCATCTTAATGCCTTTTGGGAGAAAGACAACTACAAGGGAATATGGCTTATTTAAAAAGAAGGAGGAAGACAAAGAGAAAGAAGAGAAGTAGCAGCAGCAACATTAAAGAAAAAAAAATCCATTTGAACTTTATTCTGGATAAGATATGAATGTTAGTGTCTAACAACATGTGCCTAAAAGTATGTTTTGAATGCAGTAGGATCTTGTTCTTTTCCAGCTGGAAATCACAGTCACTGGGCTCAAACTGTCCATTCCACAGATGTTGAAACTAAGAGCCAGAGAGGGGCTTGACTAAAGTCATGGAGAAGGTTATGGGAGAGCTGACACTGAGACCTGAACTTCCTGAGTACCTATTCAGTGCTCCTATGTCCTTAGAAAGTTTGGGGGGAGGAGTCTGATGCAGTTGATTTGAACTTTGGTTTGTTGAGATAATTTTTAAGTGTTTTATAGAAGAAAGTCCATGCTACTTGAAATCAGAAAACTGAGCCAGAAACACTAGAATAGTAAATAGGAAGGTGTATTAGTTCATTCTCATACTGCTATAAAGAACTACCCGAGGCTGGGTAATTAATAAAGAAAAGAGGTTAGTTGACTCACAATTCCACAGGATTTACAAGAGGCATGGCTGGGAGGCCTCAGGAAACTTACAATCATGGGAGAAGGGTGAAGGCACCACGTCTTCTGATGGTGGCAGGAGAGAATGTGAAGGGGGAAGGGCTACACACTTTTCAACAAACAGATCTTTTGAGATCGTACTCACTATCATGAGAACAGCAAGGGGGAAATCCACCTCCATGATCCAATCACCTCCCACCAGGTTCCTCCTCCAACAATGAAGATAATAATTCAACATGAGATTTAAGTGGGGAAACAGAGCCAAACCATATCAGAAGGCAACAGGCAGGTCTCCTGCTTGTCAGTTTCTGCATTTGTAAAATGGAGAGAATCTCTGCAGTATATACTTCACCAAACACTGCAAGGACTGCTGGGAGTCATAAAGAGGAACTCATCCTTGCTTGTCTCCACTCATGACCTTTCTCTAGAGCAAACCTCATGAGCTCAAAGGAAAGCCTGTAAACTTAGCCTTTTGGGTCCTTAAAACTATCTTTCCCCCAAAAAATTGCTTCTAGACACGCATAGACACACAGACTTACACATGCACACTTCCTTCTGACCTAAGACATTTCTCATTTGATGAGAATTTTGCATCAGTTGTGTTTAACTGCCTCACCTACCTATTTATCGGTGCTGATCCCTCACCTACTCAACACCTATGTGTGGGGATAGTAACAAACACATGAGCCCTATGCCTCACAAAGCGCTTTCACATCTCTTACATTACACAGCCTTGGTAGACAGGCAGCTCAGGCTTGAATGCCAGCTCCACTCTTAAATATCGTTATACTCTGAAAGCCTCAGTCTCCTCATCTGTTAAAACACACACAAAAAAAATTCATAGTAATACTGACCTCAGAATATGGTTATTAGGATTCACAGAATTATAATAATGACTAACATTTATTAAGAATTTCTTCTATACAAGGTACTGTGCTAAGAGTTAAGGGACATGAGGTTAGTTATCTCTTTAATTTAAATGAGATTATCCATGTAAAAGTACCCAGCAAATGTACTTAGCATAGTGCCTGGCATATAGTATGCAGTAGGACAAATGTTAGACATTCATATTATCGCTGCTGATGATAATGACAATGGCACTCTTATGCTTCACAAAAAGAGTCTCAAGAAGGTGATGATTTTCAAAGAAAGAAATTGATTTTCAAAAAATTTAAGTCCCTTGCCATGATTATGTGTCTTCTACAAAAGAAATGAGGGGTGGGCCATAGGTGCAGGAGAAAGAAATAGAGGAAAGGTAAGTTATGCTCCCAAAGAAAGTCACACAATGCCAGCTGGTCAGCAAGGAATAAACTTTAGAAGTTCAGCACACCTGGGTTTAGCTGTGGGTGGTTTCCAGGACCATTGCAGGAGCATTCTCTGTAACCATAGAAGACAGACTCCCTGAGCACCTGCTCACCAGCCCTGTTCGTAAATGTGACAAGAGAAGTTAACGTCATTTATATCCTTGAATGGCATCATGAAGCAATCAGCTGTGCTGAATTTAACTCCGTTTCCTGGTTGGGACACTTCCCTTAAAACTAAGTGCCCTGCTAAACAGTTTTTTAGTCTATACTTTTCAAATACACAAAACAATATTTTTCTACTTGAGATTCATGTGACCCTGATGTATTTTTTCACATTTACTGGACACATACTGTGCTCCACGTGCTTGACTGGACTTTGGACATGGAGAGATGCAGGACAAGCTCTTAAAGACCTCAGAGCCTCATAGAAGGACAGAGATGGAGTTCTATTTATTACAATGGGAAAGGCCTCGACTGCTAACCAAGGACTCTGGATGTTAATCGGGGGCAATAGGGAGTCACAGCATAATTTTAAGTGAGGACTGGTAGGATCCAATTGCAAGAATGCCTTTGGAGGCATAAGAAGGTTCTTGTCTTTATCCAGGCAAGAGAGGGCAAGTGCAGAGACAAGCGGGGGAACATCCAGGAGAATAGAGCTTGGTGACCACTGCATTTGGCCAGCAAGGAAGGGGAACTAGTCAGGGATGTATATAAAAGCAACTCCTTGTCCTTCAATGTCTTGTTCAGCAAGTATTCTCTAGCTGCTAACTATGTGCCAGACCCTGTGCTGGGGGCTGAGGACAGAGCAGTAAAGCTCAAAGACAAATGCTAGGATAGAGAGAGAGAAAGGGTCATGGAAGCAGAGAGGAAGCAGTGTCTAAGAGATACCTGAAGCATGAGTTGAAATGAACTAGATGAAATGAGAAGGAGGAGGGAGAGTGTTGCAGACAGAGAGTGCAAGACGTAGACAAGGAAAGACTCTGGGCAGGAAGTTCAGTGAGTGCTCCAGAGCCTGGGTGAAGCTCAGTGTGGATAATGCGGAATGGGAAGGGAAGAGATGAAAAATGAGGATACAGAAGGCTTTCAGGAAAGGCAGGAGAAGCAGAATGAAGAGATGATAACCTCCATTTCCCCCACCCTACCACATGTTTCCATGACCCTACCTCACTTTCTGGGATCCTCAAAGGGACCAGACTATCTGGGGATGGAGTTGGAGATTAAGGACCACAGGCCTAGTAGCTGGGGTGACCACAAGGAATCCCTTTTCCGTCTCCTTCCCCTTCTCCTTCCCTCCTTCCCTTTTTCTTCTCCTCCCCATCCTCCTTCTCTTCCTCCACCTCTCTCTCTGTCCTTCCCTCTCACCACCCACATACACCATGCTTTCTCTCACCTCTTGGCCATTGCAACTACTCTTCCCCTTGCCTGAAACACAGTTTCCCTAGGAACTCCTTCAACTTGCTGCTCAAGCATTATGCCTTCTCCGAAACCCTTCCAGCTCCCGAACACTCTGAGTTAGGTACTTTCTCCACCACGTTCCTATAGCCAGCCAGCCAGGAATGCACACTCTGTCATAATTGCTGCCATAATTCCTGTTTGTCTATCTCTCTCTCCCCTAGGCTCAGAATTCCTTGCCAACAGTGGCTGTGTCTGATATGTCTTTGAATCTTCAGTATCGAACTCAGTGCTTGGCATATTTGATGTTCATAAAATGTCTGTTAAAAGAATAAATGAATCCAGGACTCATGTTTCTAATAAGTATAGAAATTGCTCTCTTACCCCACATAAGTCTTGCATATCCTTGGTCATTGGCAATACTAGATAAGGATATGCTATTTAAGTAGCCTAAACTTAAACAATGATAAAGCTACATTACTGCATGTTTACTGAATGTCAAACAGACTTCTAAGTGCTTTGTGTTTACTAACTCATTTAATTCTCACAAATTTATAACCATTTGGTAGGAGAGGAAACCAAGGCATGGAGAGGTTAAGTATTTTGCTCAAGGCCACACAGCTAGTAAATGGTGGAACTGGGATTTAAACTCCAACAATCTAACTTCAGAGCAATACAGCCTTAGTAAAGCAGTCTCACATCCATCATCTGACTCAATTAATGTATCACAAGATAGTAATACCTACGTATTTATTATAATGAAAGAAATCAAGAGCCAAATAAATCAAGTTGTTAGCTATAGTCTCCAAAGAAGGGATACCCAAGATGCAACCCTTCCAGCCACTTCCTGCAGCCATGCTTGGTTCCTGTATATGCCTAAAGACCCCTCATTTAAAAAAAAAAAAAAAAAAGGTTTCAGACCCAGGCCCTATCTCATATACCATCCTGGCAATCTGAGTAAGATCTCAAGGGGGAGGAAATACTAAGGACATCTAATGTCTCTTCAGTTCACAGCCTAAAGTAGAAACAGAATCAATTTCTCCATTTTCCTCCTTTGAACCCCACCACATTTCCCCCATTACCTTTCAAAGCTGAAAGGAGTAGCACCCTTGAAGAAATTGGTACTCCCCACACATGTTTCCTCCCAGCATGGAATAAAAAGAAAACCGTGATGAGATAACTTTTTGTTTCTACTGTCAAAAAATTCTGCCCATTAATATGATAGTTTGATTTTCTCCTTGTGGTTGCCATTTTATCTCTAATCTGTATTTCTCTTTCTAGAGGATTATTTCTGATTTGAGAAGGGAGCTTTGAGTCACCAAAGCATTGCTTTGTGACCAGTATCATTGATCTTGCTGGTACCATGCAGACCTCTTGTTCCATATGAGTACACTGCAGTGTTGCTTGTCTTTATTTTTTTTTCCTTTGGCTTCCATTGAACTTCATATAAATAAAAGCAGAGTCAAACTCTTTCCAGATGCAATAATAAGAAAGAAATACTTTTATCTCAATGTCTTCAAGTATTAACAGAAGTAACACTTCTGTTAACAGTTAACATAAAGGAAAGTTTAGATTGAGGAAGTAAAAATGAGAGTGGGGGGAAATAACCCAAACATATTTCTCATTCCTATTTGTGATTTGGATACGAACATTGGCTTCAGGTTGAAATTTGGCCGCCCAGAAGTATTTTAACAAAAGTAATCTGAAGCAATGGAAAAGGCAGTTTTCCATTTTTATATAAGCAACAGGAGTTTTTAAGAAGGCAAGTAACAAAAAAAAAAATCAAAGCATTATTAGTTTGGGGATTTTTATTATACTCTTTTAACTAAAGGAATAAAAAGTTTCATTTTTCAAGGGGAAAATCTGCAGACAGTTCTAAGCTTCAAGGGCAAAATCGGCAGACAGTTCTAAGCATGGATGGCCACAAGAAAAGCCATCAGAAAAAATGTGAGATGAAAAAGTCTGGTTCTTATGCTCATGTCTGGTGCGTGGAGTTAATAGCTAATCATTAAAACAAAACATGTTCACCTATGTTGTTTTTAAAGAAGCACATATTAAGCATTTATATTGCACTAAGCACTAGAAGTCTTGATGAAAAAATAAGGAGAAAAAGGTAGAAGACATTACTTCCACTTTCAAAGAAAACTAAGAGCCATGCATATGTACAAATAATACATGGTAGAGATGAAGTAGAACTGGGCTGTGCTAAGTGTGAGAGTGGAGTGGAAAAAGTAGTGGCTTTGGAGTCAGAGAGATGTACATTCAATTTCCAGTTTCAAACCTGTATGACTTGGACAATTTTCTTATATTTCTGAGCTCCAGGCTATACATCTACAACATGGGAACACACGCCTTGAAGAACTGTGAACATTTAATAATATGCAGTATATGTACAGCACCTAGTCCATTGCCTGGCTCACTGCAGGCATTTGGAAACTCACTTCTTAGCCCTCTACTCCTCTGTGAGCTGAGTAAGGGAGTAGTCAGTATAATGCTCAAATATCGTTCTCTTTGCAATGATTAAACAGAAGCAAATAAAGAGAATGTCAGTGGCCAAGGTTGCATTACCTTGTGGTCAAGACATAGTGACACAGCAGACAAACAAACAAATACATATAAATAAAAATACAAGGAGCTAGGGTTTGGATTGGGGCCTGTGTGTATCTTCTGACTCTATCAAAACACCACTTTACATAATTCAACAAGGCCCCGATGCCCAATATTGCAAGAAACTGCCCCAAAATGCCACATTTAGTAGGGGGAAATGAACTATTTGTATCCTTTTTAGCATTTAATATTTTTTTCTAAGTTTTGTGCAAAATAATACGTGGAGAAATACTTTTACTGCTACCGTCAAATTTTATTTTGTTCACTGAAATGACTCTTTAGGAGAGGCTTTCTGAGGGAATTGAATAGGAGGGGACTAGTAAGGAACCATAAAGAGACATCTGGAACTTCCCCAGTGAGGGCCTGTGTCTGCATTCAGGAGTGAGAGTTTCCCCAGGAGAGGAGACTGAAAAGACCTGGGAAGGCAATAGAAGCACAGAGACAGGAAACCTACATGCCACTGTATGCTAGCAATGAGAAGGAGTGGGCAATATCAATGTGGTTTTCCTGCTAAAACAACCATGAATAATGAAGGACATGAGGGTAATCAAAAAAGGGTAGTGAGTGTGATTTGCCATGATGATCGTCAGTGGGGCACCCCCATGGAAATACCTGTGACAGCAGCAAGGGTGAGGTGTTATCTAAGTGCTTCAACAAATTTACTGCGTCTATGCCAGGCTCAAGTAGAGGAGCCTGTGAGGTAGGCATTTTAGTGCCTATTTCACAGGTGAGAAAACTACAGTTAGGAACTGGAAGATCTGGGAGTCAAAAGCAAATTGGATACACCTGAGCTTGGCGCAGCAGCGCACCCCTGTAATCCCAGAATTTTGGGAGGCTGGGGCAGGCGGATCACCTGAGGTCAGGATTCGAGCCAACCAACATGGTGACACCTCATCTCTATTAAAAATACAAAAATTATCTGGGTGTGGTGGCAGGCGCCTGCAGTCTCAGCTACTTGGGAGGCTGAGGCAGGAGAACCTCTTGAACCCGGGAGGCGGAGGTTGCAGTGAGCCAAGATCATGCCACTGCACTCCAGCTTGGGGGATGGAGCAAGATTCCATCTAGGAAAGAAAAAAAGAAATCGGACACACCTGTGATGTGAATTCATGCCCTGCTACTTTACATCTGTGTGAAGTTGCTGAGCCTCAGTTCTCTCATTTATATAAAAAAAAATATATAGCAATCACTTTCCAAAATTCACACAAACACTAGAGATGGTGAATATGGTATCTAGCATAATCCTCGGTATGGAATGGTGTTAAAGGCTCTACAAAGGTACACAGCAGATGCTAAACTAGAGATGATGAGTGAATGGATGAATTGATGGCTGGATGAATGACAAGCTAGATAGAAAGCCACTATAAACAAGCTAAAATATAAAAGATGATAGCTGAACATCCAGCTGGGGATCTTTTATTTTCTCATTATAGCTTTGAAAGAGTCCTGAGGGTAGAGTAAAACATATACAATCAGTCCCATTTGAAATATGGATAAACCCAAAGTCTGAACTGAAATAATTTACCCCAAGTTCATTCAGCTAATTTAATTATTCAAAAAACATTAATTAAGCACCTGCTCTGTTCCAATTATTGTGGCTACAGTAACAAAATAAAAACGTCTCCCTACATGGTGCCTACATTCTGTTGGGAGGGGTGAGGAGATAGACAATAAACAAAACAAATAATATATACACTTCGAGAAGCTGGGGCAAAGACAGGAAACTGAATCCCTGGGGCTGCAAGATTACACAGACTGAGCTAGAATCTAAGACTATACATGTCTACCATGACCCTTTAGCCCACCCACAGATTCTCAAGTAGCATGATCAAATACCTGCAGCCTCAGCAACTGCTTTCTGAACTCAATTTTGTTTCTCTTGAAATTGCACATTTAACTGTGGCATGCATGTGGCAGAGGTGGTACCAAAGTGCAGAGGTCCCTCTCTCTGTTAAAGCTTAATCCCTGGGAGCCCTGAGAAGAGCTGACCTCAGGGCCTTCAGACCAATGAGGAAATTGGGGTCATTCTTTGCTCTATTGTGTTACATTAGCTGCATTGTGGTTTTATAGCTTCATGGAAGTGAAGCAGATGGAATCTCTGACCTTGGGTGCCAACAAACTAAAAAATAAAAAATACTCCCCAAGCTACATGTGTTATTTGGCTCATATCACACCATAAAGACCAGACCCTGACCAACATTCAAAAGTGATGACAATATGTTAGCACCAATGTACGCTGACTCTTTTGTTAAGTACTTAGTTTACACCCAGTCTTGCAAGGAGGGATCCAAACTGCAGAGAACCTTATGGTCTGCATCTTTAAAACAAAGATATATTGAAAATTCCTGCCTCCTAATTATCTCTTAATTTACTCACTTCTATCTGTTCTCCACCGCCATTATAGTAGATCATCATGTCTCTCTTGAATTGTTTCAGCAGCCATCTATCTGGCTGGTTTTCTGGCTTTCTTCTGTGGTTTCTACTGCCCTACAGAAAAAGTACACACTGATTAGCATGGTTTGCAAAATACTTCAAGCCTGGCCATTTCCAGATACCAGCCTCACCTCTAGTCTTTCCCTTCTTTGCTTATGCCACAGCCATACTGAATTCCTTGTAGTTTCTCCAAATACACCATGTTCCCTCTAATGGCCAGATGTTTGCAACTGGAATTTCCTTTCTCCTACTCTTCAGCTGGCCAACTCACACTCATCAATTCTTTCATCCTCTCTGTTGCCTCCTAACATTTTATGTTGCCTCCCTAAATTCTCTAAGACCAGAATGGTGGTTCCCTCTATGTTCTCTCATATAACTTGGCTTTCCCAATCAGTAAACACTGGTTGAATAAAGAGCTGAATATATGTAAATAAATGAATCAGAGAATCATATTTTGTAGAGAATCAGTATCAAAGTTGCATCCTAGAACCTCGATCACCAATCTTTCTTTTCTATCTAACACAAAATTAAATCTGCCCAACCAGTTAAGTGTGCTCACCTACCTTTGTGGGCACATATGTGGGTGGAGGATGGTGCCTTTGCCCTGGGCATTTTGTTGCCCATGAGCTTTTTCCTCACAGTCCTTGACTCCCACCCTGGTGTTGTATCTATTCACTTGCCATAGTGGACTTGGACCTCTGCAGTTGAGTCCTCGTCTTTTCTGCTTCAACTCACAACTAGGGCTTCTCTGAATTTAGCTCCCTGGGGAAAATGTTTAGTTTCTTAGCTGGTGGGTTAGAAAAACCACTGGCCTCTGTGTGTCACTGTCCCAGCAGGTGTGCCAGGGTAAAAGTCTAGGAGGTCCTTTGCCACTATACATCTTCTAGAAATAGATTTACAGAGTCTTAGAGTGTTGATGATAGAAAATCCTCAAAGATTATTCAATCCATACCTTGATTTTATAGGTGTTTTTCTTCCTGCCTGCCTTCCTGCTTTGTTGTCTTCATTCCTTCCTTCTTTCCTACGGCACCTATTGTATATCAGGCAGTGTGCTCAGAATTGGGAGTTTAATCAGGCAGGAATAGATTAGACACAAAGTTCTTTAGCTTACAAAGTTCATAGTCAGCCTAGCTAGGCCCTCAGACAAGTAGCCAGACAATTACAACACCGTGTGCTGAAAGAGGGCCTATTTGGGCTGGGTGCAGTCGTTCACACCTGTAATCCCAGCACTTTGGGAGGCCAAGGTGGGTGAATCACCTGAGGTCAGGAGCTCGAAAGCCACCTGGCCAACATGGTGAGACCCTGTCTCTACTAAAATACAAAAATTAGCCAGGCGTGGTGGTGGGTGCCTGTAATCTCAGCTACTCAGGAGGCTGAACCCAAAAGGCGGAAGTTGCAGTGAGCCGAGATTACACCACTGCATTCCAGCCTGGGTGACAGAGCCAGACTTTGTCTCAAAAAAACAAAACAAAACAAAACAAACAAAAAAAGAGGGCTTGTTTGTTTGTTCATTTGTTTTGCCATTTCAGGACATACGACATAGGAATAAGAATTTCTCATTTCCAGTTGGTATAGAATAGTTGTGCTCTACTCAATATCATGTGTTCATACACAGTGTCAATTAAGATTAAGAAATAAGAACTTAGTAGCAGGTATGAAGTTAATACGGGTGACCTTTTAACCCCACAGACTTGAGTCCCTATCCCAATGTAGGGTTCTGTCACCCTCGGTGTGCCAGAGTCTAAGAGTCATCTGGACTGGGGCTTGAGCACCAACTCCAGGATCACAGCCTGAATCATGCTTGAGAATCTGCCTCATTACCCTACAGTTTGTCATTATACTCAGAAAACAGCAGATGCTAAATAAACACTTGTTAGACAATGCTACCTTGTTTTAAACACTATTTCTCATCTTGACCATATTTACTAAACTTTTTTCCAAATGCCTTTTGGCTTGACTAAAAACGTTTAAGTGTATTACCAGAAGTCAAAGATAAAGAGAACTAACGTGTTGTCAGATTTTATACCAGCTCCTGTGCCACTTAACACTGTCTCATTTATTCTCGCTGCAGTCTTCTGAATTGTGTATACACTGCCCCATTTTTCAGATGAATTAAGGCCTGTAGAAATTTGGTGACTTTCCTAACATCACACAGACAAGTCTGTGTGACGTTGTCTTTAGCCGTTCAACATGTGCTCTATCATTTTGGGATTGGTTTACACAGCGTTGTGGGAATAAGAACCCTGGCTTTTCAGGTTATCATTTTAATAAGACAGAAATGATTTTTATGTTCAAATTCTGTTCCTTCTGCTAAAATAATTGGTCTCATTACTTCAAATGCAAAGCCGGTGTTCAATCTTCTATCATATACCTAACATTTACTTGCATTTTTTATTTAAATTATATCTCCAAGGCCCTTTCTCTTCCTCTGATTTGAAAGACCCTTTGCGCTAACTTCTGAATTTTGAGAGCACTGAATTTTGATTATCTTTCATTTTTTCTTTTGACTGGTATCAAGAACACCCCCTTCGCCTGATGACTGCTAAGTAGCAGCATTTCCCATAAGAACCCCGCCACCCTCTCTGTGGGACCATCATGCCTGGGTTTCTTGAAGTGGCACATCTTCCCTTTTTGCCCACCTCTGCACCCCCAGCATATTAGTCAGGCCACTTGATTTTAAGTTACAGGAACCAGCCTGAGGCAGGTTAAGCAAAAAAAGTGGGACTTATTATAAGAAAGAAAAAAATACATCTTACGACAAACAAGGTCAGAAATGCAGATGAGGATGAGAAAACTATCTGGACTCTCCAACTCTTATCTCTGCCTCTTTCTATGTGGGCACTTCATTCTTCTCCCTGTGAGAGCTGGCTTACTTTGGTCTCTGATCCACATGGAAAAGGGCATAATTATTTCCAGCTCCCAAATGCGTCTATGACAATCCAACCATCTAAAAATAAATAAATAAATAAATAAATAAATACTAATTTTGTTGGTCTAACTTCCAAATTTATGGGGAAAGAACTCTGAATGGACATGATGGCAACATCTAGTCTAAGCAGCTGTGGCCAGGAAGAAAGTATTCTTGCTGAAAGAGGTGGCCATAAGCCTATACTATGGAAGCAGGGGGCAGGAGAGATCATTGTAAACTGAGTAGACTCTGAAATAGGTCCACTCCTTCTTCTAATTAAGTTATCCATTTTCTGAGAAGTCTCCTGACAATGAGAAGGGTGAATCCAGAATCAGAGACTTGAAGACCAAAATGGCAATTTGCAGTGGCTACCATGGGGACTTGGCAGGGTGAGAATGTTGTAGAATGAGGGCAGGGCCACATCTTTCTGCCCATAGCTGTGTTCTTATGTCCAACTTGGTAGCTGGCACCCAGTGAAAATGAGAGAACTGTTTGTTAAATGATATGTAAACTTCAAGGGAAAAGCAGTGTTCATCATACCTCCTAAATGGTGGGAAAGAAGAGTAAGAATGAAGAAAAAGGTGAGAAAGAAGTATTTCCCATGTTAACATTTTGGAGATAGCATTGGATTGATAAGAGTGACACGTAGCACCTGCCCTGCTCCAAGAGGGGACTGGATAAGCATTTTTAGTGTCTGGTATTTTGAAAGTGGCATCAGTGATTGGAGGAGTCTTTTTATGGCTGTTGAGGCAAATCCTGTACATAATACAGGAAGCTCTGTATATTAAAGAATGTAGGTTTGCAATGGAAAACCTGTCTCATATGGGAAGACTGGAAAACAGTGAACAATTCCATGAGCTATAAGTAAAGACTATCTTCACTATAGAAAACTTCATGTTCTAAAAATTTACACCTATCGCATTATTTCCTATAGCAATCTAGATCATTGAGATGGAAATATTGTCAATTATAAACACATACCTGAGTGGATAATTTGTTGTTTTCTTAGAGGTTCTTCAATTGTTTTACTTTTTATTTTTATTAATCACTGTGTCTATTTGTAAGGTATACACTGTACTCACCTGTAAGTTATGTGCCTTGTTAAATAAATGTAGATAAGTAGTTCTGTGGAGTGTGGTGTTAGAAAGGGGAAATAATAAACACATCCTTTAGTTAGAAGGAACGTAGGTGAGTTCTTTTGTTGTTATTTGTTCTTAGTCAAGTGACATTCCTACAAATGAGAGACTGAAGTCAGTGATCTCTAAAATATGCTTATGTGCTATTATATTGCAATTTTTTAACCAAAAAGTTGAGAACTTTTTCTCCTAAACTATTTAGGAGAAACATTTCTAGGAAGCAAATCTAAGAAGTAGTCCTAAGTATGAGAATGACTTGTGGGAAAACAGAAACAAAACAATCTTATTGTGTCATTGTTTATAAACAATTGTTTATAAACAATTGTTTATAAACAAGGGAATTAAGAAAATAACCAAAACATTCAACATCAAACCAAAGGTCACATGAATTCAATGTATTTTCCAGAGAGAATATAAGGTGATATAAAATTATAATTTTGAAAACTATGTAAAAACATGGAACTTACACAGTACCGTGCTCACTCCACAATCCCATATACTTACACGTGAACTAAGACTGAAAGAAACGTATCAAAATGTCAATACTAATTGCATCAGGACTAACAGACCTGTTTTCTTTCTTTATTCTACTTTCTATATTTCTGGTCTGGTAATGTCATTTAGCATAACTGAAAACAAAATATTAGATAAATAATGCCAGCAAAAGTTCAACCAGAAGGAAGAATAAAGAGCTAGTGCCCAATGTCAAGCACTTTATTTGCTTTTAAAGATAAAGGATTTAAGTGTGTGTGGCAAAGAGAACAAGATAACATGCAACCACAGGTTAGAGCTGTAACACGTGGTCAGACTGAGGAGGAGATGTTAAAGAGCTGTGATCAACGGGAGGACAATTAACCCTAATTTAACATTCATCTCATGTGCTTCCATAGAAGCACAACATCTAAAATAGGAAGATGATGGTGCCACTCTACCTTGAAACAAACTACACTTGAAACATGAATCCACTGGAGTTTATTCAAAGAAGGCATAAAAGATGGTCTGGGATTCAGAAATAATAAACTGGAGGAACTGGGGATATTCAACTGAAAAAAGAGAAAACTCAGGGATTTAAATTGCTCTAGAGGGAGAGGGCAAGATGGCTGACTAGATGCAGCCAAGTGGAACAGCTGCCACTGAGGGACCAAGATGACTGGCTCACTCCTAACAGATCTTCAGAGGGAAGGCACCGAGAGTGGATGGAGGGAGGACACAGGAGCTGGGCTCGACGGGGAGGAAGCTGGGAACCTGAAAGAGGCTACCACTCACTAGGACTCATTCCTGGCCCCTAACAACTCCCAGGGAATGGGTGAGTTGAACTGGCCAACAGCAACCTGCTCTCACCACCTGCCTCTGGAATCCAATCAAGAGGAGACCCCTTGACCACCATGGCCACTCATTGATGCAGAGAGCTGCTTAGAGAACTCATAGGGGCAGCACATAGCTGATGTGGAGCCTAGAGGGTTTCGTGCAAGAGCACCTGTAGCACAGCACCACCAGGAAGGTCCATCTCCCTAGGCTCAACTTGGAGACATTAGCCATAGGAGACATTAGCCCTAGGGACACTGATGGACCTGAACTCTGTAGGGCAATCTTGCCCACCAGACGGGGTCAGTCCGACTTGAGCACCCTTTGATCCACTGGCCTCTTCTGGGGGCCCAGCCTTGCAGCACCTGCTCGCAGGGCAGCTTTGGGTCTCCTAGGGGCTACATCATAGCTCCTGCATGGGAAGATTGTCCTTGATAGGCAGAAAGATCTAGCAGGGCAGCCCCCATGGTCAAATACCAGCCTGCCTGCTCCCTCCCACACTGCAGCATCCCTGGGGCCCACAGCAACCATGCACATCACTTTTCCAGCATGTATGTGCGTGGACAGGTTTTAGCTTTCTCACCCAGCCGGTGTGCATATGCCCTGCCCTGCCACTGCTGTTGTGGGAGTGCACTTTGCCCCCACTCCCCACTGGACCACCACTGCAGTCAGAGCCTTGGTGGGCGAGGAGCCAGCGAGCCGCAACCAGCCACAGCCATGTTAGCACTCTGCCCTTGTGTCAACACTGCCATGGGAGTAAAACAAGGCCCAGAGAACAATGGGTACTCCCCACCCTGAGAGACCACCACGGCCTGTGGCACAAAGACAGTGCACCCAGACCTGTGCCTAACAGTGTTCTGCCCCTTTGCTGACACCACCACCAGCGTGACCACATGCATAGTTGCCAGCAGGGGCCTCCCAACCCCGCAAGCTGATTCTGCCACTGTGGTGAACCTACACGGAAGCAGGCACACCAGTACCCGCTAGTACCCTGCAGTGGCTGAGAAGCATGCACCTCACCGCGCTGCCACTGCTGCTTCTCACACATGCAAATGAAGATGGATCCCACTGCCACCACTCTATGAAATGCTTTGGCTGACACCACACATCAGAATAGTGACCAGTAGTCAGGGAGCACCTTGGCCAAGAAGACAAAGTTGGGGCACGAAACAAGTTTCCTAGACCACACAGTCCAGGAACTAGGAGCTGAGCATTGGCCCCCTAAAATCTTCCAGAAATGAAGCTAGTCGTCTGAATCCACCCTGTACCACAATCAAACCCTTAAGGTCACCAAATAGGATAAAGGAAGAAAAAAAAAGACTATCCAAAGGTCAGCAACTTCAAAGATCAAACTACTATCTATAAGAAACTTAAATTTACAAGAAAGAAACAACCCCATAAAAAAGTGGGCAAAGGACATGAACAAGCAATTTCCCAAAGAAGACATACATGCATATGAAAAGAAGCTCAACATCACTGATAATTAGAGAGATGCAAATCAAAACCACAATGAAATATCATCTCACATCAGTCAGAATGTCTACTATTTAAAAGTCAGAAAATAAAAAGAAGCAGGTGCTGGCAAGGTTGTGGAGAAAAAGCAACACTTTTACAGTGTTAGTGGAAGTGTAAATTAGTTCAATCTTTGTGAAAAACAATGTGGCTATTCCTCAAAAACCTAAAAACAGAACTACCATGGGACCCAGCAATCCCATTACTGGGTATATACCCAAAGGAATATGAATCATTCTATTATAAAGACATGCACATGTGTGTTCATTCCAGCACTGTTCACAATAGCAAAGACATGAAACCAACCTAAATGCATATCCATGGTGGACTGGGTAAGGAAAATGTGGCACATATACACCACAAAATACTATGCAACCATAAAAAAGAACGAGATCATTTCTTTTGTGGGAACATGGACACAGCTGGAGGCTATTATCCTAGGCAAACTAATGCAGGAACAGAAAACCAAATACTGCATGTTCTCACTTATAAGTGGGAGCTAAATTATGAACACATGAAAACATAAAAGGGAAAAATAGAAACTGGGGCCTATCAAAGAGTGGAAAGTGGGAAGAGGGAGAGGATAAGGAAAAATAACTAATGGGTACTAGACATAATACCTGAGTGATGAAATAATCTATAAACAAACCCCAGTGACATGGGTTTCCCTATATAATAAACCTGCACATGTACCCCTGAACTTACATGTTAAGAAGTAAATTGCTCTAGAGTTGCTATGAAGAAAAGGGAGGATACTGGCTTGTAGGGTCACATGGGAAAGAATTATGACCAATGAATTGAAGTTCTTGTCTGATCAATTTCAACGTAAGAGCTGTGCTGCCTCTGGGGAAATTAAGTACCTCATCAGTAGAGATGCACAGTGTGAGTCTGCAGAGATGAGAATGTTGTAAAAAAAGAAATGAAGGACTGAACAGCAGAGGATAAAGACCTTTAAGGTCCCTTTTAGCCCTGAGGTTTAGTGGTCTCAAGAACTCCAAAATTCCTCTTGTTACTGATTTCTAGTTATATTCCATTGTGGTCAGAGAAGATACTTGATATACTTTCAATTATTTTGAATTTTTAACACTAGTTTTGTACCTTAACATATGGTGTATCCTTGAGGATGATCCATGTGCTGAGGAGAAGAATGTGTATTCTGCAGTCATCAGATGAAATGTTCTGTAAATATATCTATTAGGTCCATTTAGTCTATAGTGCAGATTAAGTCTGATGTTTGTTTGTTGATTTTGTCTGGATGATCTGTTCAATTCTTAAAGTGGGGCATTGATGTCTCTAGCTATTATTGTATTGAGGTCTACCTCTCTTTGGCTCTAATAATATTTGCTTTATATATTTTGGTTCACCAGTGTTAGGTACATATATATTTATAGTTGTTACATCTTCTTGCTGATTTGATACTTTTGAACTTCTTTGTCTCTTTTTATAGTTTTTGTCTTGAAATCTATTTTGTCTGCTGTAAGTAGAGCTTCTGGCTGGGCGTGGTGGCTCACGCCTGTAATCACAACATTTTGGGAGGCCAAGACAGGCAGATTACAAGGTCAGGAGTTCGAGACAAGCCTGGCCAACAAGGTCAAACCCCTTCTCTACTAAAAATACAAAAATTACATGGGCATGGAGACGTGCACCTGTAATCTCAGCTATTCGGGAGGCTGAGGCAGGAGAATAGTTGGAACCCGGGAGGTGGAGGTTGCAGCGAGCCAAGCTTGCACCACTGCACTCCAGCTTGGGCAGAAGAGCAAGACTCCATCTCAAAAAGAAAAAAAAGTATAGCTTCTGCAGTTCTTTCTTTTTTTCTATTTGCATGGAATATCTTTCTCTTTTTCCATCCCTTTATTTTCAGTCTCTGTCTTTATGGGTGAAGTATGTTTCCCATAGGCAACAGATCATTGGGTTTGTTTTCTTATCCATTCACCACTCTGTGACTTTTGTTGTTTTTGGACTCTGTGCCTTTTGATTGGAGAGTTTAGTCCATTTATATTCAGTGTTATTATTGATAAGTTAGGACTTTGTCCTGCCATTTTGTTACTTATTTTTGATTGTTTTGTGGTCTTCTCTTTCTTCTTTCTTTTATTCCCGTCTGCCATTTAGTGAAGGTGATTTTCTCTGGTGATATGATTTAGTTTCTTGCTTTTTATATTTTGTATATCTATTGTATGCTTTTTGATTTGAGGTTATCATGAGGCTTGTAAATACTATCTTATAACCCATTATTTTAAACTGTGACAACTTAACACTGACTACATAAACAAACTAATAAACAAACTAACAAAGCAAAGAGAAAACTAATAAATTCTTTGTCCCCCTGATTTTTAGCTTCTTGTTGTTTCTATTTATATTTTATTGTACTGGGAGTATCTTGAAAAGTTGTAATTATTATTTTTGATTGGTTTCTCTTTTAGCCTTTCTCCTCAAGATATGAGTAGTTTACATGCCACAATTATAGTGTTATAATATTGTATTAGGCCGTTTTCATGCTGCTGATAAAGACATACCCAAGACTGGGAAGAAAAAGAGGTTTAATTGGACTTACAGTTCCACATGGCTGGGGAGGCCTCAGAATCATGGCAGGAGGTGAAAGGTACTTCTTGCATGGTGACAGCAAGAGAAAATGAGTGAGATGCAAAAGCAGAAACTCTTGATAAACCCATCAGATCTCATGAGACTTGTTCAGTACCACGAGAATAGTATGCGTTCTCCCCCATGATTCAAATGATCTCCCACCGGGTCCCTCTCATAACACGTAGGAATTATGGGAGTACAATTCAAGATGAGACTTGGGTAGGGACACAGAGCCAAACCATATCAAATATTCTCTGTTTTTCTGTGTACTTACTATTACCAGTGATTTTTGAAACTTCAGATGATTTCTTGTTATTCATCAACATTCTTTTCTTTCAAATTGAAGAACTCCCTTTAGTATTTCTTATAGGACAGGTCTGGTATTAATGAAATTCCTCAGCTTTTGTTTGCCTGGGAAAGTCTTTATTTCTCCTTCATGTTTAAAGGATATCTTTCTGCATATACTTTTCTAGAATAAAAGGTTTTATTTTCCTTCAGCACTTTAAATATGTCATGTCAGTCTCTCCTGGTCTGTAAGGTGTCCACTGAAAAGCCTGCTGCCAACACATTGGAGCTCCATTGCATGTTACTTGTTTCTTTTCTCTTGTGTCTTTTCAAATTCTTTCTTGATCATTGATCTTTGGAAGTTTGATTGTTAAATACCTTGAGATAGTCTTCATTGGGTTAAATCCACTTGGTGTTCTATAACCTTCTTGTACTTGTGTACTGATATCTTTCTCTAGGTGTGGGAAGTTCTCTGTTATTATCCCTTTGAGTAAACTTTCTACCCCTGTCTCTTTCTCTGCCTCTTCTTTAAGACCAATAAATCTTAGATTTGCCTTTTTAGGCTGTTTTCTGATAGAGGTCTAGTTTTTTTCTTCTCTGTATGGATATCCAGTTTTCCTAGCACCATTTATTGAAGAGACTGTCCTTTCTTCAATGCACATTCTTGACACCTTTGTCAAAAAGAGTTGACTTTAAATGAGTAGATTTCTTTCTGGGTTCTGTCTTCTGTTTCATCGGTATACATGTATTCATTTTTATGCTAATACCATGCTGGTTTGATTACATACCTTGTAATTTATTTTGAAATCAGGTAGTGTGGTGCCTCCAGCATTCTTTTTGCTCAGCATTTCTTTGGCCATTCTGGCCCTTTATTGGTTTTATATAAATCTTAGGATTTTTTTTTCCTATTTCTGTGAAGAATGTAATTAATATTTTTATAGGGATTGTACTGAATCTGTAGATTGCTTTGGGTAGTATAAGCATTTTTACAATATTGATTCTCCAAATCCATGAATGTGGAATATCTTTTCATGTTTTGTATCCTCTTCAATTTCTTTTATCAATGTGTTGTAGTATTTATTATTGAAATGTTTCACTTTTTAAAAGTTTATTTCTAGGTACTTTATTTTATTTCTAGCTATTGTAAATGGGATTACTTTCATGGTTTCTTTTCCAGTTGTTTATGGCAGACTTCTAACATGAGTTAAGAGTCAAGTTCAAGAAAGTCAGCTCAAACAGGTCTTATCTAGCAAAATAATTTTTGATAATTAAACACCAGAAACTCAAGCTAGAAGACTGAAGAATAAACAATCTTGAGAATGGAATGGGTTTAGAGAATTAAGAAAAGCAGTTTACATCACAAGAAGACAGACTCTGGGCCAAAAAATGCAGAGCAATTATTTGTAATGAATTTAGCTAGGTCCCTGGCATAAAAATGCTTGATCATGACTAAATTATTCACTTGTCCTGTCTTATGCTGATTCATTCAGTCCATATAGTAATGCATCAGACATTTATTGAGCACTTACTATAAGTCAGGAACTCTACTAGTTACTGAAAATTAAAACAAATAAGATATATAAAAATATCAAACAGTAACCTGACACCATTTAGTAAACTGTCACAACCTAAACTTCTAAATGCTAGGTAAAATTAGAAATTAGATGCTGCAAGAGGCTGGTGGGTGTGCACCTGAGTGAGCCTTTGGTTGCCAAAGGAGCTTTCTAGAGGAGACGATAACTGCGTGAATCCTGAGCATGAACGAAGTCAGGCAGGCAAGAGATTTTTGTAAGAACAGGGGAGGCATGTTTTTCTAGGCAGAGAGATCCTCATACTCACAGGCCTATGGGTGATGGCAAATGTGTGAATTTCTAGAGATGCAAATGAATAAGTATATCTGGGTGGAGACACCAAGTTGGGATGGAAAGGAAGCTGGGATCAGGCCCTGATGAGCATTATAAATCCTGTTAAGATGTCTTGCCTTGACCCTCAAAGTGGGAAGCCTCTTCAAGCAAAGAAGTAATTTGATGAGATGTGCTTTTTAGAAACAGGGAGAAAAAAAAGGTATTTAATATTCCAATAGAGGGTTTTCATTCAACTTTTATTAGTTAGTTTTACTGAGGGCTAGTATTGGTCTCTACTCACAAGAAAAGATACCTGTATAATATACGTATGAAGTTGTAGCTGAAGAAGTAAAACCAAGGCAATTGTAATACACACTGTTTCTCTCTGTACCCTATACCCAAGCCTGCCTTGAAATATGGTTCTATCAGAATGTGTCCAAACTGTACCCCTTGCACAAAAATATTTTCATCTCCACAAAAGTGATAACTCTTTTCTTCCTTATCTTTATAGATCAATGTTCAATGGAGCTTGGATTTGTCATGGGTCTCTGGTGACAAACATTGGTCATATTGGTGAGTTATATGGTTCTTCACTTCTCATTTGTCACCTTTTGTCATGAGCCAAGTTATGGTGAAAGCTTGATTTGATTAATTTTCTCTATTCTTGGGTCATTTTTATTCATAATTTTCAAATCTACCCCAAAGTCTTCAGAGTTCTGCCCACACCTGTATCTAGTATATTACTCTGGATATATAGTTATAACATACACCTTTAGAGGTATACTTCCCTTGGGTCATAGTTGCATTGTGGAAGAGTTGTATATAAACCAAATGTTCATGAAGCATATATAAAATGTAAATCCCCTAGAAAGCTTTTGTGTTTGAAGGAATCCTGTTACAAAGTGACAAATATATCTGAAAAAGAAAATCACTTTTTTGTCTTGTTCAAAAACTGATCATTTATTCACATTGCAAATATACCTGATGTTCAATAATGAAATTTTGCTTCTGTAACTCCTTTGGTTTGATATGTTATTGAAATGTTGGTGGCAAGATGAAAAGCTTACCCCAGATTGGAAAATAAATCAAAGGGCAGACATTAAATGAGATATTTTAAAACTTTCTGAAAAGATTTCTGACCTTCACATAAGCTGCATTCTAATGGAAGAATAGAATACGTTTCCAGACATGTTATCTATTCTAGTCTCTTCTTCAGAGCATGTTTTGTTGTTTTTGAATGGGATATTGTTCTTTTTTGTGTGAGGGAAAGGTTGATTTGGGGTTTTGTTTATTGGGAGGCACAATACCTAGAGTTGTGTGATAAGCTGTTTTTTTGTTTCTATAAAAAAAAGAGTTGATTCTGGAGACTGAGTTGTTTCTTGTTTTTAGCACAACATATTTCTGGATGCATAAATGCAGATTGGAAATAATAAATGTACTCAGAAGGCACAGTTAACATAACACATTTTTTTTCATACCCACACATTTTGCCTTGTACAACTAGCAATAATTTGGGGAAAACAGAAACAAGTCCAAAAAATGTAATTCACTTTACAGTAATTGGTTTCTTATTTATAGTTTTCCCCATACTAACACCTTTGTCAATGTTTTACTACCTCTTTATACACTCTTGGAAGGACAATTTTTGGATTTTTCTGAGGCAGCCATGATTTTCTATCCTATTGTTTCCACTGTTACGTTTGCAGTAACAAACCTTGTGATTTTGGTTGAGAACATAATGTCTGTATATGTCCTCTAGCAACCTCTCCGCATTTTACTCCATCCCTTCCCACATTCCCATCAGCACATATCACAAATTCTTTACTGTTTTTATTTTTGGTTCTAAGCCAATTCCATTTCTATTTCTCCCATCCAAGTACAATGTAATCACTTTTGGATTGTCAGCACATTGTTGAAAACATTGGTATACTCAAATCCTTTTCACTTTTTAACAGCATAAAAAACAAAATCAGAATTTCAGTTACCTTTGAAAAACATATTGTGCACATCTTAAAATCCCAAAATGCCACCTGAAATAAGTTGCAAGGAATATTTTAGTTGTGTTCCTCAGCACACCTGCAGGAAATTATTTACACCCTTACCATACTGTTTAATCTGGTTCAATTGCAAACATTAATATAGAACAGAGCAGCAAATAAATGGTCAGTACAATTATGTATGTAACGGGGAAATAATATTTTATTTCCTCATTTGAAATCAGTTTTTACTTTTTGGTAAGTGAGATAGAATGATTTGTCTGTAATCTGAACAAAAATATTTCTGCCAATACTCTATTAAAAACAGAAAGAAAATAGTGTTCTCAACACACAAGTGATTACCCTTTTAGCTGATGTGTTTTGCTCTTTTTTCCTTAGCTTTTTGAATGGTCTAGTAAATTCTAGCTTTCCAAAGTGAGACACTTAAAATCTAAAAGAAGTAATCTAAGAAGCACAGTCAATGAATGTTTCATTTTACGTTGAGGCTAAAGTTTCTAATTCTGGATTTTTAAAAAAATACATTTTCTCATCTGGTATTCACCTTTAATGTTAAATATTCTAATAGCTACTTCATAATTCATATCTGGTTAATTTTTAAAATTTCTGCATTGATGTGACATGAATGCTGTCAAAATTAAATAATTTTATATTATCCTTTAGTGGTATCAGTATCACATTCTACATTTTTCTTAATTCAGGAATTGAGCTACTAGTATCTGTATTAAAATGTATAATAATATCAGAAGTACACATCTTTCTCCTTAGTGCTAAACCTGATTCTTTGTCAGTTTAACCAATTTAAACCAGAAATCTGGTTTTCTGGTTCAGTTCTGGAAAATATAGTGTTCTAGTTATTACCTTTGCCCATCAGGCTAGGAAAATTGGGTTATTCATTTGATGGTGGAGCCTCCAAAGATGCATATTAAGGAAGTTGTGGGCTGACAAGTATTCTACTTGCTTAACTTTAAAACAAAGTCAATTATGAAACAGACCATTAATTCAATAATGGTGGGGCAGTCATTGGCAGGTAAGGGAGTGAAATAAATGTGAAAATTAGCTAAAAAAACTCCTGCTCTACAACATTTATTTACCCATATACCCATCATTTATTTTAAGTGTCATGATCAAAATTTGAATCTAATCCTTCTTAACACTTAGAATTCTTCAGAATCCCTTTTGGCCATCTGCAGTTAGGCATTGCATCAGGGGCTGAGCCTAATTTACATCTCTTGTCCTCTTTAACACCTTTGCAATTGACAGTGCAATTTCTTTTTTTCTTTTTTTTTTTTTTTTTTCTGAGGTGGAGTCTGGCTCTGTCGCCCAGGCTGGAGTGCAGTGGCACGATCTCGGCTCACTGCAAGCTCCGCCTCCCAGGTTCACGCCATTCTCCTGCCTCAGCCTCCCGAGTAGCTGGGACTACAGGCATCCGCCACCACGACCAGCTAATTTTTGGATTTTTAGTAGAGATGGGGTTTCACCGTGTTAGCCAGGATGGTCTCGATCTCCTGGCCTCGTGACCCACCCGCCTCAGCCTCCCAAAGTGCTAGGATTACAGACATAAGCCACCGCGCCTGGCCCGACAGTGCGATTTCAAGGCAAACGGAGGAAGACCACAATTTGATCTAGATTAGCTATATGGTTAAACTCATGGCTCCTTTTTGGTATTCCCTTAATTAAACTAGTTATCTCTAGAGATTAAAAAATTTCTGTTTCAGCCTAACCTTCTACCAGATATCATAGGCACCTAAGTTGTAGTTCTTGAAACGTTGCTTATCCACATTTACCTTTACTAGACTTGAAAATTCTATGAAGCACTCGAAGGTACTTGGTGCTTTCCAATGCCTTTAATTGCATTGCTTGGAATGTGCCAGTTGTCTTCTGCAGGCATTAAATTTTTGCTATAACGTGACATCACAATGCAGTCTTGCTGAAGCCATTTTGAGCAATTATTATACATCTAGATTTAATGTAAAATTTAACCACATATGGTGCTACCAATGCAAATATATCAACTCAGCTGTTAGTCTGAACAGATCTACCTGCTGTGCATTGCCAAGTTCATACATGTATAGGCAATAAGAACTCTGTCACAAATTATTCCTCTTTCTAGGAGCTAAAGAGTTATTTTCTGACATCCCTTGTAATATGCATTCTGATTTCAGAATAATTAAAATGTGAAAAGGTGTTTCTCTTAGAATTAAGGAAATAGAGCAGTTAACATTTCAAAGGACCAGTATCTCCTGTATAAACATAAAAATGGACTTAAGCTTTCAACATTCACTCTAGTACCTTCAGAGGTGTCACCTAAGTCTCTTCCTCTCTTTTGTTCTCATCCTTATCCTCTTTGATTTCCTTTCTCCCTCTCACTCTCCTGAATAGTTGTACATGTATGCCTCACTCCCTTTTTATCTTTCTGAAAGAAAATAGAATTGTTACTGTTTTTGTGATAATTTTCATTACAAGGTATAATACGATTGCTTAGAATGGTGGTATCTCTTTACTGTGAGTCTATCACTGGGATGACCATACCTTTATCCCAGGACAGTCCATGTACAACTCTTGTTTCCATGTAATTATGAACAGGACTCTCTTCAGCTCTAAAATTGTCATTTGGTTGATAAATTCCATGAATGATTAAGAGTCACAAACCAAATCACAAAATACTTCCAGCTGAGCAAGTGACTATGACGTCCTTATGTCCATCAACACAAGCAGCTGAAGACTGTGGAAGTATCATTTTCCTCATTTTGGAAAATGAAGAAACAAACTGAGTATAAGTTACCCAAGGAAACTGAAGAAGGGGTTAGGGGACCTTAGCTGGGAAGGTGACAAGGACTCTTGCAGACAGACCTACTGGCAAGAAATAAGGTAAATAGAAGCAGTAAGGAGGCAGGCCTTAAACTGAGAAGGCAGGAAGCCAGGCAGGGAGTCCTTGGTTGTGCACCAGCCCTGTGGGGCTCAAGTTTAACCCTTGTAGGGTCAGAAATCTGTTTTTAAAGAATATCACAGTGACTTGGGTGCCTCTATTTTTCTCATTCTATTCCATTGGTGTTTTTCTCAGTGCTTGGCAATGTTATTTTGAGAGCTCAGAGGCTCTCCACTATGCAACAAAGGCCTTTCTCTACCCTGAGGCTAGATTTTAAAAGCAGAACATCATAGTCTTGGGAACTGGTTCACCTTGGGAGCATTAGAAATCCCAACCCCAAGGGGAAGGCAAGACTTTCCAGGACAGAGTCCTTCTATCTAGATACTTTAAAACTGTGGCAGGTTCTGCGTATTGTGTAACAAGGAGAATGTTCCCTTACTGTCTTGCCCTCTGCATTTGCCTCCTCTTTCCCCAATCTTCCTTCCACATTTTTCCCCCATTTTGTCTTCCAGTACTGCCTAGCCTCCTTCAGGCCCTCTCTCATCAATAATTGTACTGTACTTTAGATAGAAGTTGATGACCCCACTCTTTGCCTCTTAATTTTAAAGATAAGCAAACTGAATATTTTAAACTGTCTCTAAATGGAATCAGAGGAAATATTATGTTGATTTTAAACCAATTTTTTAAATTTTATTCTTAATCATATGTCACTAGCTCTTTAGGTACAAATGGCCCTTATTCCAGTGTGCAGGCTTTTAATGATCTTCTTTTTTTTCTCTCTCTCTCATAATTTGGTTATGCCTTCTAAACATGAGACTTTAAAACCAAGTTCCATAGAGAAGGAGACCAGAGATTGATTACTAGGAGTGTGCTGCATTTTGTAGAAAGGATTGTGTGCAGGCAGCAGGGAGTTCTAGAAGCCATTCAATCCTCTGTTCAACCAGTATTTACAGGGTTCCTGGTGGTTCAGTGATGAAAAAGATGATGAGATAGAACTCAAGGATGAAACAAAAGTCAACAAACAGCACAGGTATAGAAGACAGAGAAATCTGGCTTCAAAGGCTGACTTTACCATTTACATAGTATAATCTTGCAGGAGTTCTCAGCTTCCCTAGTGGGAATGAACAAGACTACTGAGAGAGAGAGTTAAATGGTTTATTCAAATTAATTTTGTATATTGGGTACAGATTTATTGTTATGATTTTTTGTTTTTGTTTTTGGTACAGATATTGAGTTGTGGCATATTTGTTAAAAAATAACAAATTTTTTGGCTATTAACAAAAAGCCCTAAAATAACAAATTGGGGAGGATGTGGAAGAATTGAAACCCCGTTTACCATTGGTGGGAATGTAAAATGGTAACACCCCTGTGGTAAACACTATGGAAGTTCTTTTTTTTAATTCAAAACAGAATTACTATATGATCCAAAATTCAACTTCTGAGTATATTCTCAAAATAATTAAAATCTGGGTCTCAAAGAGATATTTGTACATCCATGTTTATTATCAGCATTATTACAATAATTAAAATATGGAAGCAACACAGTGTCCAAAGACAGAAGAATGGATAAGCAAAATGTGGTACATATGTATAACAAAATGTTATTCAGCTTTATTGAAAAAGAAATGAAGTTCTGACGTATGCTACAACATAGATGAACCTTGATGACATTATGCCAAGTAACATAAACCAGTCACAAAATGACAAATACTATATGATACCACTTATATGAGGAACTTGGAATAATCAAAATCGTAGAGACAGAAAGTAGAACAGTGGTTGCCAAGGCCTAGGGGAGGGGATGGGGAGTTATGATTTAATGTATACAGAGTTTTAGTTTTATAAGACGAAGAGTTATGGAGAAAGATGGCAGTAATCGTTGCACAGCAATATAAATATATGTAATGCCATCAAATAGTCAATTTTAGGTGGTTAAGATAGTAATTTTTTTATATGAATTTTACCACAATAACCACATTTTGGAAAAAATGTTTGTTTTCCTACTGGATTGATTTGTTGTCTTAAGAAATAAAATGACAGCATAAATGAGGGTCTAGTCCATGTTTTTTATTCTATACCATTGATCTATTTCTTGATCATTATGTAGTATCACACTATCTTGAATACTATGGGTGTATAGCAAATTTTGAAATCAGGTAGCGTTAACCACGTAACTTTGTTCTTTCAAGCTTTCTTTGGATACCCTTGCATTTCCATGTAAATTTTAGAATTGGCTTGTCAATTTCACATCAAAAAGTCAGAAAAATTTCAAATTAACAACTTAACATCACAACGAGAAGAACTACAGAAACGAGCTAACCCCAACGCTAGCAGAACACAAGAAAACCTAAATCGAAGCTGAACTGAAGAAAATGGAGACGAGAAAACCATACAAAAGATCAATGAATTCAAGAGTTAGTTCTTTGAAAGAATTAATAAGATAGATAAACTGCTAGCTTGAAAGAATTAATAAGATAGATAAACTGCTAGCTAGACTAATAAGAAAAGAGAGAGGGAAAACCCAAATAAACACAATCAGAAATGACAAAGGAAACATTATCACTGACCCCACAGAAATGCAAAAACCCTCAGAGACTATTATGAACACCTCTATGCACAGAAAATCTAGAAGAAATTGATAAATTCCTAGAAAAATAAAACATCTCAAGATTGAACCAAGAAGAGATTAAATACCTGAACAGACCAATAATGAGTTCCAAAATTGAATCAGTAATAAATAGCCTACCAGCCAAAAAAATACAAAAACCAGAAGGATTCAAGCTGAAATCTACCAGATGTATACAGAAGAGCTGGTACTATTCCTCTGAAACTATTCCAAAAAAATTGAGGAGGTAGAACTCCTGTCCAACTCATTCTATGAGGCCAGCACCATCCTGATACCAAAACCTGGCAGAAACACGACAACAATAACAACAACAAAAATAAACTTTAGGCCAGTATCCTTGATGAACATTGATGCAAAAATCTGCAACAAAATACTGGCAAACCAAAGCTAGCAGTACATCAAAAAGCTAATCCACCATGATCAAGTACACTTTATCACTGTATGCAAGGTTGGTGCAACATATACAAATCAATAAATGTGGTTCATCCCATAAACAGAACTAAAAACACAAACCACATGATCTTCTCAATAAATGCAGAAATGGCTTTTGATAAAATGTAGCATCCCTCCATATTAAAAACTCTCAACAAACTAGGCATTGAAAGAACAGACCTCAAAATAATATGAGCCATCTATGACAAACCCACAGCCAACATCATACTAAATGAGGAAAAGCTGCAAGAATTTCCCTTGAAAACTGGCACAAGACAAGGATGCCTTCTTTCACCATTCCTGTTCAACATAGTATTGGAAGTCCTGGCCAGAGCAATCAAACAAGAGAGAGAAAAAAAGGGCATCTAAATAGAAAAACAGGAAGTCCAACTATCCCTGTTTGCACACAACATGATCTACATTTTGAAAACCCAATAATCTCACCCAAAAGCTCTTTAAGCTGATAAACAACTTCAGCAATTTTAGGATACAAAATTAATTTACAAAAACGAGTAGCATTCCCATATACCAACAACATCCAAGCTGAGAGCCAAATTAAGAATGCAATCCCACTCACAACTGCCACAAAAAGAATAAAATACCTAAGAATACCACTAACCAGGGAGATTATAAACCTCTCTAAACAGAATTACAAAACACTGCTCAAAGAAATCAGAGATGACACAAACAAATGGAAAAACATTCCATGTTCATGGATAGGAAGAATCAATATTAAAATGGCCGTACTGCCCAAAACAATTTACAAATTTAATGCTATTCCTATCAAAGTACCAGTGATATTCCTCATAGAATTAGAAAAAACTATTTTAAAATTTAAGTGGAACCAAAAAGCCTGAATAACCAAGGCAATATTAAGCAAAAAGAACAAAGCTGGAGGCATCACATTACTCAACCTCAAACTATACTACAAGGCTAAAGTGGACAAAACATCATGGTACTGATACAAAAACACATTGACCACTGAAACAGAATAGAAAGCCAGAAATAATGCAACACACCTACAACAATCTGATGTTTGACAAAATCAACAAAAAACAAGCAATGGGGAAAGGACTCCCTATTCGATAAATGGTAGGGGATAACTGGCTAGCCATATGCACAAGACTGAAACTGAACTCCTTCCTTATACCTCATAAAAAAATCAACTCAAGATAGACTAAAGAATTAAATGTAAAACCTAAAACTATACAAACCTTAGAAAATAAACAAGGCAATACCATTCTGGACATAGAACCTGACAAACATTTCATGATGAAGATGCCAAAAGCAATTCCAACAAAAACAAAAACTGATAAATGGAACCTAATTAAACTAAAGAGTTTCTGAACAGGAAGAGGAACAATGAGCAAAGTGAACAAACTACAGAATGGAAGAAAATATTTGTAAACTATACATCTGCCAAATATCTAATAACCAGCAACTATAAGAAATTTAAACAAACTTACAAGTAAACAACAAACAATCCCGTTAAAAAGTGGGCGAAGGACATGAACAGGCACTTTTCAAAAGAAAACATGCATGCAGCCAACAAGTGTATGAAAAAAAGCTCAACATCACTGATCATTAAGAAGTAAAAATCAAAACCATCATGAGATACCATCTCACACCAGTTAGAATGGCTATTATTAAAATATCAAAAAATAACAGATGCTGGCAAGGTTGTGGAGCAAAGAGAACACTTATGCACTGCTGGTGGGAATGTAAATTAGTTCAGTCATTGTGGAAAGCAGTGTAGTGGTTTCTAAAAGAACTTAAAACTGAATTACCCTTCAACTCAGCAATCCCATTATTGGGTATATGCACAAAAGAATGTAAATCATTCTACCATAAAGACATACACACATATGTGCATCACAGCACTATTCACAATAGCAAAGACATGAAATTAACCTAAATGCCCATCAATGGTAGATTGGATAAAGAAAATGTGGTACATATACATCATGGAATACTATGCAGCCATAAAAAAGAATGAGATAATGTCCTTTGTAGCAACATGGATGGAGCTGGAAGCCATTATCCTAAGCAAACTAATGCATACAGAAAACCAAATACCACATGTTCTCCCATATAAAATGAGAGCTAAACATTGAGTATATATGGATACAAAGAAAAGAACAACAGACACCAAGGCCAGTTTAAGTTGGAGGGTCAGAGGAGGGAAGGGGAGGATCAAAAACTACCTATCAGGTACCATGCTGATTACCTCAGTGATGAAATAATCTGTACACAAAACCCCCAGGACACAAAATTTACCTGTGTAACAAACATGCACATGTACCCCTGGACCTAAAATAAAAGTGAAAAACAAAAAGAAATATAATGACACTTTGGGAGAGTTGTTTGTAGTTTGGCATGCCAGAAGTACACAGTAGGGGTGGGATCACAGGAGATGATGCTGCAAATATAGTCAGGGCCCAGATTATAAAGTTCCTGAAAGTTCCTACTTCATACCTGCTATTAGTAGACAATAGATCAGGCAAAGGAAGTTTGGCCAGGTCAGAGATACTAGGGGAAAAAAGCTTTCTTGGATTCATTGTATTGAATTTACTTGGATTGTATTGAATCTATAGATCAATGTAAGTTGAGTTGTTATCTTAAGAAATTGAACACAGTATATCCTTCCATTTATTCAGATCTATTTTAGTTTTGCTCAATAACATTTTGTAGCCTTCAGTGTAAAGGTTCTCTACATCTTTGTTAAATTTATTCCAAAATATTTTATGTTGTATAACATGTAAATGAAAGTATTTACATATTTACTGCTATAAATTTTTAGTGATTTTTACATGTTAACATTGTACCCTACTATTTTGCTAAATTTACTTATTAGGTCTAATATATGTATTGCAGTTTCCTGTGGATTTTCTGTGTAAATGATTATATTAGCTACAGATAGAAACAGTTTTACTTCATCCACTTTATTAACTTTCCAGTATTTTTATTGTTGGATCCTTTCTTCATTTCCTATCTAGGAGACACAACCTAGAAAAAGTATTCAGTATTTTCAGCCTAGGAAAAGTATTCAGTATTTCACCATTAGGTATAATAATTGCTACAGGGTTTCTGGTAGAGTCCTTTATTAGCTTATAGAAATGTTCATCTATTTTTAGTTTTCTGGGACTTTTTTTTAACATGAATGGATTTTAAATTTTGTAAATTTCTTTTTCTGCATCTATTGAAGTGATTATGTGATTTTTCTTCTATATTAATATAGCAAATAGCATTAATTAAGTTTAGCATGGTGGGATTAAAACTTACATGATTATGATATATTATTCTTTTTTTCTATTACTGATTCAACTTGCTAATCTTGTTAGGTATTTTTGCATGTATGTTCATAAGGGATATTAGCCTTATTTACTTTTAATATTTTGTCAGATTTTGGCATTATGGTTATGCTGGCTTCATAAAACAAGTTGGGAAGTTTTTCTTCTCTGTTTTGTGAAACTATTTATGTAAGATTGGTTTCAGTTCTTTCTTTAATGTCTGATAGGATTTGATAGGATTTAATTTTATTTATTTATTTACTTATTTTTTTGAGTTGGAGTCTTGCTCTGTCACCAAGCTGGAGTGCAGTGGCTCGATCTTGGCCCACTGCAATCTCCAGCTCACTGCAACCTTCACCTCCCGGGTACAAGTGATTCCCCTGCCTCAGCCTCCCAAGTAGCTGGGACTACAGGCACGTGCCACCATGCCCAGCTAATTTTTTGTATTTTAGTAGAGACAGGGTTTCACCATGTTGGCCAGGATGCTCTCAACCTCCTGACCTCATGATCCGCCCGCCTCAGCCTCCCAAAGTGCTGGGATTACAGGCATGAGCCACTGCACCCAGCCAATTTTGTTTCTTTTTTTGTTGTCTGATAGAACCAGTAAAGCCTTCTAGACCTGAAGTTTTCTTTGTGAGAGGATTTGATAATGATTTAATTTCTTATTAGAAATAGGGCTATTCAGATTTTCTGTTTTTTCTTATGTCAGTTTTGGTAAACAGTATTTTTCAAATAATGTGTTGAATATGTTGTTGAATATGTGACATAAGTTATTAATAATATTCTTTTAATATCATTTAAGTATCTGTAGTATCCAAAATAATAATCCCTTTTCTTATGTTTGATATTGATAATTTGTATTTTCTCATCCTTTTCCTTAATCAGTCTAGCTAGAGTTTTACTAAGTTTCTGAGTCTTCAAAAAACTCACCTTTGGGCTTTACTAATTTTAAAAATTATTAGCCATTTTTTATACACTTTATCTTAGACATATTATTTTTATTACTTTCTTTTTTCTAATTTTGCATTTATTTTGGTGTTCTTTTGGTGGCTTCTTACAGTAGTCTCAGGGGTCATTGTTCAGAGCAATAACTCTCTCTAAACATTGCTGTTGTTCTATCTTGCAAATTCTGATATGTTGTATTTTTATTCGAATTTAGATCAAAATGTTTTCTAATTTTCTGCATGATTTCTTTTATCCATGTATTATTTAGAAGTATATTTATTATCAAATATTGTGATATTTCAAGGTATCTTATTGTTATTATTGACTTCAAATTAATTCCATTGAGATCAGAGAACATACTTTATATAAATTTAATCCTTTTTAATTGTTTTAATTTCTTTAATTTGTAGCTGAAAACATAATCACTCTGATGAACACATGTACTTGAAAAGAATGAGTATCTTCTAGTTACAGCATAGTGTCCTATACATATTAATTAGTTTAAGGTGTTTGATAGTTTTGTTCAGAACATTTATGTCTTTTATTTTTTCTAATTTCTGAGAGAAGGATGTTAAAGTCTCCAGTTACTACTGTAATGATCCATTTGTTCCTTTTTGTCAATTCTAAATGTCTTCTTGATGAGACCTTTTATCATTTCATAGGGGCTTTTTTTGTCTGTTTTTTGTTTTTATTTTTGTTTTTGTTTTTGTTTTTGTTTGATTTTTTTTCCTGAGACAGGGTCTCATTCTGTTTCCCAGACTGGTGTGCAGTTTTGCTATCATAGCTCACTGAAGACCAGAACCCCTAAGCTCCAGCAATCCATAAAGGGGCTTTTTATTTTTTATTTTGTAATTATGTTATTTTTTGTCCTTAATAAAGCTCTTTGTCTTGAGATCTATATCAGTCAAGGTCCAGAAATCACACAGAAGTGGAACAGGGCAAATTTAATCTAAGGAATTGTTCGGTAGTAACAGGAGATTAATTACTAAGGGGCAGAGCAAGCTCTACCATGAATGATGAATGGCAGGTACAGAGAGCAGCTACTACCTCTGGGGCTAAGGAACAGTACCTAAGGAAGAAACACATTTTGAACAGGGCCGGAAGCATGAGACTCAGACCTGGTTGGAAATGTGAGTTTGGCACATTGGATGGCCGAGAAGTTCATGGAGGTACAAACTAGAACTGGCAGCACAGTAGGGTCCTGACAAAATTCACTAGGAAACTACTCACTAAGGTGTCGCTGGAACTCACTGGAAAGGCACCTACTGAGGCACCCGAAAGAGTCATTGGAATGTCAGCTGGTGCAAACTGGCTAGAAAGCTGCCCAGAAAGTTGCCACTAAGTCAGTGGGAAGCGAGCACCACTGGATGTCTTGCACACACACTACAGGCCACTCATGCCTGGGAGAAAGAAGAAAAGTACACCAAACCGGAAAGAAAAGCCCTTTCCTCCTACCGTGTCCCTGCAGCACCCTCTACTGACATAACGTAACAAAGTTGGCAATGGTGAAATATTTAAAGTCCACCTACAGTACCATAAAGCAGGCCAAAGGAGGATGGATTTGGAGCTGGGAGACAATAAAATTGATAACTGGCGAAAGCAGTAATCTGTTTGCTACAAAATCAGCAAGTCCAGCTGTTTATGTTTACTGTTTACGTGGTTATCTTTTTCCATCCACTTACTTACAGGCATTTCTTTTAGGTAGGATATAGTTGCTTTGCTTCTTGCTTTTTTAAAAAAATAAATTCTGTTAATTTCTGGGTTTTAATTGAAGTATTTAGTCCATTCACATTTATTGTAACTATTGTCATGGTTGAATTTAGGTCTGCTAGTTTAGTTTGTTTTCTGTTTGTCTCCTCTCTTTTTGCTTCTTTCTTTGTTCTTTACTGCCTGGTTTTTAAAATAATTTTTAGAATTCTATTTATTTTATCTTTTGGTTTTTTTAGTTCTCTTTGCATTATTTTCTTTTTCTAAAAGAAATCTTTTAGTGATTGCTCTGGGGATTACAATTTATGTCCTTAACTTTTATCTCTATTTAGAGTTAATAGCGTAACACATCATAAAATGTAGAAACCTTGTAACCCCATATACTCATTTATCACCCCTTCCCTTATGTTATAGCTGCCGTAATATAATAACTGAAAATATTACAGTCCTAAGACAATGCTACAATTTTTGCTTTATTTTAAATAAATTAAGAAAATCTAGTATGTTATGTTTATCCAGATATTTAAAATTTCCAATGCCTTTTATTCCTTCCTAAGGACAGATGTTTCTATCTGGTATCATTTTCCTTGAATCTGAAACACTTCATTATTTCGTATCATGCAGATCTTCTGACAATAAATTATGTTGGTTTTATCTTTTTTGTTTAATTGTTGTGGGGGGTTCTTTTATTTGAGATGGGGTCTCACTCTGTCACCCAGGGTGGAATGCAGTGGTGCAATCATAGCTTACTGCAGCCTCAAAATTCTAGGCTCAAATAATCCTCCTGCCTTGGTCTGCCAAAGTGCTGGGATTACAGACGTGAGCGACTGTGCCTGGCCTGTTTTGTTGTAAGATATCTTTATTTTCACCTTTATTCTTGAACGAAAATATCATTGGTTATTTTTATTCTGGGTATTTTTTTAACACTTTAAAGATTATTGCACGACTCTCTGGACTCCATATTTACTGATAAGAAATCAGCAAGATTTTGAGTTATTATTGCCCTTTATGTAATGTGTCATTTCTCTCTGAGTGCTCCAAAGGTTTCTATTTTTGGTTTTTAGTAATTTGACTGTGATCTCCCTAGATGTGAATTTCTTTATATCTATCCTGCTTGGCATTTTCTGAATTCTTGAATTTGTAAATTTATGTCTTCTCCAAAGTTTGGGAAATTTTAGCCACTAACCCTTTCAACAATTTTTATTCCTTATTTCTTTCACCTTCTTCTGAATGTCCAGGAGACTTTTTGCTATTTTCCCATAGTTCCTCAAGTCTCCTCTCACTTCTTCAATAATATTTTTACTCTCTCCTCTTTAGTTTGCATAATATCTACAGATAGTTTCCTCCGTTATCTGCAATCTACTGTTAAGCACATCCAGTGAATAATTATTGCACATATTATACTCTTCAGTTTGATCATTTTCATTTTGTTCTTTTTATTTTTACAGAATTTTCTGTTTTTGTTTTTTTTTTTTTTTTTGGCAGACACATCCTAGAGGTCCACATTATTTCTTTTGAATATTTTCTGTTTTATTTTTATTTTTTTGAGACTGTTAATTTTTTAAAAATCACAGTTATACTGAGATATAATTCACAAACCATAAGATTCACCCTTTATAAGCACACAATTCCGTAGTTTTATTAGCACATTCACTGAGTTGTGCAACCACTACCACTATCAAATTTCACATCACTTTTTAAATAAACTTTTAGGTTCAGGGGTACATGTGCAGGTTTGTTACGTGGGTAAACTTATGTCACAGAGGTTTATTGTATAGATTATTTCCTCACTTAGTACTAATCTTAGTACTCAATAGTTATTTTTTCTGCTCCTCTCTCTCCTCCCACCCTTCACCCTTAGGTAAGCCCCAGTGTCTGTTCCCCTTGTGTCCATTTGTTCTCATCCTTTTGCTCCCACTTATGAGTGAGAACATGTGGTATTTGGTTTTCTGTACATATGTTAGTTTGTTAAGGATAACAGCCTCAAGCTCCATCCATTATCTCATTCTTTTTTATGGCTGTATAGTATTCTATGTTGTATATGTACCATATTTGCTTTATCCAGTCTGCCATTGATAGGCATTTAGGTTGATTCCACGTCTTTGCTATTGTGAATAGTGCCACAATGAGCATATGCTTGCATCTGTTTTAATGATAGAATGCTTTATATTCTTTTGGGTATATACCCAGCAATGGGATTGCTGTGTCAAATGGTAGTTTTGTTTTCAGCTCTTTGAGGAATCACCACACTGCTTTCCACGGAGGCTGAACTAATCCACAGTCCCATCAACAGCGTGTACGCATTTTTCTCTGCAACCTCGCCAGCATCTGTTATTTTTTGACTTTTTAATAGTAGCCATTATGTCTGTGAGATGGCTAATATTAAAAATAATAAATATTTAATAAAATAAAAAATAAGATTTTAATAGAAATAAATGTTTAATTTGATATTTAAAAATTTAATAAAAATAAATGTTTGATAATCGCCATCTCATGGTCAGAATGGCTATTATTAAAAAGATGTGAGATGGTATCTCATGATGGTTTTTATTTGCATTTCTCTAATGATCAGTGATGTTGAGTTTTTTTCATATGCTTGTTGGCTGTATGTATGTCTTCTTTTGAAGTGTCTGTTCATGTCCTTTGCCCACTTTGTAATGGGGTTGGTTTTTTCTTATACATTTGTTTAAGTTTCTTACAGATGCTGCATATTAGACCTTTATCAGATGCATAGTTTGCAAACATTTTCTCCCATTCTGTACATTGTCTATTTACTGTGTTGATAGTTTCTCTTGCTGTGTAGAACTCATTTACTTTAATGGGATATCATTTGTCAATTTTTGCTTTTGTTGGGACTGCTTTTAGCATCTTCATCATGAAACGTTTGCCAGGTCCTATGTTAAAAATGATACCGCATACAGTGTCCTCCAGAGTTTTTGCAGTTTTTTGTTTTACATCCTTAATCCATCTTGTGTTGACTTTTCTATATGGTGTAAGGAAGGGGTCCAGTTTCAATCTTGTGCATGTGGCTGGCCAGTTATCCCAGCACCATTTATTAAATAGGGAGTCCTTTCCACATTGCTTTTGTCAGCTTCGTAGAAGATCAGATGGTTGTAGATGTGTGGCCTTATGTCTGGGCTCTCTATTCTGTTCATTGGTCTATATGTCTGTTTTTGTATCAGTACGATGCTGTTCTGGTTACTGTAGCCCTGTAGTATAAAGTCAGGCAGCATGATGCCTCTGTTTTGCTTTTCCCCCCTCCCTACTCTTTTTACTTAGGATTGCCTTGGCTATTTGGGCCTTTTCTTTGCCTCCATATGAAACTAGAATTTTTTTTTCTAGTTCTGTGAAGAATGTCACTGGTAGTTTGGTAGGAATCGCATTGAATCTGTAGATTGCTTTGGACAGTGTGGCCATTTTAGTGATATTGTTTCTTCCTATTTATGAGCATGGAATGTTTTTCCATTTGTTGTGTTATCTTGGATTTCTTTCAGCAGTATTTTGTAAGATCTCATTGTAGAGATCTTTCACTTCCCTGGTTAGCTATATTCCTAGATGTTTTACTTTTTGTGGCAATTGTGAATGGGATTGCATTCCTGATTTGGCTCTTGTCTTGGCTGTTGTTTGTGTATAGAAATGCTAGTAATTTTTATACATTGATTTTGTATCCTGAAACATTGCTGAAATTGTTTATCAGCTTAAGGAGCTTTGGGACCAAGACTATGGGATTTTCTAGATAAAGGATCATGTTATCTACAGACAGGGATAGTTTGACTTCCTCTCTTCCTATTTGTATGCCTTTATCTCTTTCTCTTGCCTAACTGCACTGGCCAGGACTTCCAATAAAACTCCTATGTTGAGTAGGAGTGGTGGAAGAGGGCATCCTTGTCATATGCTGGTGTTCAAGGGGAATGTTTCCAGCTTTTGCCCATTTAGTATGATGTTGGTTGTGGGTTTGTCATAGATGGCTTGTATTAGTGTGAGGTCTGTTCTATCAATACCTGGTTTGTTGAGAGCTTTTAACATAAAGGGATGTTGTATTTTCTTGAAAGCCTTTTCTGTATCTGTTGAAACGATCATGTAATTTTTGTCTTTAGTTCTCTTTATGTGATGAATCACATTTATTGATTTGTATAGGTTTAACCAACCTTGCATCCCAATGATAAAGCCTACTTGATCATGATGGATTAGCTTTTTGATGGACTGCTGGAGTCAGTTTGCTAGTATTTTGTTAAAGATTTTTGCGTCAGTGTTCATCAAGTATATTGGCCTGAAGTTTTGTTACTGTTGAATCTCTGCCAGGTGTTGATATTGGGATGGTGCTGGCCTCATAGAATGAGTTGAACAAGAGTTCCACCCCCTTGGTTTTCTGGAATAGTTTAAGCAGGAATGGTACCAGCTCTTCTTTACACATCTGGTAGAATTCAGCTGTGAATCCTTCTGGTCCTGGGCTTTTTCTGGCTTTTTTTTAATTACTGATTCAATTTTGGAACTCATCATTGGTCTGTTTAGGGATTCAGTTTCTTCCTGGTTCAGTCTTGAGTGGGTGTATATGTCCCAAAATTTATCTATTTCTTCTAGATTTTCTACTTTGAGCCTGTGCTGGTGTTCATAATAGTCTCTGATGGTTATTTGTATTTCTGTGGGGTCAGTGGTTATTTTCACCCTGTCATTTTTAATCATGTGTATTTGAATCTTCTCTCTTCTCTTATTAGTCTATCTAGTTTTATATATCTTATTAGTATTTCAAAAGACCAGCTCCTGGATTCACTGATATTTTGAGTTTCTTGTGTGTGTCTCAGTCTCCTTCAGTTCAGCTCTGATTTTGGTAATTTTTTTTGTCTTCTATTAGCTTTGGGGTTGGTTTGCTCTTGCTTCTCTACTTCTTTTAGTTGTGATGTTAGACTGTTAACTTGAGATCTTTCTAATTTTTTGATGTGGGCATTTAGTGCTATAAATTTCCCTCTTTGTGCTAGCTTAGCTGTATTGCAGAGATTCATACATGTTGCATCTTTTTTCTCATTCATTTCAAAGAACTTCTTAATTGCTGCCATTGTTTCATCATTTACCCAAAAGTCATTCCAGGGCAATTGATTTAATTTTGATGTAATCATATGGTTCTGAGCAATTTTCTTAGTCTTGAATTCTGTTTTTATTGCACTGTGGTGCAAGAGAGTTGTTGATATGATTTTAGATCTTTTGCATTTGCTGAGGATTGTTTTATGTCTAATTGTGTGGTCAATTTTAGAGAGTATTGGCATGTGGCAATGCAAAGAATGTATATTCAGTAGTTTGGGGGTAAACAGTTCGGTAGATATCTATCAGGTCCATTTAGTCTAGTATTGAGTTCAGGTTCTGAATATCTTCATTAATTTTCTGCCTCAATGATCTCTAATACTGTCAGTAGGGTGTTGAAGTCTCCCACTGTTATTGTGTGGGAGTCTTAAGTCTCTTTGAAGGTCTTTAGAAACTTGTTTTATGAACCTGGGTGCTTCTGTGTTAGGTGCATATATATTTAGGATAGTTCTGTCTTCATGTTGAATTGAATCCTTTACATTATGTAATGCCCTTTTTATGTTTTTTTTTTTTTAATCTTTGTTGATTTAAAGTCTGTTTTGTCTGAAATTAGGATTGCAACCCCTGTTTTTTTCTGGTTTCCATTTGCTTGGTAG
The DNA here is from genome assembly GCF_000001405.40 of Homo sapiens. Lineage (NCBI taxonomy): Eukaryota > Metazoa > Chordata > Mammalia > Primates > Hominidae > Homo > Homo sapiens. The sequence continues at coordinate 79,702,598 of NC_000011.10, read as the reverse complement.
ATTTTTCTCTATCCCTTTATTTTGAGCCTGTGGGTGTCACCGCATGTGAGATTGGTCTCTTGAAGACAGCATACCATTGGCTCTTGCTCCTTTATCCAGTTTGCCACTCTGTGCCTTTTAATTGGGATATTTTGCCTATTTACTTTAAAGTTTAGTATTGATATGTGTGGATTTGATCCTGCCGTTGTGTTGTTAGCTTGTTATTATGCTGACTTACTTAGGCAGTTGCTTTGTAGTGTCACCGGTGTAGGTACTTAAGTGTGTTTTTGTAGTGGCTGGTAATGGTCTTTCCATGTTTAGTGCTTGTTTAGGATCTGATGTAAGGCAAGTCTGGTGACAATGAATTCCCACAGTATTTGCTTTTCTGAAAAGGCTCTTATTTTTCCCTGCTTATGAAGCTTAGTTCGGCTGGGTATGAAATTCTGAGTTGGAATTTCTTTTCTTTAAGAAGGTTGAAGGCTGTGTACAGTGGCTCATGCCTGCAATTCCAGCATTTTGATAGGCTTAGGCAGGCCATCACTTGTGGCCAGGAGTTCAAGACCAGCCTGGGCAACATAGCAAAACCTCATCTCTACAAAAAAATACAAAAATTAGCCAGGCATGGTGACACATGGCTGTAATCCTAGCTACTCAGGAGACTGAGGCACGAGAGTCACTTTAGCCTGGGGGGTGAAGATCGTGATAAGCCAAGATTGCGCCACTGCACTCTAGCCTGGGTGACAGAGTGAGACTCTGTCTCAAAATAATTAAATAAACAAAATAAAAATAAAAATAAATGAGAATGTTGAATATAGGCCCCCAATCTCTTCTGGCTTTTAGGGTTTCTGCCAAGAGGTCTGCTGTTAGTCCGATGGGCTTCCTTTTGTAAGTGACCTATCTTTTCTCTCTAGTGGCCTTTAGCATTCTTTCTTTCATTTTGACCTTGGAGAATCTGATGATTATGTGTCATGGGATGATCTTGTGAAGTATTTGTGGGAGTTCTCTGCATTTCCTGAATTTGAACCTAGCCCGTCTAGCTAGGTTGAGGAATTTCTCATTGATGATATCCTGAAATATGTTTTCCAAGTTGCTTCCATTCTCTCTGTCTCTTTCAGAGATGCCAAGGATTCATAGATTTGGTCTCTTTACATAATCCCATATTTCATGGAGCTTTTGTTCATTCTTTTTAACGTTTCTTTTCTTTATTCTTGTCTATCTTATTTCAGATAGCCAGCCTTCAAGCCTTGAGACTTTTTTCAGCTTGGTCTGTTCTACTGTTAATATTTGTGATTGCATTACAAAATTCTTGTAGTGTGTCTTTCAACTATATCAGATTGGTTATATTGTTTTCTATACTGGCTATTTTGTCTTTCGGCTCCTGTATCCTTTTATTGTGATTCTTAGATCCTTTAGATTGGGTTTCCATGTTCTCCTGAATCTTGATGATCTTTGTTTCTACCCATATTCTGAATTCTAATTTTGTCATTTCAGGCATCTCAGGCTGGTTAAGAACCCTTGCTAGAGAACTAGTATTTGGTCATTTGGAGGAAATAAGACACTCTGGTTTTTTGAGTTCTCAGAGTTGTTGCACTGGTTCTTTCTCATCTTCATTCCTTCAGTCTTTGAAGTTGCTGTCCTTTGGATGTTCTTTTTTTCTTTTATCCTATTTGATGACCTTGGAGGTTTGATTGTGGTATAAGGTGGGTTCAGTCAAGTGGCTTCATTTCTGGAGGATTTTATGGGGCCAAGGCTCAGCTCCCAAGTCCTGGACTATGTGCTCTAACTCTGAGGGACTAATATTGGGCCCCATTTTTGTCCTGTGGCTCTTCAATGTTAGGAACCTGCTGTGCTGAAGCAGCCAAAGTGCTCTTGGACCACTGGTCACAACACTCTGATTGGTGGTGCTAGTTAAAGCACTTCACAGGGCAATGGCAGTGGGATCCATCCTTGTCCTCACATGCCAGCATCAGCAGCAGTGGCAGCACAGTGGCATGCATGCTTGTTGGCTGTGACAGGATGCTAGCAGATGCCTGAGTGCCAGATGCCTGAATGCTGTGGCAAGATGCTAGCAGATGCCTGAGTGCCATTCTCCATGCTGGCATTTGCAGCAGTGGCTGTGGCAGCATAGCTTAGGGGTTCAGTGGGCCCCTGCCAGCACCTGTGCACACATTCACACCAGTGGTGGTGTTAGCATGGGTGCAGAGTGCTGGTGGGCACAAGACTATATCCATCTGGTTATTTTTGGTAGTTTTTCTTTCTTTGTTGAGATTTTGTGTCTCTTTATTCAGCACAGCATATTTTCCTTTACTTCATTGAGCATAGTTAAAATAACTGATTTAAAATCGTTATTTTCTCATTCCAACACTGGAATAATTTCAGGGTCATTCTCAGTTGATTATCTTTTCTCTTGCAACTGGGTCACAATCTCCTAATTTTTGGTGCATAAAGTAATTTTGGATTTTATCTTGGACATTGTGAATATTATATTGTGGAGCCTCTAGATTCTGTTATAGTCTGCAAGAGTATTGGCATTTTTGTTTTTAGCAGGCAATTAACTTTGTGTTTCAGTCAGGGTTCTCCAGAGAACTCAGATAACTAATAGGATATATATGAGATATATACATAGGATTCACACACTCACATATTATAATAAAAGTTTTACTTTAAGGAATTGGTTCACACATTGTGGAATTGTCAAATCTGAAATCTGTAGGATAGGCTGGAAGCTGGAAATGCAGGCAGGATTTGATATTGCACTCTTGAGGCAGAATTAATTCTTCTTCAGGAAACACCAGTTTTTGCTCTTAAGATCTTCAACTAGTGCACGAAGCCCACCCACATCATCAAAGGTAATGTCCTTTACTTGAAGTGAACCTATTTTACATGTTAACCATATCTACAAAATACCTTCACATTATCTGTACATTAGTATTTGTTCAAACAACTGCATACTATGGGTTAGCCAAGTTGATACATAACACTAACCATCACACTTGGTCAGACTCACCCACTGCAAACATTCACACTGGCAGTTGGTGTGTGTTCTTTAAGCCTTAGATACAAACTACTTCCAGTCTGCCCCACACATGCAGGGGTAAGCCAGAGACTTGGAAAGAGTTTAGAAACAGAAGTCAGCTCCATGTCTTTTCCAGGATTCCTTCCTCATGTTTCAGTGGCTGTGGTTAGCCTGAACTCTGTCATTTGGTTCTTTACGCTGGAAAGACTGTGGGTTTTGTATCATAGGTTTACTAATTCTGCATAACTTATTTGGTCTATCCTCAGGATAAAAGCTGTAAAAATGAAAAAAGCATACCACATGCTACTACCTTCTTCCAAACTATTTCCCTCCAGAATCTACTTGTAATTTCTTTGTCATTTTTCAGTACCTTAGTTTATTGTATTTTCATTTTTGTTTTTATATTTATCCACAGTTTACAGTTGCTATCTATGGAAGGATAAGATCTGGTAGGAGTTTGGTTGGCTGTACTGGAAACCAAAACCTATGTATATCATGGGTAGTAAATAAAACATGAAAAAAAGAGCTTGGCGCATTTCTAACGCATAGTAAATGATCAAGAAGTAGCAGCTATTATTACTACACTACTGCTACTGGAATATGAGTAGTTGGCAAAGTGACTATTGTGGTTAACTATTTGTCTCATAGCCAAACTCGAGGTGACTCTGTTCAGAGAGAGGCAAGTCCAGATTCCTCAGGAGATCATCCCTAAAGAGCAAGGCAGGGAGGCAGGATCATAGCTAAGTTTGTTTGCAGGGCAACTAGTGCTACTGTGGAAACTGATGTAGCCATCTAATTGTAAAGATAGGACTAGTCTAGAAATTTTTCAAAGAGCTTTAAGAGAAGACTGGGGCTTCAGGCACTCAAGACTAGACTACAGGCCCCCTACTTAAAAGTAAGCTTCCTAAATGCATGAATTTTGCCTGTTTGATAATGTCTATATCCCCAAGGTCCAGTCCACTGGTTGGCACATAGTAGGCACATCACAAATATTAACTCAAAGAATGGAGATCAAAGTTTAGAAAGCAGGATCCACCAAGTGCCTACTTGCTGATAAGTTTGAAAATGCTCTTCTGCCTCAGAAAAGGAGAGAGCTGAGTCTGTGAGTAGGACAGGTGACCAGTAGCAGCAATGGAAAAAGCTGGAAAGGGCAGACCAACTCCTCCACAGAGCTTCCATCCATCAGCTCAGCTCAACTAGAGGATATATCTTCTACCTCAGCTTGTCCCAGGGCTGGAAAACATGGATGCTGTATGAGGGCCTGTGTGCAGCGTCTGCTTGAGGTCTCATCCCCATCTTGAAGCAGTTTTGGATCATTTGTGGCTTGGCACCACAAAAATATGGGCTTTGCCAAACCCTCACTTTCTTTCATGTTTCAGCCCTGACACCCTAAAAAACAATCTTAAGCCTATTGATTCTACTTCTTCATTTTCACTTATGTCATCAAAACTTTCACTTTAAACATATCACTAGCAGTCAAAGGAATTGTCAACTGTTGGTTCGGGTGATGAGTCAGCTCAATATGGGTTATTTTCCCAACCACGGCACTGATTTCTCTGTCACTCTCACATCCCCTCAAGCTGTCCCAGCCACAAAATCTTTGCACTGAGCCAGTAGCATTAACCCTTTTTTGAAGCAGTCTATATTTTAAAAAATATTTGCTCATTGTAAGGGATCAGGGAAATTCAGATCAATATAGATAAATCAACAGAAAATACCACCACCCAGATAAGCACAGTAAACATTAATCCTTCCTTTCCATACTTTTTCTCTGACAACATATTTTTATGCAGTTGAGATCATGGTACAAGAGTTTTGTGTCTACTCTTTCACTTAATATAAAAAGAAATTCCATGTTATTAAATATAAATGTATATAATTATAATGCCTGTAATTATTCAGTCAAGAAAAATCTTGGTTGATGGCCTGCTGGCCTGCTATGCATCACTCACTGCAGATGTCTAGCAGCGAGGACAAAACCTCTGTCCTCTAAGGTAAGCTCTGAGCTTACCCTGTAGAGCAGGAGACACACAGTGAGTAAATGACTATGGCTGTAAGTACAGTGAAGAACACTAGGATGGGGTGAGGGACCAGTGTGGTGTTTGAAGGAAAGTGTATCTGAGGAGGTGACGATTTCAGCAAAGTCCTGGTGAAAATGAGGCTTATAACACTGTGAAATTCATGAACAATAATTCACATAACCAACAACCTGACATTAAACATTTAGCTTGCTCACAGAATTTTGCTCTCATCACTGCTGAGCACTTTGAGGTCAGCAAACATTCTGAGCTAAGGCACTACTCAAAGTACTCAGTGCTACTCACAGAAACTAAAGCTGCCAGAAATATTTAAGCTAAACAGAGGAGAAAAGGGAAAGAAGACAGGACGTCAGAAAAACACAAGGGCAGGAACAAAGGGATAAGAAAAATAGAGGGGAGGAGAGGATGTGCACGTGTGTGCCCTCATACATGATACAATGGTACCTACATCCATGGGTAATAAAAGAAGGGAATGGAGAGAAGTTATTTTCCTGAAAGACCAAAGTAGCAGAGGTTTCTATCTTCTTGGCCAAAATAGGACTACATATAAAGGAATATGGCTTTCTTACAACAGCCTAACATAATTTTAGGGAAATTCAGATCAATATAGATAAATCAACAGAAAATGCCACCACCCAGATAAGCACAGTAAACATGAATCCTTCCTTTTCATACTTTTTCTGTGACAACATATTTTTATGCAGTTGAGGTCATAGTATAAGGTTTTGTATCTACTATTTCACTTAATATAAAAAGAAATTCCACGTTATTAAATATACCTGTTGATGTTTGACAAATATTCTCTTTTCCCCAACATTGCCCTCCTGGTCTCCCTTGTACTGCCCTCTTTTCTGCAAACAGCTAGCCAGAAGTAACTGCTTCCTTCTTTAAATTTTCAAAGAATTTTAACTCTGTCTAGCACAATACTTCGTAATTAGGTAAAAAATAAAAAAAAAACTATTCCCTGAATAAAAAAACACCTTAAGAATGACACTGTATCTTATATAATAGTTATATATATGTATAAGTAAGCCTCATAAGTGCATGAATTTTGCCTGTTTGATTAAAGTCTATATGCCCAAGGTCCAGTTGAGTGCTTGGCACATAGTAGGCACATCATAAATATTAACTCAAAGAATGGAGATCAAAGTTTAGAAAGCAGGACCTACAAAGTGCCTACTTGATGATAAGTTTGAAAATGCTATATATATATATATGGGTTTACATATATATATATGGGTTTACATATATATATGGGTTTACATATATATATGGGTTTACATATATATGGGTTTACATATATATATGGATTTACATATATATGGGTTTACATATATATATGGGTTTACATATATATATATATATATATGGATTTTTTTCTGTATGGTGATGTCAGGCCCTTGAGAAACAGTCCTTCATCTTCTCTGTTTCCTGCATTGGGTGCAGTACAGAAAATTCTGTGCTAAGGGAAAAAGGAAGAAATGGAGGTACGGATAAGACAAAGACAGAGTCAGAAAATGCAGTTAAACTAAGATGATTGCAACAGGGTCCAGGAACTCCACAGGAATGAAAAGAACAGAGAGTTGAGCAAGACAGAAACCCAGGGCTACCCCACACCAATGGGCACACTTTAACCTTAAGCCATTCTCTCATCTAGCCCGGAGGCCACCTATCCACTATTGCTGGGGCCAGCCACAGGGCCAGGAAAGTCTGAGCTGCAGTCTGAGACAGACAGCATCTCTGTGGAACAAATGATGTCTGCCAATTTCTTCAGAAGCTCTTTAATGCTTTTAAATCCCTTATTGTAATTAGAACCCCTTCTCAGGTGGTCACAACCTCCCGGGAGTCCCCATAGCTGCAGACATCCAAGGTGTATCTGATCAGCTTCATTTGTTACCTGGTTCAGTATGGTCAAGGCAGCAAGCTGTGTTACCTGGCAAGGTGAACTGGTGCTCAGGGGCTACACAGAGCTGTATAACCCGATGGCCTTCTAATTTGTGGACAGACATACCTTTTCCCTGCTTTATTCCTATAGTCACAATGCCAGCAACACGCCATCATGCATAGCTTGCACACCATATTCAGTGCATGCTTACGCATTCCTTAAAACTTCTGAGTGGGATACTAGGCATGTGACTTAAAATAGCTGACATAGGCCAGGCGCAGTTGCTCATGCCTGTAATCCCAGCACTTTGCAAGGCCGAGGTGGGTGGATCACAAGGTCAGGAGTTCGAGACCGGTCTGGCCAATACGGTGAAACCCCACCTCTACTAAAAATAGAAAAATTAGCTGGGCGTGATGTCACATGCCTGTAGTTCCAGCTGCTCAGGAGGCTGAGGCAGGAGAATCGCTTGAAACCAGGAGGTGGAGGTTGCAGTGAGCCGAGATCACGCCACTCCATTGCAGCCTGGGTGACAGAGCAAGACTCCATCTTAAAAAAAAAAAAAAGTAGCTGACATAGATTACACACAAAATTTCTCAAGCTTATTTGGAATATATTTCTGCTGTTTTTACCAATTTCTCCTTTAGCCTTCTTACTAAAGCCCAGACAGGCAATTTTGTGGACTAATTTATAGCATATGATTCACACTGAAACTAACCTGTATTTGAGCTATGGCTTTGCAGGTTCTTTGCTTTGTGATTCTGGTCTGGTTACCTAATCTTTCTGTGCCTTATTTGCCTCACTTCAAAATGAGGAATCATAATGCCTCAACCTGTGGTGAGAATTAAATAAAATTCCTAATATACCTATAGTGCACTCAATAAATGGTGGAAATGGTGGCAATAGTTGATGTGACTGTTTTTGTTGTTATATAATTATTTCTTTTGCACTGGTACCAGATAGGCCTTGGCTTTCTCCTTCTACATATGATCGATGATTAGTTCCTTAGCTCAGTCATAAGACTTCATTATTACCTTATTTATTCTTCAGTATAACTGTGAAAGGGAAATAGTGCTTCATGTTGGGACAGGCAGAACTTCCTCCTGGAAGAGATGGCCTTTGTGCCAGCTCATGAAGAAGGAATTTGATTTCATGGCAGGAAAAAGTGAGAAGGAGAGCTAGACAAAAGGGTTGTTGCTGCAGATCTCCCTTCAAAGTCCACAGGCAGTAGAGCTGATATGGTTTGGATGTGTGTCACCTCCAAATCTCATGTTGAAATGTAATCCTTAGTGTTAAAGTTGGGACCTAGTGGGAGGTATTTTTATTATGGGGGTGAATCCCCCACGATTGGCTTGGTGCCCTCCCTGTGGTAATGAGTTTATGAAAGAGCTGGTTGTTTAAAGTGCCTGGCACCTCCACGATCTCTGTTGTTCCCCCTCTCACCATATGACACACCTGTTCCCCTTTGCCTTCTCCGTGAGTGGAAGCTTCCTGAGATCCTCACCAGAAGCCAAGCAGATGCTGGTGCCATTCCTGTACACCCTGCAGAACTGTGAGCCAATTAAACATCTTTTCTTTATAAATTACCCAGCCTTGGGTATACCTTTATAGTAGTGTAAAATGAACTAACACAAAGGCCTAGGTATAAGGTTTGGCTCTTGGTCTCCATCCTGAAAGATCTAGCAAGCTTGTCAATGACCTTTAATGCCATTATAAATATGATGCACTTCAAGACATTATAAAGCTTGTATTAAAGAACTACAACAAGTTGGTGATGACGGCAGAGTTCAATGACTATAAAGATGGGTCTGAAGTAAGATGACGGGGTTTGCAGGATACAGGGTGCATTAGTAATGTTTTGGGTGGAAGCGCCATTAATCACAAGCTACAGCTCTATGTTTTTATAGTACTTAAGCATTCTCCTAATGGGACTTCACCTTAGGATCAGCGACTTTTTTATAGTCCAAACCATCTGTCTATAACTCAAGCCAACTCTCATGCACGCGCATGCACACACACACACACACACACACAGATACATACACACACCTCTCACAGAATCAGGCTTCCATGCCAAGTGACTTCTTAATTCATGATTTTTTTGATACGCCAGACAACTCTTGTGTCTCCCTTCCAAAATAATAGAAGTATTGAGTGAAATTCATATATTTCTAAGTTAGATCAATCAAACCCTGAAAAAAATCAACCAAACATTTCTCTGGAGAGTACTTTAATTTCTGCTTGTGAAAGCATAATTCATTTGCAAGTATGTGCTAAGAGTAATGCATTGCTATGTGAGTTGCTACTCACAATCGAAGGCATGTTAGGAGAGTGACTGTCAAATATTTGTTTTAAATTAAATGAACCATGTTGATTTATCTGAAGGTTTTTATCTTTTTTCATTCTAGAGCACCTGGAAATATTTTTGCAATACATGGCAAAGCAATAGCAAATATTTGTGCATCTTTTGGGTTTGTAAATCTGATTGCTAATATTTTTACACCCAAATGAAGTTGGTAGAGGCAAATAAAATAAGCCTGAGACTGAGAACATGAGAGTATACTTCAGCAAAAGCTTAACAGTTTGCTGAATGATGGTTGGTGGCAACAATGGTTAATATAATTATTTTGTTTTTAATCTAATTTTACACATGGCATAGATGTAAAAGTCTAATAAGGGTAGAATAAAATAAAAAGTAACTCTCTACCCACTTTTGTAACCCCACTACCAAGAAAAAACATTTTTTAATTTTTTTGTTTTTGGTTCTTTGATAATTATAACCATAATGCTAAATAATGTTTTTTCTTTATGGTTTTATTTGATGATTCATCCTCTGTAGACTGTGCCTTGGGCTGTTTCCTTTAAAAGAGGAATTTGGTATACCTGTATTTCCTTCCACCTATCCTCCCAACCTCCTGAGGTTTTTATTGTTGTTACTATATTTTCTAGTTCAGTTTTGCTAGTTGTTAACTTTATGACTGCAAATACTAAACTTAAAACTTTCTTTAACTCTCATTTTAGCTAGAATCAGTTGATTCACCAGTCTGTGAAATAAGGAAACTGGTTCTTCTATGGTTTCCTCAATCTTTCCTTCTGACTTTAATCAGCTGTGCTATTATTTTTACTTTGTCAAGGTTTCAGGGTTGCCAAGTGATATTCAGGATGCCCAGTTAAATTTGAAGTTCACATAAACAATGAATAATCTTTAGAATAACTATGTCCCAAATATTGCACGGCACATATTTATACTAAGAAAATATTTGTTCCTTATCTGACATCCAAATTTAACTGAACACCCTACATTTTTATTTGCTAAATCTGGGAATGCTATAAGGTTTATAATGTTTCCATTATCTTCTGAAACTGAACACAGTAATTTCTTGCTTTATCTTTAGACTGGTTTAAAAAACTGAACACATTTTACATTTTACAACCTTCCTTTCTACTATATAACAAGCTCAGCTCAGGGCATTTGATTCTAGGAGTATTAAGGCAAAGTGTATCTTACATTTGATTTAGTTCATCTATTTTATTTTATTGAAGAGAAATCTCCGACCCAAAGATGATAACAGGTTTACACAAGACCAAAGCAAAAGTTGGAGGCAGAGCTTTTCTTCTCTTTTTCCTCATTATTTCCTTTCTCACCCCAAATTTTCTGATTTTTCTGTCCACATCGTGTTTTAAAGACACAGAATCAGAATAAGAGTCCAGAAAGGTAGGTATATTAACAGCTTTCAGGCATTTCTCATTCTACGATGATGGAAATTTTATACTCACTAGGGCGCACCATCGCAGAGGATGTACCGTCGCAGAGAATCTTTCCACAGCTGGATAGATCAGGGTCAAATCTCAATTCTGCTGACTGCTCCGCAACCTTGGGTAAATCCCTAAACTCTCTGAACCTCAGGCCTGATAAAGCCTGCTTTGCCATTGTTGTTCAGATTGGCTGAGATAATATAGGTGGTATCCTGAGCATTGTGCATGATTAAGCCTAGCAGGTGCTCGGTAAACAGGAACTGTGACTTTTACTGAGGGGGTGAGTCAAATTACTAATCACATGTATTGCACATGATACATGATATCACATGATACATAAATGAAAACAGACTCAGGATGAGAGCAGAGGTTTCTGCCTGGGAAGTTTACAGCTTTTTCAGTGCCCTGTTTCACTAGACCCATACCCTTATTCCATACTTGATTATTTCTGATGTCTTTATGCATTTATTCCACAAAGTATGTACACTTTAAATTCTACTAGGTGTTATTTAACATATCTTAGTTTTGCCTTTTAAATTTTTGTTTAAGAAACTCATTGATCCCTGGCCTTTTCTCTTTTGTTTATTTATTTAATAAATATACAAGAGTCTCCTAAATGAACACATGGGTTTTACTGGCCTTAGCTGGATTGAAACCTGAGGGAAGGTCTCCCAGCTTCTCTTTTTGGGTGGTTGTAGTAGCCACCTGACCTGTTTCTTTGCCTTGTGTCTCTGAGCTTTCAGTCTACCCTCCCATAAACCCATACCGCCCGCAGAGAGATTTGTCTGCACTCCAGTCTCTCATAACACTCCTCTGCATAAACCAGCCACCAGCCCAGCAAGTCCTACTGAAGAGAAAGCCTGGACTCCATGACCTGGTGTTAAAATGGTCCCAACGTGCCCTGAGCTTCACCTCCCACCCCAGCCCCCAATCATACTTTGTTCTGAAGAAATCCTCATCCTTCTCAGAGCATGTCACCTTCACCTTTGCTCTGCTCAGATGCCATACTTCCGCTTCTCATGGATGCTTAATGCCCTCTGAATGCTTAATGCCCTCTTCAAATATCATATTTTCTGGGGCACTTCCTACACCTCCCCTGGCAGGGTTAGTCACTACCTTTTTCATAGCTCTCTGTTCATATATTCAGATGTTCAGTGGTGCCTTTGTGATATTATTTATCAAATGTGTATCAGAACTATTAAGTCACTCTGAGCCCAAAATCTGGCACCCAGGCCTTCTTTTGGAGAGGAGTACCTGTCACCAGCTTATTTCAACTGTGAATGATCAGCTCCTCTTCCTTCTCCTATACACAGATTATAGAGTATTCCAACAAAATCTAGTCTTCAGCCTCTGCTGCTGTACCACCTGTCATCATCCAGAGTGAACCAGGCACCCCACTCTACAGATACACTACCAATTCTGGTTTCCATCCTGCCAAAGTTATGTTACCAAGTACAACACATAGGTCTTTTATTTCACTTACCACGGCGGTAAAATTTTATCTTTTTTGCCCCCTTGCATTGCCTATTAAACTGGGACATCCTCAGATCAAAGACTGAGGGTAAATGTTTTGTTTTTTTTGTGTAATCCACTAAATGTCTAACCTCTGTTAGACCCGGTTCACAGTAGACTTTCAAATGTATAGGTGAGTGAGTGAGTAAGTGAGTGAGTGAGTGAATAAATGAATACGTAAAGGTTACGGAAAGTCTGACCTAATAACTAATACATCATTGTGACACCCCACATGGGCCAAAGCCAGCAGTTCAACATCCCCAAGCAAAAGAAATAAGAACATTGTTTCATGTCATAATAAGTAGAGCATGTCAGAACTATAATCTGTCTTTTCTACTAAAAAAAAAAAAAAGTTTAATAAAGAATTTTCAAAGCTGTCTGTCAGAAAGGTGACCCTCCAGATAGGTAATAAGAGAGTGGTGACACAGTTGTCAAGGCATCAACCCTGGGGTACTGAGCTCCAGGACTGATGGCTCCTACGAAGTTTCTGTGACCAGCCCAAGGTGGTGCCTGATAGAAATGTCACTCGGCGAACAAAGCAACTGTGGATCTGTGGGCTTGATGAAGCCAGAGGCTCCTGCGGGGGACAGTGGCACGGCAGACTTGGCTTGGTCTTGAAGAATCTCTTGGCTTAGAAATGGGGTGTTAAGGACGGTTCAGTGCCAGTCATTGAGAGGAAGCAGGAATGTTGATAGAGCTCTGTTTTTTGAGTGCCTGCTATCTGCATCATTTCATGTCATCCTTACAGTTATTTTTGTCCGTAGATCAGCATGAGTTATCCCATTTCACAGATGAACAGATTACCCAAAGTACCAAAGCTGAGTTTCTGCATTGTCCAAGCATGCTGTAAGCATGTGGATAGCATACAAGAGCTGAAAGCAGGAGAATGGTATGCTAGACCTGGGCATGCTGCTTACTCACTGGGTGATCCAGGGTCTCTGAGCCTTCGTTTTTCCAACTGTAAAATGAAGATTGCATCAATCATTCTTACAAACAGTTTCTGTGAAAATTAAATGAGATGATATGTGGAAGCTTTTTGTAAATGAGAAAATGTTGTCATTACTATCAGCCTGAAAGTTCAGCATCCACATTTTGGAATGTGTACAGTTGAAAGAGATCAGTTAAGTACAGGAATATATCTGACACATAGTGGCTACTGTTTATTTAGCCAGGGTTTCTAAGCCTTGACACTATTTTGGGACAGATAATTCCTTACTGTAGAAGACTGTCCTGTAAAATGTAGCGTATTTAGTATCATGCTGACAATCATTAGAAGCCAGTAGCATCTATTCTCCCCTGACCCCTACCACAGCTGTGATAATGTCTTGAACATTGAGACATGGCCTCATAATAATCCTATGAGTTAATATTAAGTAAGTAGTACTATCCCCATTTCGTAAGTGAAATGAAATTATAGAGGGTGTAATTAAGGTACCCAAGTTCATACAGAAGGTGAGTTTCTCAGATTCTAAAGCCTATGACTTTCATTCTTTCCCTGCTGTAACAGAAGGAAAGCTTAGCTTGGGCAGCTTTGGGTTAGCTACAATGAAAGAGTTACCAAGTGCTAAAACTGGTCCAGTCCCTCAAGAGCAAGTACATTTCTCTATTAGTTAACAATATGACTTATTTGACTCTTTATTTCTTCCATTATCAGATTTTAGCTCATTATAATGTTGATATTTTTAACACTGACCTTGAAAAATCGGACCCCAGAAATCATTGAGTTTCAGACTCAGCAACCAGGATTCAAGTCCTCTCTTATTTAAAAAGCCCATGTTCTTGCCTACCACAGCTAGCTCGTGACTACATAACATGTGATTTTTTAGCAACCAGAACTTTTCTACTTTATGCGGCATTCCATTAGTGAAATGCACACTGTGAACATGAAGATGCTGCCTCCCAAAAAACAGTGGTGCCCCCTTCCTCATCTGTGATGAGAATAATGGTACGATAGTTATCATAGTTCATGTGACAGCTATAGAAAGTAAAACCAGGCTTTGTCGCCTTAATATAACTGATTGAAGGACTAATTTTAAGCCTGTGTAAAAGTCATGTCTGACCTCAGTTGGACAATTTTAGACTTAAACCTGCCAACTGTGTGCTCAGTTGTGCAAGAGAAGAGCCAAATTTGAGGTCATGTACAAAATAAAAGGACTATATATCAAAAGTTATGTCTAAAAAGTAAGATAAATTAGTGAATTTAATGACTTTTAGCTGTTAAGAGAATGTTCTTATTTTACAAGTTTTTTGATTAACATTCTCTTGCTTCAGATTTCACACCCGTTTTCAAGGACCTACAACAGATGTAGGGTATGCTGTTTTCTTGGGTGACCTCTGATCACATATGGCTTGAAGGCCCCAAATTTCAAATTCCATACACCGTTGGCTTCCTCAGTCTCTCTCCCTTTCCCTCTTCCTCTCTCTCTCCTCTCCCCTGACCTAAAAAGTGATCAGCCAGCAGAGGACTTGGGGAAAGACTCTCATGTTGGCACAAGGAGTGAATGTATTATGAGATGGCATCTGTCTGGTAGCACACTCAGAACCTGCCTAAAGGCTACATGCAGATAATACATCTGGCAATAGGAAGAAAACTCTGTGATGAAAATGGACAAGCATCGTCTGTGTCCTATAGAGATGAAGGGGGAAAATATAAAGCAAGCCAAAGGGATTGTGCTGTGGGCACTACACGAGAGAAACCCACATTTTATAAACCCAGACATGGACAATACAACTCCATGCTTTGGGAGGGTTTCTTGTTTTGGAAGAAAAGAACATTCAAGTAATGTGGGCTCCAAGTGCCTGAGTCTCTTTCTGTCAATGCCTCTCTGTTAGCCAGCCATGGCCTACTTCTCCTTGTTGGTTGGGACTGAATTTTAATTGGCTGCATCACCCATGCTTTTCATGCCACCTCTTTTTAGAGGCTTGCAAAGAGGTTAAACAAATTCACCCCATAAGTGGCTGGTTTTACTGAAAAGCAAAGTACCTGACCTATTGAGATGCCATCAGGATGAGCCCTTCCTTGTCTTTCCCCAAACCCCTTCTCATGGCCATGCTATCCTCTTGCTTTAGAAATGTCCTATCAGCTAAGTAGTCTCTGCCTGTAGACAGAGGGAAGTGGAAACAAATATTGATTCGGGAGATTAGACCCACAAAAAAGAAAAGAGTCATCTTACTGCCAGCCAAATAGGACATTGACCAATAAATCTGCCAGCAGGACAAGGTAAATCTTGTACCCAGTCAAGAAAGACAATGGTCTGGGCCTTTGCTGTGCCAGGGAGGAAGTGACTTTTTACACTTGAGTCATCCTCTGCTAAGTGAACTTGAGTATGTGGTGGCAAGAAGTTGCTGAGTGGTGGGTAGAGCACTGACTGTTCTGATGTTTATGAACTCCTTTCCAGGGGATCACTTGGCAGGATTACAAAACTGAAAAATTTCCTTTCCACCCTATAAAACTGAGCATCACCTGGTGCCAGACCCTATCCTGGGCACATAATAACGATGTCCTTTCCTGCCCCTAGAGGACCCCACACTCTATGGAGAGCCACGTATGCAAGAGAAGGAGAAGGGAACCAGAGCGTACACATTCAGTTGTTCCGCAAATCTGAAATGAGTACCTTCTTGAGTCACAAACTAATGTAGACCCTGGGGAAAGAGGAAGAACAACACAGCAACAGCCAGAATTTCCTCTGTGTCTGGCACTGTTTTAAGGTTTAAATGATCCCTATAACATGTCTATGAGGCAATTATTATTAGCCCCATTTTACATGTGAGAAAAACGAGGCAAGAAAGTTAAGTAACTTGCCCAAACTTACCCAAGCTAATAAATGGTAGAGTTGGAACTGAACACAACAGCCTGGGTCCAGAGCTTTAAAAAGAGACTGGAGAAGACGTGTGGGATATTAAACAGGGGCGTTTCTCAAGAAATCGTATTTGAGCTGAGAACCTGAATCGGCAGAACAAGGCAGAGGCTGACCATGTGTCAGACTCTGCGCTGAATATTTTGCATGTTTTCTTACTTATTCCTCACAACAGCCCTAATCAACAGATAATAATAGCTCCATCTTCAAAAAAAAAAAAATGGAAGCTCATGTTTAGGTAAATTTGCACTGGGTGCGTGATTTTTACGTGGCAGAGTTGGGATTTGTGCCCAGATATTTCCAACTTTAAAGTCTATGCTTTATCCACCTGCCCTGCTATGCCACAAAATGAAAAAGGCTGCCATAGTTCTATCTAAAAGATTTGGAAGCGCATGTGTGTAGATATGTCTTAGCTTGGACAGGCTGAATGAAGTCAGTCTAGCAAAGAAATACAGAATGAGTTGGCCTGTTTTTTTTAAAGGGGGTGGTGGTGCAGGAATTCTAGGAAGCACACAGCACAGGCAAAGGTATAGAAACGTTAGGATGTGTACAGAAAACAGTACTCTGGTGTGGTTAGAAATATAGGCAGGGGTAGAAAGTTAAGAGAAAAAACTGTAATGGTAAATTGGGGCAAATTTTGAAGAACATCAATTCATGCATTGAGTGGCACTTAAGATAAACTACATTGAGCACTGAACATTATAATAAAATCGCACTATATCATCATGCTATGGAATGCATTTCAACCAGCATTTATTAAGAACCCCCTACATGTGAACTACTAAACTAGGAGCTCTGGTTAAAATAAATGCTTCTGGTTTCAATCTGTTCAGCAAAATTTCTGTAATGTACATTAATCTACTTTTTGGAACCTCAAAAGTATGCTGCCCAAGCAGGACTCAGCCATTGTTTCCTGGCCGAGGATCTTTCCTAGGGTCACCAGATTGAGTGTCAATTTTCATTTCCGAGTCTGTGGATCTAGGAGGAGAGAAGATTGGAATGAAAATCTGTATTGACCTCAGAGCAGTGTTTGGAAGCTGCTTTTCTTAAAACCTGATATCAGCATGTTTTATTCTGCTTTTCCTTTGTCTCAGGAAAAGAACAAAATGAAGCAAGTGCAGAGAGCATTTCCCATAAATAGCAGAGTCTGATTAGATAGTAACTGATCAACCACAATTTCATCATGTATGTCTACAAGTAATGGTAGAGTACCTCACAAGGCTTGTAGTTATCCTTCTTCAGCCTGTTTCCTCACCTATAAAAAGGGGATAATAACAGAGGCTACCTCATAAAAATGAATAAGATAATGTATGTAAAGTGCTTTGGTGTGTATAAAGTACACAAGCACATACTCAACAAATGTTAGATTAAATAATGATTAATAATCATTTCAAGTATTACTTTTAAAGTCCAAAGAATAGAAGTTGAGAGAAAAATTTGCTAATTGGTAAATAATTATTCCCCTTCTCAGAGACGAATGATCCCGACCCCATTCCAAGCACATACACACAGTTATCACATTTAATGTTAAAACCACACTGAGAGGTGGAGGAATTCTTATCTCATCCCAAAAGTGAAAAACCTGAGGCTTATAAAGTTAAAGAGAAACTAAGTAGGTGTTGTTTGGCACTTGGTTAACATACAAGATATTCATCTGTTCACTTAACAAAATGTTTTTGAGTGCTTCCTGTCTCTCGTGCAGGGCGAGGCTATGCTGGGTATAAAATTAAGAAGGAAACTGACATAGAGTATTCTCTGGCGGAACTCAAAACCTAGTGAAGAAAACAAATCGTGATCTGCTTTATGAAAAGGAAATACCAGGTGAGAATAATTTAGAAAGGAAATGAAAGTTAAAGGAAAGGGAATCCAGGCAAATGAAATGGGATGATTGAAGGCCATAAGTAGGAAAGAATTCCATACTCTCTTGGAAATGATGAAGGGGAAGGTGGGTGAAGCCAATGAGCGACAGGACAAGTAGTGCACTCTAAAGATAAAAGAAAGGGAGCAGCCAGATCATATCAGCCCTGTTAAAAATTTTGTGTTCTGAATTAACAAAATTGCTTATGGAATTTCTTTACTACCTTTTTGGACACTGCTGGATATGAGAATCTAGTTTGAGGACTTAGTGGATAAGATGGCATATAAGTCAAGATGTATTCCACTCTAATTAAAAGAAAATTGGATTTATACTATCTAAGCAAACCATATTTTTAAAAAGTCACATAACCAGAAATTTGGAGATGAATAAGAATTGTCAAGGGCAGAATTTTTATAAATTTCTTAGCTTTTCCCTCAAGCTCATCATATGGCTTTTGTAGCTCCCAGCATTGCATCTGCATTCAAGTCAGAATCAAGTAAGGGGATGGCACAAGGTTATGACAGCTGCATCTGCATCATTTTATCAGGAAAGCCAAAGCTCTCTCAGATACATCCACAGAAGATGTATGCTTGCATGTCATGGCCCCAGAAATGACTCACATGCTACTCCTACTTGCAAGAGACTCTGGGAAAATTATTGTTTGGCTTTGAAACTTCAACAGTATGAGGAAGCAACAGGCAAAGAGGTTGGAAATAGCTTCTGCTTGGTCAATTAAGACGTCAGCCATAAATACTGTAACAGTAAAATAGTTTCCCTTTACTAATAATCAATAGTTAGCTAGATGCCAATAAAAGAAAGTCAAAACAATAGACTAATGAACAGAAGACTTGAATAGGTATGTCACAGAGAAAGAAAAACAAATGGCAAATATTTTTTAAGTAATTAAGAAAATGCAAATTGAAACCACAATGAGATCTATATAAGCAGTGCCAAATGGGAAATATCTAATATTGCCAAAGATGTAAGGAAAAGGAGGCTTATTTATATACTGATTGTGGAGTACAACTAATATGGAAAACAAATTGGTATTATATGTATATACCTATGACCTAGTCCACTACTAGTAGACTACCAGACAATTCCTACGCACTTGCATCAGGAAACATAAAAATTTCCTGGTAGAATTTTTATGAAATAAAAAAGAAAAACAAAAAAATTTAAATAACTCAAATGTCCATCAACAGGAGTCTAGATAAAGTACAGTAACCTCACACAATTGAATAGTATACAGTAATAAAAATTTTTAAATACAGTATGTATAACTTGGATGAATCTTATAAATGTAAAATTGAATAAAAATCTCACAAAAAAACAGTGAGAAAACATTATTATAAGATTATGTGATTCAAAATTTTATTATCATGCTTTATAATTTACATATACCTTACCTACAGTTCTTTATGAGAGTCCATACTGTCTAATAAAAAAATTTAAGAGAAAGCAAATATATTAGTCCATTCTCACACTGCTATAAAGAACTACCTGAGACTGGGTAATTTACAAAGAAAAGGGGTTTAATTGACTCACAGTTCCACCTGGCTGGGGAGGCCTCAGGAAACTTACAATTGTGGTGAAGGGAAAGCAAGAAATGTCTTACATGGAAGCAGGAGGGCTTGGGAGGACTGCTACATCGCTTTAAACCATCAGATCACATGAGAACTCACTCACTATCATGAGAACAGCCTGGAGAAACCCACCCCCCGATGATCCAATCACCCCCCACCAGGTCCCTCCCTTGACATGGGTATTACAATTCAAGATGAGATTTGGGTGGGGACACAGATCCAAACCATATCAGCAAGTCATCAAATAGTGTGAATAATACAAAACAATTTTAAATTTATAAATATGGAAATAGAGCTATATACAAGCATATACAATACCGCATGTAGATTAACATTAACATATTTTCTTTGGAAATGAAAATTAAAGGAAGGGGAATCCAAATTCTACAATGGATAAGTATGATTTTAATAAATAGAAAAATATAGAAATAAATATTACTGAAAAATTTTAAAGCATTGCTCTTTCATTCATTAGTTCTAGGAACTGAAAATTCCCATTCAATTGCTACTGAGTTCCTCAAATTGGGCTTTTGTAAATATCCCTGAAAATTGACAAATTTATTTTAATCTGTTTAGTGGCTTCTAAGGTATGTTGTTCAGTAGCTTGAATTTTCCCCCTAATCTGTCTCATCTTTTAGAGGAAATAGGTTTCTAAAATATTTTTGAATGATGATAACAGATAAAGATCTTTTATCCAAGATGAGATCAAGTAATGATTTATCAACGTTTAGGGGAAAAAGCATTGCCTCTATACTGTTTAAATACTTTCATACTCTTCTTATAATATGGGAACTTGTACTTATGTCATGGATACTATCTGTGAAGAAGGAAAAAAATAGACAATTAGAAAATATGTTCATTGGCTTTTGCTGCATATTACCTAACTCAGTGTTCACTACCATGGTTAGTAAAGCCCTTCATATCTACAGGTTAGATAAACTTCCCTGTCTTTTCTCTCTTCACCAGAGCCACAGGCTTCAGAATCAAAACCAAGACTTGAGGTTCAGTGATACCCAATTTTCCCAAGAATAAGTGTTTCTTTTAATGTCATAACATACCACATCAGATGATGTTATTATCTCTTGGTTAGAAAAAAAAGGAAAAATAGATACAACAAATTCAAAACTGCATTAATCTTGTATTTTATCACTTATAAGCGCATCTCCATATATATGAAAACATAGCTCAGATATAAGCCAGGGATACTAATTTTTTAGGTGGCCAACAATACTTGGTGTCTGTGTGGATCACCACACCCCTTCAATGACACCCTGAGATGGAGAACCACACACACAAGGTGGAATCCACTCTTCTAGTCCAACCCACTCGATCTGAGCATTCCCTGGGACAAGAAAGGCTAGCTGAAGTCCGGGCGCGGTGGCTCATGCCTGTAATCCCAGCACTTTGGGAGGCCGAGGCGGGTGGATCAACTGAGTTCAGGAGTTCGAGACCAGCCCTGCCAACATGGTGAAACCCTGTCTCTACTAAAAATACAGAAAAAATAGCTGGGCATGATGGCGGGCGCCTGTAATCCCAGCTACTCGGGAGGCTGAGGCAGGAAAATGGCTTAAACTGGGGAGGAGGAGGTTGCAGTGAGCTGAGATCGTGCCATTGCACTCCAGCCTTGGCACCTGGAAAACAACAGCGAGACTCTGTCTCAAAAAAGAAAAAAAAAAAAAGAAAAAGAAAGGCTGAGGAAGAGGTATATGAAAATGGCCAAGTTCCCCTGAGGCTTCTTTCCTTCAGAGGAAACTATTCCTTCAACTCTTCCTGATGAATTTGGTTTCTGGAATCCTACCTGTCCTCCTCTGAAAATGCTTTGGTTTGTCTACCGCTCTAAAAAGAAACAGATCTCTTATGTCCTGGCCAGGGTCAGGCACAAAGAAGTGGTTATCGCTCTGATTCTAGACACTACCTTTGATCTATGAGGAAATTATAAATACAGTCATCCCTTTGTACTTGTAGGGGATTGGATCCAGGAAATGCTACCAACCCCCTTTCCCCCACAGATACCAAAATCCATGGATGTTCAAGCACTTTATGTAAAATGGCATAGTATTTGCATATAACCCTATGTACTTCCTCGTGTATACTTTAAATCGCCTCTAGATTACTTACAATACATAATACAATATGAATTGAAGTTTGCAGAATAAAGGTAATTGCCAGTGGAAGAAATGTTTTTCTTTGCCCCCAGCACTTCTGAGCTGCTTCTGACCTGACCCTTCCTCCAAGGTAAAATCCCAGCCATATGTCAGCCCGTGAGGAGTCAAGTCTCCTAGGGAAACAGATCCCACGCTCAAATGGAGAAATCGAGGAGAATTGCATCAAGAGAGTAATAAGGAGTTTTAGGCAGAGTAAGGAGAGTCAACAAAAGATGGAAAAGCAACCCAGAGCAACCCTGAAGGAGCAGTTTGGGAAGGGTGAACCTGTGGGGTGTTCCTGAGACTCTACTAGGTGTCCCCAAGGCCAAAACTATTTCATAATAATACTAAGACATCATTTGCCTTCTTCGCTCTCATCCTCTCATGAGTACATAGTGAAGTTTTTCGGACACTACCTGACTTGTGATGATGTCATTGCTCTCATGGCTGATGGAATATACATCTGTGTATTCTTGTGTTTGAGTATTTCTCAGTCTTAATTTCTAATACCGTAAACATCAAGAAAATTAAACAAAAGCTCTTTGGGGTTCCTCAACCATTTTTAAAAGCATGAAGGGATCCTGACATCAAAACATTTGGGAAATGTTGGGAATTTGGAGCTGATGTAGAAGACACCACCTGACAGGACATGGGCAACCACCACAGCAGGGAAGGTAGGGAGGGAGCCGGGGAAATAAATTCCCTCCGTCCAGTCCACTGACAGTGCCTGCTATTGGCCAAACATAATTCAAAGCCAGAAAGCAAGGGTGGCTATTTTATGAGGCACAGATCAGCGTGGGAAATGGATGTGGAGAAGCTAGTGGAAAATACCCACACATTTGGAAATTGGAAGAAAATTTTAAAAGCAAGAAGAAAAAGGAGGAGAAGAAAGAGAAAGGGGAGGTATGGGGAAGAGGAAAGGGGAATCTTTTAAATTGGGATCTAGAGAGAAACCCTCCAATAACAACTCCTGTGCACTTTGCTCCAGGAGGATCTGGGTGCAAATTCTGACAACATGATTTCCTCAATGTGGTTCCTTGAGCAAGTTAATGGATCTGAGGCTCAGTTTCCTCATCTCCAACACAGGATAATAATAGATTCCAGAGTACAGATTGGCCAAGTTAGTATACACACTGCACCTAGTATAGACTCCTAGCTAGTGTTAATTTCCCAGTATCCGCCCTTTGCAAACTTCTACAAAGAGGCTCTAGTAACTCCTAAGGTACCCTGGATCTTACTGGGGGCTCTGTTTTAAACCACAAAGACTGGTACTCTGATCATTTTCCTCTCTTTCAGAGGGTTTATAGCCAGGTTAACTATTCAGAGTTGTTAGACATTTGGAGTGAAACAAAGAAGACTCAATAAAATGATATATTAAATCTCTGAGGATTAGTCCATTAAAACAACTGACTTTTGGAATCCCAAGATTTTTTTTAAGACAAAAAGACAACAAAATTTCTGCAGGGTTTACTGATTTTCATGCTTTCCCCTGCATTTCTATCATCTTTCACTGATGCTCCTGACTTTCTGAGACGTCATAGGAGTGGGGGGCAGGGGGTGAATTTAGTGCAACCAGTGCAGAGCAGGCTGAAGCTATTTTTGCTCCACACTGGTTTTCCTGACCCTCACCCCAGAATCTTTCTGTTTGCAGAGTCCCTCCACAAAGCTCCAGTCCCTACAGCTCTTTGATTCTTCCATGGGATGTTCAACATTAACACATGTTTGAAACCTGCTGGGAGCATAAGCCCTGCTTAATGGAAACAAAAGTGTGATTAAGGAGATAATCTGGTAACTGTCAGTCACATTTTGCAAAGTTATTATCCAGTTGCAAATGTCTGAGTATTAGAGGCTCCAGTTTTTTTTTTTTTTTTCAAGGAACGTTCATTGCCTGTGGCTGCAAGTGAAAGAATGCTATTTCCCCATTTTAATTAGTGGTGTGTGTGCGTCTGCAGTTCCAACACCTTCATTTCTACATCTTTCCCACTGCCACCCCCAGCTACTTCTCTCCCTCTCTCTGTCCACACACACACTGTCACACCCTGTACGTGGATATAACATAAAGTTAAAATCGGAAACACTTTAGTAAAGAAGCAAAGCCCCTCCAAAACAAGCTCTAGGCCAAACTGCAAATTTGTGATGATGACATGCAGTTATTCAACTAAAGATCAGATGGAAACTGGGCAGCCAATTTACCATTCCAACTGATGGATGGGATAAGGGATTGCTGGACCATTGTGGAAACGCAAATGATTTTTAACTCCAAACACTCAGGGAAAATGAGATTAATTATGAAGCTGCTTATTCCTCTCATTACTCAAATGGTAAATAGATGATAGATATGGCGGGATGAAGGGATGAAGGGTGAAGTGTGTCCTGGTGGATATGTTGTTGATTTTCTTGTCATTGACTGAAAAAAATTAGCAAATAAGACACTATTATTCCAATAAAGCAGGGTGAACAGATAGCTCCCCTTCCCCTCTGTAGCCACCCTCCCCACTGACTTGTCATCTTCATCATCAACAAAAACAAAAGGACAAAATATAGTAGGAGAACCCAAGTCTTAATAACACATAGACTGGCCAGGTGCAGTGGCTCATGCCTGTAATCCTAGCATTTTGTGGGGCTGAGGCAGGCAGATTGCTTTGAGGTCAAGAGTTCGAGAACAGGCTGGGCAGTGTGGCAAAGCCCTGCCTCTACAAAAAATACAAAAATTAGCTGGGCATGGTCGTGGGCACCTGTAGTCCCAGCTACTCAGGAGGCTGAGGCTGGAGAATCACTGGAACCTGGAAAGCAGTGGTTGCAGTGAGCCAAGATTGCACTACTACACTCCAGCCTGGGTGACAGAGTGAGACCCTGTGCCAAAAATAATAATAATAATAATAAATAAATAAAAGTAATACATAGAATTAAAGGAATTGAGAGGAAAGAGTCAAAAGTAACCCTGAGGCTTCTCCTGGCTTGGGTTGACCAAGTGATACCATCACCTCTGACAGGTAAATCAGGAAGATCTGGATGTGAGGGGAAGGTCACGAGTTTAGGGTTGGACATGTTGTGTTTGAGATGCTTTGCGAATAGCCACATGGACATGTCAAACACATATCAAAAATGAAGGGCCCAAAGTGAGGAGTCGACTCAGATCTCAAGATACCCGACACCACTGCAGTTAATTATCTGCTCAGTGTCTGTCTTCCTGAAAAATTGCAGGCCTTTCTATTCACCACCATATCCTCTGTTCCTGGCTCAATAAATGGCTGAGGATGGAAGGAAGGAAGAGAGGAAGGGATGAGGGGAGAGGGGGAAGGAAAGGAGGATAGAGAAGAAGAAGGTAAGGGAAGGGAGAAATGAATGGAGATCTAATGATTAGGTAGGCATTAGTGATCATCAACTTCTACTCCATTCAGCAGCTATTAGGCTATGGGTATAAAATATAAACCAGCTTCTCAGATTATTTTATCAATCCTTACCACAAATGAAGTGAAAGAAAGGAAACTAACATTTGTTAAGTATCTACTGTCAGGAACAACAAAATCCTAGTATTTAGTCTACCTTTATCCCCTGCTGGATCTGCCAGCGTATTGTTTAGCAGTTGCTGAAGGTGCCTCAGCTTGCTGGGGTAGTCTGGCCTCTCCACCTTCACTCCTTCGTGGATGTTGGTTAATAAATGGACTGCTCTAACTTACTGTCTTTTGTTCCTTTACATCCCCCCTCCCATCTTCTGATCTGAAGCTGGTATGTTCTCTTTTTGTTTTTAAAAAGATTACAGTGCATACTTCTTTTTTCTTCCCTTTGAATGAATCCTCTTTTCTTCTAACTGCACTGAGAAGCCTCTTTCATTGTTCTGATTAGTCTCTACACGTTCACTGGTCTGTCACACTTGAGAACATGAATAACTAATAGAACCCTGCCTGTGAGTCTAACACATTCAGAAAATTTTAAACAGGACAAAGTCGCTTAATTTTGGGATTGTACTTAAAATACCGTCAAGGAAGAGCATTTGCTGGCACTTAACAAGATAGAAAGTAGTGGGCTAGACACTTCTTACAGATCATACCTGGTGTGGCAATACAATCTAATTTGTTCAGTATCAGTTTACACTTGTCCCAGTAAGATTCTTAACAGGACCAATACCCCCAACCTACTTCTCACATGTTCCTGTTTAAATGATAAATTATATATGCATTCCTAATCACACTTCATTTTATAGACCTCTGAGTTGATACCATCAATAACTTCATATCAGATGAGGCAACTGAGGCTCCATTAAGTCATTGGCCTCAAGCCTGACAACTCATGTGTCAGAATCTGGATTCTAATTTAGGAATGACTAGGTCTAAAACAGGCTCTCCAACATGCCAGGTGTAATTCAATATGAATTCACAAGATGATCAAAGTTCTTGGTTTCCAAATAAAACACGTTTTTGTGTGTGTGACCATGACGTAGTAATTTCCATTCTGCAAACAAAATGAGTCTACACAGAAATGTTTTTCTATTATTAATGTACACCTGGCAGAGTTTTAGTCAGGATCAGCCCTTTATAAGATTGGCAAAGATAAAAAGTTTGGCTTTCCTGCCTGCCCCAACTCCTCACTGTATCTTCTATCCACCCCCTAAACTCCTCTAGCTCCTGCTCTAGCTCTAGCTCCTGCTCTAGCTACTGCTCTAGCTCCTCTCCAGCAAAACCTAGAGAAACACACAGACTTTGTCAGCAGAGAGACCTGAGTTCAAATCCCAAAGCCACTGCATATCCACTGTATAACCGCAAGCAAGTAACACAGCATCTCTGTCCCTCAGTTTCCTCCTGTGTAAAATCAATACCACTATCTACCTCCTAGGGTTGTAGTAAGGACTAAAGATGAGGACATATAAGGCCCTCATACTTAAGTACCAACAGATGGTAGATACTTAACAAATATCAGTCCCTCCTGGACTCAGCAATGATCTGACATTCCACCTCAATTTAAGAGAATAGGATTCTCTTCTCAGGGTCTTTGTTAATAATGGGCTCACTTAGATTGAATGGTAGACGGAAAGACATGTCAAATATTCCAGGCTAGTAAAATATATGGGTGCTTGGTAAAGGGTCCTCTAAGTAATTCACTCATAATGTTCTCTGTTGTTGTTAGTACTATTGTTTACTTGTTTGTCTCCCCAAAAAGAAAATAAACTCAGAATGCATGATTATGTCCTGTCATATATCTCATTAGGGTGTTATCTGTGATGACTCTTGATGAATAAATAGAATTTTATCCAGGCCAGGCGTGGTGGCTTACATCTCCAATCCCAGCATTTTGGGAGGCTGAGGCGGGAGGATCGCTTGAGCCCAGGAGTTTGAGACCAGCCTGAGCAACATAGGAAGACCCTGTTTCTACAAAAAATAAAAATAATTAGCTGGGTATGGTGGCATGTGACTGTAGTCCCAGCTACTCTGGAGGCTGAGGTGGAAGGATTGCTTGAGCCAAGGAGATTGAGACTACAGTGAGCCACAATTGCACCACTGCACTCCAGCCTGAGTGACAGAGACTCAGTCTCAAAAAAAATTAATAAATAAAATAGAAGACATGAAAAAGGACTGTGTGGTATGAAGAGCAGGTGCAAAATTGTGTAGTGTTGAAGAAGCTCCGTTAAGAAGACAACGTGCCTAGACTGTTAGGTGAACTGGGATGACATGATGAATCACACTTACTGATCATGTACCATGTGTTCAGCTCTGTGCTAAGCACTTCACCTGGATCATTACACAACCAAGCTTCACAATAACTCAGTATGAGGAATATCCTTATTGTTCTATTTTGTACATGGTAAACTAAGGCCCAGAAGGATTACACACCTAGCAAGGGTCAGAACAAGAATCTAAACAAAGACCTTCTGATTGCAGTACCCAGGCTCTTAGCAAGGGTTGGAAATGAAGCTGCTGCTGTATGTTGGGCTCAGACTATGGGGGGGTTCCTGTGGGTCAGAGGAAAGGGTCACCTTTCACTCTGGAGACTCACGTGGTAGGAGGCTCTCTAGGTGCTAAACCAGAGCAGGCAGAGAGTAGACAACTGTTGAATTTAAAAGCAAATGAATTTTCTAATTGACTTAAGCCATTCCTGTTTCTGGTTTTGTGGTAGTTGCCACTGCTTCTCCAGTTACTTCAAGAGCTGTTGTGAAATTCTCAATGCAATCTCCAAAGAAAATCAATTGAAAAACACATATTTGTTCATGTGAATTATTCATGAACATTAATATACTTAAGTATATATGAATTTAAATTAGTTTCATTTGGAGTTTTTAAACATTTCAGAGGTACACATACACAAGTTATTCACAAGTTATTCATTCAACATTTGCTGTATGGCAGAAAACAAGTAGATGCCTAGAAACTAATAGCTTGGTAAACAACAACAATAATAATAATAATATTAACAATAGATATTTCCTGAGTATTTTCTGTATTCTAGATACTGTTCTCTATATTTTACAGATATTAACTCAGTTATTCTTCATAAAATCTCTATTTTTACCATTATCCCTATCTGAAAGACAAAGAAACAGTAAATTGTTCCATAGAGAGAGCCCAAACTGTTTGTCATTAGAGTTTAAGTTATTAACCCTAATGGTACACATAGTAGATTCATAGTACACATTCACTGAATGAGTAGACCAAATACTTAACAAAATAATAATAATTAATATTTTTTGTAAGACTGTGTGTGTCTTATTCAGAAATAATATATCTAAAGGAACTTAGTTTCTGCTAGTAGAAGTAAGCTATGAATACCAATAACACACTACATAGCCATTTGCGAATATGATTATTGTAAGTATTTATAACAGAAATTAAAAGAGGAAAGATTGATTCTACATGGAGAGATTAAGATAGTTCATAGGTGAGGTGACTCTAGACTGAGCCTTAAAGGATTTATGTGCACAGAGATGGGGACTGGAGGGGCTGAGGGGAGAGTGAGGGTTCCAGTCAGGGAGATCCCTGTAAGAAGGAAAACAGTGATCCTGTATGGAAAACATGGAGCAGTTTCCTTTAGCTGGAATGTTGATGCTCTGAAGCACCTAGTGACCTTTCTCTGTTCTCCTTCCTTTACCTCTTTTATCAGTTAGGACTGCATTCAGCTACAAGTATGCAGAAAACACAAATACAGTAACTTACACACAGAAGGTTCATTCTCCTCACATGACAAGAAGTCATAAATGGATGGTTGTTAGCATTGGTGTAGGCTAGTAGCTTCCCAGCGTTGGGCTGGCATCTTTGTGATTCTCTTTGCCTTTTCTTCATGGTTGTGAGTTGTCTGTCCCAGCCTCAGGCACGATCCACGAACTTAAGGCAGGAATAAGGGGCAGAATGAAATTGGACCACACTGACTGGGGCTCTTCCTTTAATCTTGAGTTTAAAAGCATTTCCCGCATCCCCCAGCAGACATGTGCTCATGTCTTATTGGCCTGAACTGTGTCACGTGGCCACTCCCAGCTGCAAAGGAGGCTAGGAAAGACAGTATTTAGAAATTCTATAGTATAAGCAGAAAAGAGAAAATGGGGTAGAAATGGAAGCTGGTTCAGCCAATCAGCAGTGTCCATCAGGCTCTAATAATGATAATATTAGCAACTATTCCTTACCTGAGGGCTTCCTATGTGCCCATCATAAGCTAATCACTTCCCATACATTTATCTAATTTAATATGATATTCATTACAAAAGATCTGTGGGAGAGCTATTATTATTCCCATGTTACCAAGATTCACCCAGGTTCAGTCATTTTCCCAAGTTCAAACAGCTGCAAAGGAGCAGAAGCGCAACACTTCTAGGCCTGCCCTTAGCTAGGATACATTCCCACCTCCCTTTATGATGGTGATCACTGACTGATCCTCTGCAATGTGACTAGCTTTGCATGTTTGTCACTTCTATTGATTTTCACAACAGGTCTGAGTTGTCAAATATTACTATTTGACAGATGAAAACTGAAACTCAGCAAGTTTACATGACTTGCCCAAGGTCACACACCTGCAGGTGACTGAGCTGAGATTCATAACCCAGGATGATTCATTCCAAAGCCTGGATGCTTTCTTCTGTGTTGTGCCACATTTTTTGTGAGACCCCATTAGCAAATGACTCCAGTCTACCCCATTCAAAATACCTCCCAACTATTACTGCTCTCCAGTCCACGGATACTTACCTGCCTCAGGCCCTCATCACATCATAATTAGACTATTCTAAGAATCTACTAAGCAGCCTTCATACTTTTACTTTCTCCTACCAGATCTACCTTCCTAAAATATAATTTGCATCATGTGGCCCGCTTCTCTGCTCAAAAGCCTCCATGGCTCCCCACTGCCCAATAAAAGAAGTTCAAGTTTCTGAGCCAAATCTGGCCCTCACCAATTCTCCTTCCTTTCCTTCCGTTATTAGTTACCTTCTACTTTTGACTTGTCCCCTAATGTTTATTGCATGAAGACCGGTCTTGCCAAAGTACAAATCAACTCAATTCAGCCAGTTCATGTGCCCAGTCCAGTGGGATCTTGACAGATGGGAGCCTAGTTAGAGGTGTAAAGAAAAGACTCACCACGTGGGAGACACAGCAGACGTAAAGGCATGGGATGGAGAGGATGAAGAATTTAGTCAGTCCTCCCACTGGTCAGGTGTGGCTGCAGGAAGAATGTTGTACTGGAAGATCACAGGGGAAACTTCTGCCAATTAATGTGTTCAAACTGGGAGAGAAAAAAAAAAAAAAACAATCATATAGTCATACCCAGCCTTCAAGCAGTGCGTACCAAACTCAAAAGTGAATCTTTGGCTCATGGTCATTATCTAATGATTCTAAGTCTCCCAGAAAAATCAGTCCTGTAATTGACATCTTACAAATGAAGTTGGTTGCTAGAGATAAGAGAGTCAGTCCCTTCTTTCCCAGTCCCTCCCCATTAGGGAAAAGAATTCAATGTGGGCATAATGGAAAGTCTTTAGCATCTGAACAGATGTGGGTTTGAATCCTGACAGTGGCAGCCTCGGGCACATAAGTCACTCCACCTCTCAGAGCCTCAATTGCCTCATTTGTCAAAGGCAGATAACTGAGCCTATCAATGTTGTCACAAAGCCTTGAGAAGTTTAAGGGAGGAAGAGTGGAGAGATCAGTGTTCAAGCACACCCAACTCTAATCACTCTGAAGCCACATGGTTTTTGTGGGGAAAACTGCTACAGAGGAGCCTCTGCAGACCCAAAAAATGTCAGGGTAAGAGTCACAACCAGTCTGGAAAGGCACTTAAAAGATGCAATTTGTCTCAACTGGCTTGGTTTTATGTCTAAACAGGGAGAGAACTTACTAAACCACACTCATGACAAGGAAGCCAAACTGCTTATGCATGGCAGAATACAGAATTGCTCGCTAAGGGTGATTTAATGGAACTAGGAATATGCAACGCAGCCACATCAGTTAAGTGCCAGACTTAGACTGCTGAGCACAGATGGGCCAAATTCTGGGCTTAGCCCTGCTGTTAACTAGTTCTCTGACCTTGTACAGGTCACGGCCATCTCTCTGCCTCCTGTGCAGCATCTATAAAAGGGACACAAAAAACACTATTGGCTATGAGAATGAATATGTGAAAATGTTTTAATTACATTTAATTTTAATTATTTTGTCATAAAATCATCTTAAAATGTGAAGTGGGTTATTGATGTTGTTATGTTGGTCCTTCATAGAGTAGTCAAAGTCATAGAAAAGCCCTTCATAAATATTTCTGTCCTCAGGAATTCACATTCTAGTGGGAGAGGCTGACATGTGCATAAATCACTCTAATACAAGGTAAATAGTGGTAAGGACCATAGGAAAGGTACAAGCCAAAGGCCCTGGGGACGTGGGAGTCAGGAGATTACTTTTCAATAGGGGGATCTGGAAAGGTTTTGTGAAGGAGACAGGATTTGGGTTGGGCCTTGAAGGCTTAGGAGAGCTTTGATTTATATCATCTTGTCTTGTGACTCACAGAGCATGCGGAGCTTTCTCCTCTCAATTGACTCAGCTCCTGAAGGGTAAAGACGTTTACTTTCATCTGCCATCACTGGCTCCCCAGTATAGGGCTTGGCAACCAGGCAGTGCTCTCTAAATGTTGTCTGAGTCCAGTTAATAATTATGATAGAAGGAGAAGGAGGAGGAATCAGAGGAGGAGGAGGAGTTATAGGAATAATATGGGTAGTATTTACTCTTCGTGGAGGTTACGTTCTGCGTCAGGTGATTTAATGCATTGTCCCTCCTGACCCTCCCAACAAACCCGAGCAAGGCGTTATCATCACACACCCCATTCCCCACCCCCTGCTCCAGATATGAGGGAACTGAGGCCCAGGGGGCGTGCTGCCTACACCAGGCCTCATAGCTAGTAAGCAGTGAAGTTGGCTTCACACCCAGGTCACTTGAGTCCCAAACTCACCAGCCATGATATGATGCAGCCAGAAAGTGAAGACAGCACTCCTGGAAAGTTTCTAAGAACCATGGATCCTATGACATTTCCAGTGGAAACAGTCTTCCAGTCTAGCAGATGTGTATGTCAGGGCTTCCCAGAGAAACAGAACCAATAGGATATAGATAGATAGATACATACGGCCGGGCGCAGTGGCTCACGCCTGTAATCCCAGCACTTTGGGAGGCCAAGTGGGGCAGATCATGAGGTCAGGAGATCAAGACCATCCTGGCTAACAAGATGAAAGAAACCCCGTCTCTACTAAAAATACAAAAATTAGCCGGGCGTGGTGGCGGGTGCCTGTAGTCCCAGCTACTTGGGAGGCTGAGGCAGGAGAATGGCGCGAACCCAGGAGGTGGAGCTAGCAGTGAGCCAAGATCCCACCACTGCACTCCAGCCTGGGCGACAGAGCGAGACTCCGTCTCAAAAAAAAAAAAAAAAAAAAAAAAAAGGATAGATAGATACATACATACATGATAGAGAGATAGATGAGATAAATACTTTCTTTTTTTTTTTTTTTTTTTGAGACAGGGTCTCACTCTGCCACCTAGGCTGAAGTGCAGTGACGCAGTCATAGCTCACTGTAACCTCAAACTCCTGGGCACTAGCGATCCTCCTGCTTCAGCCTCCCCAGTAGCTAGCACTACAGGCATGTGCCACCATACCTAGCTAACTTTAAAGTTTTTTGTAGAGATGGGGTCTCACTATGTTGCCCAGACTGGTCTGAAACTCCTAGCCTGAAGGTGTCCACCCACCTTAGCCTCCCAAAGCACTGGCATTACAGGTGTGAGCTACCACAACCAGGCCAGAAATAGAGATTTGTTTTAAGAAACTGGCTAACAGAATTGTCAGAGCTAGCAAGTCCAAAGTTCACAGGGAACGTATGGAAACCCACAGGGCATGCTGGAAACTCAAACTCACGCAGGATTTACACATTGAATCTTGAGGCAGAATTCCTCCTTTTCTGGGAAACCTGCTTTTGTTCTTAAAGCCTTCAGTTGATTGGATGAGTTCCACCCACGTCATAGTGTGTAATCTGCTTTACTTAAAGGCAACTGATGGTAAGTGTTAATCATACCCACAAATACATTCACAGCAGCATCTAGACTAGTGTTTGGCCAAACACCTGGACATCATAGCCTAGCCAGGTTGACACAAATATTAACTATTTTAAGATGTAAATAAACAGGAACCCCAGAAAGTTTTTTATATTTAGGCACTTCATCTCCTTTTTTCTTTGTTTTTAGTTAAGGTTTTAAGAAAGAATGCATAAGAACAACAAAAAGAGTTTGAAATTCTATGCACTTTTAAGGGAAAATATCTTTTTCTCATAAAGTGAAGACTATTTTTTAAAAATTTATACAAGGGTAAAAAATAAAGTGAATAGAAAATGCCAAGGTTTGATTTAAACATCAAAATATTTTATGCATGTTTAGTTTTAGATTTCACTACATGGGCAAGGAAGAATGCTTGACTCTCCTGGTGTATGTGTGGTAACCGTTTTACACAGAGTTCTAGAAAGTCAGTACCAGGAGAAGATCTTGGGTGTCATTTTGCATAACCCCACATTGTTAAAAATGGGGATACCAGGACCCAGAGAGGGTAACCCAATGGCACAGCATGGCAGAGCTGGGGCCTCATTCACCAGGCTCATTATCCAATTT
This sequence comes from Homo sapiens, assembly GCF_000001405.40. Lineage (NCBI taxonomy): Eukaryota > Metazoa > Chordata > Mammalia > Primates > Hominidae > Homo > Homo sapiens. The sequence goes on along the minus strand of NC_000011.10, from coordinate 79,668,871 downwards.
TGTTACAACAGAGAAAAGAAAAACACACATGAAGCCCACATTCTTCGGTATAGAGTTGCATGAGCCTCACTCAGGCCAGCTGTGAGCCAGATGTCCGCCCTCCCCAAAGGGGCTGCCTGAACAAATGAGGGAGAAGATGAGGACTGCAGGGTGGGGTAAGTCCCAGCCCCCACGGGAACAGGACAAGCTGCTGAGTACACTCAATGCTGACCTGGGTGAGGGAGACCTGGATGTCCCGGGAGAACATCAAGCAGTCCATGAATGGAGCAAAGCTGGCAAGCCAGATTCCTGGATTTTAGTCTCCATTTTGCCCTCTCCTAGCTCTGAGTTGTTTTTCTGGGCCTCAGTCTTCTCTACAAAATGGAGAAAATAATGACCTAACTATATGAAGGCAGAAAAATCAGAAGATCTAGATTTGAATCCTGCCTTTTTCACTTAGAAATGATTTGTCTCTGGGTAATTCACTTAGCCTCTCAAACCTCAGCTCATAACGAAGGATAATAATAATTCTTGTTTAGGATTTAAGGAGAGTAACTCATGTGAGGTGTCAATCACGTGGGTCCCCCAGAGTAGGCACTCAGAAATTATTCCTTCCTTAATTCATCCTTAATTCTCTAAAACCAAATTCCAAAGATCTCTGCTTCCCCAATCTCTCCCATCGCACTCAGTGACCCACTCAGTGACCCCTCCTTCACCACCTCTCCACGCTAATCAAACATTCAACAATTTATTAAGGAACTACTGGGTGGTGGGGACTCCACTGGGCCCATCCCTGCCCCCTCAGAGCCTGCACGCTGACCTCCACGCTGCAGCCTCAGCCATGGCCCACAGCCTGGGTGTCCCCTGGAGATGCCGTATTTTAGCTTCACCTTGACAGCACTGCTGACAGTATTTCCAACCTCCAGCCCCAAGGCAAAAGCACTGGCCAACTCTCCCTTGTGGGAAGGCTAGGAGCCTGGCAGGGAGGGTGTAGGAGAGGCCTGAGGGTAGGTCCTGACAGCTGGTACTATTGAAGTATTGATGACTTCCACCCACACTTTGTAATCTAGGAGAGGCTGCCTTTGCAACTCTCACCTAAATAGTAACAGGGGCCCAAAGAACACTGTTAGCTCTGTTGAGGGATCTGTGAAGTGAGTTCCTCCCGATCTTCTTTCCTGTCAGGTGAACTGTCCATGGTCTCTGCAGGGCCTGAACCACCCCTGGGCACTGTTTGCCCATGGCATGGGCCTCATGTGTGCAGCACCTGGGAAGAAGCTGATTATAATCTGGTGTCTGAGACCTGGCAGCCCCAGACTCTCTTCCGTGAGTCAGGCTCAAGTCTGAGCACATCTGTGGTGCCGATGTTTGCTGCATTGCTCGAGGAAGGTAGGGAAATGAAATCAACACTTTATGTGTGAGCTGGGATGCAGCTGAGAAATCATTTAATCCAATCACTCATTGTGGGGGCCTCTGAAAGTTTCTGTTGCTCAAGCTTAGAGTCCTTTCCCAGGCCCATGCTGGCAACCCTGCCTTCCCTTCCCTTCACAGTCCCAGGGCCTCATCCTGCTTCCCTCCCTCTTTAGCGTGACCACAACCCACTTAGCTGGAGAGTAGGATGCAGGATCCAAAGCAACGTATCCTGCACTTCCACACAAACCATACCCCAAATAGACAAACAGCAAGCAAACTCTGCAGATTTTCCACCTAGGACATAAACTTAGGTAACCAAGTAACCAATGGGGGAAAGCCCCCAACCTCCCATGAGCTGAGCCTCCTTATGGTCCCTGGTCTGTTGTTCCCAGTGCCCTCTGTGCTAAACGTGAGGTATGGGAGTCCCCTCTGTGTTCATTTCAGGAGGCTGAGGTCACCAAACCTTCTCCCCTCTGGGGGACCTAAAGTGAGGCCTCTTTCCAGAATGAGGCCAGAGGAGACAATCCAGAGCAGACAATGGGTTCCTCTGGCCTCCAGGCAGAAACCTGATTCCCCTTCCCCATAGTAATTACCATCTCTGGGCATCTTTTCACACCCCTTTATTTTAAATATGAGAAACTAAGGCCAAGAGGAGTTAAGAGATTTACCAGGATCCCACACTCTATGGATGCACAGCCCAGGCTAGAAACCTCAGCCTTTCTACCTCTTGACTTGGCTTTTTCCATACAACTTGGCCTTGGCCTCTCCTAGCTATGAGCTGCTTTTCCATCCAACTTGGCAACTTGTTGGCCTGAGCAGTGTCCAAGCCCTTATATTGGTTAGTTTTGCTCAGTTCCCTAATAAGGCTCCAACTATTCTTTTTGTTTAAGGGATAAAGTCCCAAATCCACCTTCCAGGGTGGGGCATAACACTGTCAAACCATTTAAGCATCAGTTCCCTTTGATCTCCTTTTAGGGCAGAGTTACTAATTCTCAATACTCTTATTTTTCTCAAAGCACCAGGAAAAGCCAGCCTTATCTAAACCACCTGTTGGAACACACATCATGTCACTCTGCAGAGGCAACTGGGTAAATCTAGCTTCCTCTGTTAGGTTCTAGGCTAAGAGGAATAGTGACATTCACTAGCAAAATGTAGTAGGATGAGGACAGAGAATGGGTTTTGGAATCAAATATAAACGTAAAGCTTGGCTGAGCATTTTGGTATTCTGTGACACCGAGAAAGTTACCTAATTTCTCTGAGCCTTGGTGTGTTTCTCTATAAAACAGGGATACAGATATTTACCTCTCACGATTAGTTCAAAAATTTATGAGGTAATGTATATGAAGCACCCAGCTTCCTCTGCATTAAATAAGAATTTCTTTATTTAGCTCTCCCCACCTACCCCATAGTGGGATTTTTTAAAGCAATAATAACTTGACTATTTATAAAGCACATTTTGGGTGGGTGTATGTGTACACATGCATGTGTGTATATGTGTGTATATGGTCTAGACCAACCTTGAAGGGTGCAAATGGGCTCCACAAAAAGGCCCTGTTGCTTGATGACAAAGACCCCCTACCCTACAAAACAGAGACCCTAATTTTCAACTGCCTCCTACCAGATGTATTCCCTAGCACAAGTCACTAACATCTTTGCCCTTCAATGTCATCACTCACAAAATAGGAGTCATACTGCTTTCCTCATAGTATTGCTCTAACAGAATGTAAAATATTAGAAACCATGCACCTGGAAGGGGTTGTTATTCCCTAGAGCAGCACTTACCAAAGGATGTAGAAATAATGCAAAAATAGGATTCCCTATTTGGTGGTAAGTTTAGGAAACACTGGGTTAAAAAGATTTCTTTCTTGTGGGCCTTTTCTCCATGCCTTTAATCTGCCAATATGCATTAGGAATCTCTCAGACTGGGATGCATTGCACCACATCTCCCAAGAATATTTGACTACTAAACTTACATTTGGAAGCTGGTATCATGGGCTCAGTGTTCTACAGGACATGCTTTGGGAAACACTCTGAGACATGCTTCAAACTGCCTCCACAACCCAGAGAATGAAGGATTTGACTGTTCCATCTTACCTGGATACACAAAGCAATAGTGAGAACTAATTTAGTAGCATAAAGGATAGCTTTTAAAAGCAATTCCTTCTGGCAGCAGAAGTAAAGAGCACAGGTACCAAGTTTTAAGAACCTGGAGCCACACTGTAATGGCATTAAATGAAGGTGTCATTGGGAGGCCCAGTGAGCCCCAAACAATTACAGAAGGTTTCAGCTTAGAGGTGGCACCCCCTAGGGCAGCTAAGAGGCTAAGAGGCTAAGAGGCAATGGACTCAAAATGGCTGGATTTCCTTTTTTTTTTTTCTACATTTTTTTTTTACAGCTTAAACAGCATGGGGGAAAGGTAAAAGGCAGAACTTATAAAGCTACCACTTGGGAATGAAAGCTGGTCAGAAGTTACTATGAAAGGCCTATATAGCCTTTTGAATGCAAGCAGATAAGTTCAGTATCTTCCGTGCAAAAAGGATCCTTCTGAAAACCAAAACCGTCATATTCCCAGGAACATATGTGGCTGGGAAGTGTGGTACTCATCACAGCTCTGGGCTTTTGCACAAACTGTATCCTCACTTGAAATGCCCTCCTTCCTCATCCAGGTGTGGCAACTCCCCCCTCCTGCCCCCTGCAACCATCACTCTCTTTCACCTGCTATTTTTTTAACTTTCATTTTAAGTTTAGGGGTACAAGTGCAGGTTTCTTACATAGGTAAACTTGCATCATGGGGATTATTGTATAGATATTTCATCACCCAGCTATTAAGCTTAGTACCCATTAGTTATTTTCCCTGATCCTGTCCCTTCTCCCACCCTACATCCTCCACCCTCCAATAGGTCCCAGTGTATGTTTCTCCCCCTCTCTGTGTTCATATGTTCTCATCATTTAGCTCCCACCTATAAGTGAGAAAATGCAGTATTTGGTTTACTCTTCCTGCATTAGTTTGCTAAGGATAATGGCCTTCAGCTCCTTCCATTTCCTTGAAAAGGACATGATCTTGTTCCTTGTTATGGCTACATAGTATTCCATGGTGTATAGGTACCATATTTTCTTTATCCAGTCTGTCATTGATGAGCATTTAGGTTGATTCCATGTCTTTGCTATTGTGAATAGTGCTGCAGTGAACATGCATGCATTTGTCTTTATAATGGAATGATTTATACTTCTTTGGGTATATACGCAGTAATGGGATTGCTGGGTTGAATGGTATTTCTGTCTTTAGGTCTTTGAGGAATTGCCACACTGTCTTCCGCAATGGCTGAACTAATTTATACTCCCACCAACAGTGTGTAAGTGTTCCTATTTCTCCACAACCTCACCAACATCTGTTACCTTTTGACTTTCAAATAATAGCCATTCTGACTGGTGTGAGATGGTATCTCATCATAGTTTTGATTTGCATTTCTCTAATCATCAGTGATATTGATATGTTTTTCATTATTGTTGCCCACATGTAAGAAGACATACATATGGCCAATAATCATATGCTGTTTTAAATCAACATATAATCCAACTGTCCACTGTCTCTTCCTTCTCCTGCTAGCCCTGAACACCTGCTCTACAACCACTACCAAATAAATACACTGTACATAAATATCAGGAACAAAACAGAATTTACTGAAAAGTCCACAAAGGAGAGAGTAAAGAGAATGTACACAGTACATCCACAGAAGACTGCTCAACAGGTGTTTTGTTTTTTTGATACGTCTTATTTCCCCTTAGCAGGCCCTCTGCCATGCTTTTTCTGAAGACCCTCTTTTCCATTTTACCCCTTTATATAGTATATAGCCTAGCTAGCTTCTGTCTTTCATTCCTAGATCTTAGATATTAAAGGCAAGATTCTAACAATGCAGAAGAGTGGAAGAAACGCAATCATCGAAGTCAATATAGAGCTCGCTTCCAATCCTGGCTTAACAGCTTCCTAGTTGAGGGATCTTGCACAAGTCACTTTACATTTCTAAGACTCCATTTCCTCTTGGGGGATATGGGGATGATAGTCCTATTTTGCCTAGTGGTTTTGTGGATGAGAGAAGAGGAATATGAAACGCATAGCATGGTGCCTGGCACAAAGCAGGCTCTCAGTGAATTGCAGGAACAATGATGCAGAGAGGAATTGAGAAGGGTCTGAACCCATATGGTGGCTGTTACAATGGGAAGGCAGGGACAGGTGCATGAGACATTGTGTCTCAACACAGACTGGGGCTGTGCTGGAGTGAAAGCAAGTGATGACAGGTCTCTGTTAAAGAGATTAAGTGCTTGGCCTTGCATGAAGCTCGGAGTGCCAGTCATGATGTGGCTTGACAGCTGAGCATCAGGGACTGCTGTGAAAATAAGCCAGGTGTCTCCCAGGGCCCACCCTAGGGATAAAAGGGCTGAATTAATTAATTAAAATAATAGTTGAAGAACTGCCTGATGTTCAAACAGATAAATGACAGGGCCATCTAATTGGTGAATGTGGATAGAACTGTTAATAAATGGCTTTTTGATTGTAAGTTCTAAATGTCTCTTATAAAGTTATGGTTCATTTTAAATGTGTATTTGTGGCCATGTGTGGTTTCATGCTGCTTTATAGAGTGACTGCTGAGGCATAAAGTTGACATACCTTGCTTTAATTTTTAACCTGGTCACAACACGGCAAAGAATAGCATATTGTAATACTTGGCTCTTCCAGAAAGCAGAACAAGACAGGATAGTATGAAGGTCTTCAATGCTAGCCAGTACTTTGTCATAGAAAGACCTGACCTTCAAATTAGACAAAGAAACATCACAGCCCTAACTCTGACCCTCAGGAGTTTGAGTGAGGCCATATTATTCAACCTCTCTGAGTCTCAGTTTTCTAATCTATGTAATGGGTACAAAAATTCCTACCTCTCTGGGTTGTACTGAGGCACAATTAAGATAGCCTAAGGGAAAGCAGGTGCCTGACATATGACTGATGTTCAGGACACTTCATTTGACTTCCAGAGAGATCAGATTTACAGGATTTACATTGTGAGGCTTTACGTTGGATAGCATGAGGGAGACGAGAAGACTGCTCAGAACTTTACGTATGGCTGCAGATGTCTACGGCTTGCTGTTGAGAGTAGAGATAGGGCACAAAAGTCAAGAGTGCACACCTGGGAGTCAAATACCATTTCAAGGCTTTGGTGGGCTGAGAAGCATGACTATAATATGACAGTGGAAAGAAATATTATTTTTAAAAAAGGAGGAAGAAGAAAATGCTAAGGAAAAAGATGGAGGGACTCAGGGTGTTAAAAAGCTGGTGTCTACACAGTGTCAGTAGAAGTATGAGGTAAGGCATTTGGGTTGTGGATAAAAGAAAGACTCAGAGGTGATAGTGATGTAGGAATGAGCTGCTGAGGATGCCGCCTGCTCATGGACAGGAATCCCTGATATAGAACCCAGAACTGGCACATGGTCCAGCCATAGCAGAGCCCCCAGTAGCCTCTGGGATGCTAGGAGGACCACAGACACATTTTTCTGTAGATCATTTTACACTCAAAAGGGAGGACCCAGAAAATTGCTCCTGGGGCCCCACCTTAGGGCTGAATAGTTCAAAATCATTAACAGTGATACACACATGACATGAGTTTTAGTAGAAACAAACTGTCACATGGAGTCAAAACAAGTCAGGACTTCCAGCTTGAGCGCTTCTGCATTCTAGGTGTCAGGAGAGCAGATGTTTAGAAACTAAGTATAATGCCCAGCCTCCAAGTAAACAGACTCAAGGTCTAAACAGAGGTTTCCAACTGTACCATCTTGAGTGGCCCAATAAGGAAGAAAAGGCTGCATGTATACCTGCATAGTCACACAGAAAGCCAAACTGCTAAGCTCATGATCTGTCATTTTTGTTGTCATGGAAGCAGCACAGACTCCAGAGCTGGGCATGCCTGGGTTTGAATTTTAGACCCATTAATATGAGCTATGTAACCCCTGGCAAATTCTTTAAGCTTTCTGAGTTTGTTTCTTTATGCATCAAAAAGAAACAATACTACTAATATCTCAGTGTCGACATAGGATTAAATGATATACAGCAATATACACAAAATGCTCTACCTGTCCCTGGAACATAGGAATTGCCCAAAGTAAAACATGAGTCTCTTTCCCTTTCACTTTGTAGGATTACTTGGCACATGCAGTGAAGGAAAGCCACCAATAGGCAGGCCACCTTTCAAAAGTGAGTCTGAAAACTTTTTCTTGCCCCATGGGCAGGATAATTGAGGGGCAGTGTTTATCCTGACTGTGTCTTGAATGGTGGAATTGAGAGTCTGATTGAGGAAATTATTTTGGACATAACTGTGTTAAAGATAAAGGCAGAATTTTTCCAATCACACTGTTCAGGAAGCCATCAGTCTTGCTGCCCATACACAAAGGTCCTGCAATGAAGGATAACAGAAAGCCAATGGGGAGATGCCAGCAGGGCCCAAAAGAACCTCAGTTGCCCACTTGGGAGAGTGTACAGGGTGCTCAGATCTCTATACTCTGATCTGCTCATCAGCCCCTCTTTTTATTGGATCTCTCTTTCACCACATTGTTTTGGCAGATAAATGACTTACTGCATTTAATAGTTTTTGTTTGTTTGTTAGGTCAGTTCCTTCAAGGAACTGGAAAAGGCTTGGCAGCCTAAGGCCACAAATGCAACCTCGAAGCATAGAGCCCATATAAATTCTGGCCTGAGGAGGCAGACCACTGGAGAAGGAGCCAGGGGTCCTGGACCTCGTCCTCACTCTGCCAGTTTCTTAGCTCTCTGACCTTGAGCAAGTGGCAGAAAATCTCTGGTCCTTAGTTTCCTCATCTGGAAAATGGGGGAAATCGTGTGTGTGTGTATTAAGAGTGGGGGTGGGGGTTGTTGCCAATATTGTCTTAAAGTAGAGTGTGTTGTAAAACCTACTCAAATGTGAGCAATTATGAATTGCCAACATGGCGAAGTTGAAACCCTAGCTAAAATGTATTGTATAACTGTCATGTGCCAGACATTGTTCAACATCCTTTATATTTTCAATTCTTCAAATTTTACCTCCCCATTAAGTAGGTCCTATTATTATTCCCATTTCACAAGTGGAGAAACTAAAACAAGTTAAATAACTCATCCAAGGCCGCAGAGCTGGTAGGGGTCAGAGCCAGAATTTGAACAGAAGTCAGCTGGCTTCCAAGTACTATAGGCTTTGCTGCTTAGCTCTACTTTGGAGATGGGCAGAACTGATTGTTAACTAAAGACCGTTCACTTATCTGATGTTTTGCAAGCCAAATCCTTTAACTGTTCTGACCTCAGTGGCCTTATTGACAAAGTAGTGGTGCCATTCCCCACCCCATGGAGTTGTTGCGAACAGTAAATTGGGTCAGTGTGTGTAGCAGGTAAATTTAATATGAAATAAATTGATATTTCTTCCCCCATCTCTGCTCCAGGAAGGAAAGACTAGCTATGGCTCTACAAGTCTTGGCTTATCTAAGGGTGGACAACAAACCAGTAAAAAATAAACTAGTAAAAAAAAATGAATGAAGAGTTATGGACTATAATAAGTACTAGGAAGTAGAACCAGGATGATAATAGAGAAGAACATGGGATGCCTACTTGGATAGGGTGGTCAGGGAAGCACCACTGAGGAGGTGATAAATCAAGTGAAAAACAGTGGGGATTGTTTTAATCTTGTAGCAGAAGTTGGAGAATCTCTGATGATGACTGAGGCAGCTGGGAACTCTGGAAAGATTTTGAGAGAAATAATGGAATGATGATGACATTTCTTTTGGCTGAGGGTGGTGGGGCAAAGTATCCCATGCACATTTTTGTGTATAGCTGAGGGCCATGAGTGGAACATTATAGCTCCAAAAGGAGTCTGGTTTCTTTCCCTCTCTCTTGCTATCATCGCCCATTATGTGGCAGTAGCCATGGAAGTATGTAAGATTAAAGCCTTCTCTTTTCATTTGGAAAAATGTATGCCACAGTGAATCAACACTTCAGCTTTTCCCTTCCCACCAAAAAAAAAAAAAAAAAAAAAGAATTTTAATTTTAACATGAAAATTTGATGAGCCGAATATACAGCATCGCCTGGGTCGATATCTACATTTCAAATGCATTTACTGTCATTACTGAAAAAAATGTCCACTTGGTGAACCATTAAGACAAAGCGCTGAGTAAATTAGCTAAATCATGCCTAGGGTAACCGCACTGCAGGGCTTGCTGGAAAAAAACCCTCTTCCTGCAAGTGATGATTGGTAAAAGAATGATACTGGAAAATGACCTCTCTAGGAAGGAGAGAGCTGCTATCAGGAGATCACTAAAAAGGAGGCAAAGATTTGAGGAGGCATAGGGAATGTATTGAAGTGTGAATAAGTAGACCTCAGTGAGTTTCCCTTCTGTGTCACCAACCAGCTATGTAACCACTTATTTCTAAGTATACGTTGAGTACGTACTATGTGTAAGGCAGTGTTCTAGGCACTAAGGATTTAGCAGTTAGCAAGTGAACTACACAGACAAATGCCTGCCCAGCTGGGGCTTACATTCAGATAGAAGGAGATCATTGTGGACTGAATGTTTGTGTACCTCCTGCATGCGTTGAAGCCCTAAACCCCAATGTGACAGCATATGGAGATGGAGACTTTAGGAGGTAATTAGTATGAGATGAGGTCATGAGGACAAGGCCCTCATCATGGGATTTGTGCCCTTTTAGGTAAAGACATCAGAGAGTTTGTTTGCCCTCTCACTCAGCCATATAAACACTCAGGGAGAAGGTAGCCACCTGTCTGCAAACCAGATAAAGGGCTCACGCCAGAACCTGGCCATGCTGGAACCTTGACCTCAGAGTTCCAGGCTCTGGGACTGTGAAAAACTAAATCTCTGTTGTTTAAGCCACCCAGTCTGTACTATTTTGTTATGGCAGTGCAATCTTACTAAGACAAATAGTAAATTGTAAACTAAGATTTAGAATGTGTAGTATGCCAACTGGGAAGTATTATTGAGTAAAAGAAAGGGCAGGAGATAGGAAATGCTTAGCAGTGGATGGTAGGAGGGGAGAAGTGATTTTAAATCGGGCGACCAGGGGAGGCCTCACTGAGAAAAACCCATAGGTAGACACAGCATAAAAGTTAAAAGCATAAGCTTATTAATTTTTTTAGCTATCTGTCATATGGTTCTAAATCCCAGATCCACCCATGACCAGCTGGATAATATTAGGCCGGTAGTTTGCAAACTTTAATCAAATTTTGGCATTCATCAGAATTACCTGGAGGGCTCTTTAAACACATATGGTTGGGCCCACCCCAAGAATTTCTGATTGAATATGTCTGGAGTCAGCTGGAGAGTCTGCATTTCTCCCAAGTTCCCCGCTGATGCTGATGCTTCTGTTGCAGGACTGAGACTGTACTTTGAGAACCACTGCAACAGAGACTAGATGCTACTCAGAACCTCAGCTTTCCCAGCTGTAAACTAGAAATGCCAATACCCACATCCTAGAGTGGCTGTCAGCACTTGGCACACAGCTGTCAATAAGTGCCAGTTGCTGGTCTTGTGATTCTTGTCTAGGCCTCAGTTTCCTCAATTATAACATGAGGCCCTTCACTAGAAGAGGTAGCTTTGTGCTAAGAATGAAGGCTCAGTACAGGGGCTCCCAGTCTGTCTTAAGGGTTGGGGTTACAGAAAGATTGCTGGAAGAGTTGACACAAAGCTGAGTCTTGACGGGTGTCTGGGCATTAGCATGGGTGAAGAGTACAGAGGAGGAACTTGAAGAAGGCATTCTGAGCTGAGGGGGCCTTGTGTGCATAGGTTCTGCAGTGAGGAAAAGCATTGTATGTCCAGGGAACTGCAGACTTACGGTGCATGTGTGCACTTATGGTGCCCCACTGAGAGAGGAAAAGCTTGTATGAGGCCTAGCAAAGTGGCTTGGTTTTATGCCGAAGCCAAGAGGGGCCAGTGAAGGGTTTGTGCAGGAAGGAGAGTGAATCCTGCTTAGGGTTCAGAGTGGAAGTGATTCCTAGGAGTAGTGTGGAACAAGGACTGAAATAGGACAGGTATGTCTGGAGGCCAGTGAGGAGGCCAGGGCCACGGCGTATGGTGGGTCAGGTTGTACACTGCACTATAGTCCCTGGCTGGGAGAAAATGGGACCAAAATCCAGCCCCCAAATAGCTCCCCAGGCAGCTCCAGCATGGGGCTGGGTCTACCCAGGGGAAACGCAGCTCCTTCCAATTTGCCCAGATGGATCACCATGTTCTAATTTGGTAGCTATAGAGGCTTGGCAGTTGTTATCCAAGAGAGGCTGAATGATGCCATTAGCAAGTAGGGATTGAGAGGAGGGCACTTTGCTAAGAAAAAATTATAAGTAGAAATTATTGGACCAACTTCTTTTTTTAAGAGATAAGGAGTCAAGGCCCAGAGAGGCTGAGTAACTAAGCTGATATCACACAGCTCACAGGTGACAGAGCCGGGATGAGAACTTAAGTTCCCTGTCTCTAGGTCCTAGATTCTTTCTACAAAACCCAAACAGCCTAACACATCTCCCCAAAAGTCTGAACCACAGTAATAATAATGATCATTTTACAGGCTGATGCTGGGCTAGGTGTACTGGGCCAGATGCTTTCAATATATTATTTCATTCAATGCTCTCACCTGAGCTTCAAGTCAGGCATTTTACAGATGAGAGAGCAAAGGCACAAAGAGATTAATTTTTCCACGTGTATCTGGCCACATTCATCATAGCAAATGAAAGAAGAGAGCACCAACCCCCAAACCCATGTTTCTTCCACTTATGGCTCGGCATCATACAGTGTGAATTTCTCCTTAGATAGATGAAGGAAAGAATGTAAAGTACTAGCTATGCATGGAACGTGAGTTCCTACAGCTCTGAGCCTCACTTTGCCCTGGTGGTAAATGCTACCAAGGAAGTCTCTCCTCATGGGTCACTTCTGCCCATGTAATCATGGCATTCATAAAGCCTGGCAGAACAAAGTTCTGTTTATTTTTAAGCGCATTTATGACTGTGGCTGCTATATGAGTGTGGAATCCATTAAGAGCCCTCTCAAAGGACATGAGATTAGCTTGCAAGGAATAGCTTGCCAGTTGTCATTTACTTCTGGGATGATGGATGCAGATTGGAAAGGTAATAAAATACATATATATGGTTCTACTCTGTGCCAGGCACTGTAATAAGTCCATCATCAAACAAGACAGACATAACTCTAGACTTCATTGTGCTTACTGTCTGGAAGGCAAAGCCATTTTGAACAGGTAATTCCAAGTAATCACACTGTACAGTAAGCTTCCCAAGGACAGGAGTCTTCATCTGTTTTGCTCATTGATGAAGCCTTCTGATATAAACAGGCAGAAGTGACCCAGGAAGAGACACTTCCTTAGTAATGTTTATTACCAAAGCCAAGCAAAACTCAGAGTTCAAATAATTCAGTTTCCATGAACAGCTAGCTCCTTTCTTTATTCTCCAAAGAGAAATTCATGTTGTATAATGCCTGGTGTAAGCAGAGGTAGTGTGGGCTTTGGGAGTTGAGTTCTCCTCTATCAGTTGCTATGATGAACTTAGCTGGGTAAATGTGGAAAAACTCACCTCTCTGTGCCTTTGTTGGCCCAGAGTAGTTTCTCAATAAACATTTGTTTTTTAAAATGAATGAACAGAAGAATGAATGATGTATAATGGGCATTTCAACTGGGGACATACAGTAGATACGCATATGAGAGCATAGAGCCAGTATATTTAACCTAATCTTGTTTGATATTAAAATGCATTCATATGTCTTCAAGGCTGATGCCATCTAAGGTGAGCTCTTGAAAACTCAGCAAATTAGAAACCAACCATCCTGCAAAATATGTTGCAAATGCCACAAACTTGCATTCTAGCCACACTTTCAACTTCTCCCACTCCCCAGAATATTTCTTTCTTGCCTCCATGACCTTGAGATTGCTCTTAACACCTCCTGGTACAACTCTCCACATTACCTGTTCTGGCAATCTCAGATTTATTCTTCCAGGCTCTGTTGGCACTTTCTCTGGGGAGCCTTCCATGATTCCTGCTGAGCGAGTTAGTTATAGCTGCTGGATTTTCTCAGCAGCTCCCTCATGTCTCTATTGCTGTAGATATAGTGTATCCTAATTGGCTTGTTCATGTGTCTGTATTTCCTCATTCATCTCTGTATACTTCGTGGCTAGAAATGAGCCTGCCTGTAGAGACTGGTTGACTGGACAAGTGGATGGGTCAGTGGGGAAAGGGAGGAGTGAGTGGGTGGGTAGACGGATGGATGAAGTTTTTGCTTTGTGGTCAAGAAGAAGAAAGCCATCCTGTTATACCTAACATGTCTTGAACATCTGCACAAAGTTCTAGGTGCCCACAGTCTCAGGTTGAATCACTGCTAGTTCATCAGTCCCCACCCCATAGTTCCCTTGCCCTGTGCCTTTTCTCTTCCACTTTGCTGGGAGCTCCACCTGGCTCCAGAATGCAGGGAGACATACCTTATTGCCTATTAAAACACAATACTGATTCCCTCGGCCAAAATGAACATGATATTCCTTCCCCCAATGAAGCAAGATTAGGAAAACAGAGCAGGGAAGAAAAGGTTGCTAGTACTGGGTACCACTTTTCTAAGTTGCTCTGTGTATCCTAAGTCTTTTCCAGGCAAAATTGATTAAGTAGATGGTAAACTGACCACATAGTCAAAGTATTCTTTTCAAAGTCCCAGGAACTGAAGAGTTCTGAACACCCAAGTGCTTCCCAAACACAGTGCATTTGACAGAAGCTGACTCAAGTTCCTTAATAGAATCACAAAAGATTTATCCTTTCAAAGACATTTAGAAGTCAATTCTAAGGTTTTTAGACTGCATCAAACATGTGTTCCTTTGTTTGCTCACTTTCAACAAATATTCAATGGCCCCAACTAGGGGCTGAAAAATACAAATACCATCTCATTGACTGGAAATGACAGACAGATTGATCTATCATCATATAAAGTGAGAGAGTGAAACTTAAGTTCCTAGCACAGAAACAGATATGTGGTAGGCACTCAGGAAATGTGTTGAATGAATAAATAAATGAATAAGCAGTAAACACACCAAATGAAATTCTAGTACCTTTCTACAACATCACAGACGTTTGAGAAAAGACATTTACTAGTTCTGTCACCCCACCAATAAAAATTATTTTTCTTTATGTCACATGTCCCGAACTCTTTATCCCAAGAGGGCTTAGAGGCCCCTTCCTCCTCCTTCCCACTGTCCTAGTCCATTTATCTTGTGGTTCAATCACCTTATTCTAAGACAAATGGTCATTAGTGTGTGTTTCCCCATCAGGCTCTGAATGCCTTGAAAACAAGGATGGTCTCATTCATCTGAGTATCTTCAGCTTCTTCCGCATGGCCTAACCTAGGGCAGGCACTCAGAAAATGCTGTTGAGTTATTGTTAGATCTTCTACTATATCTGAGAGGGAAGGAGGGAGGATAGCGGGAGGTGTTTGTTATTATTTCTATCATGCAAATGAAAGTGCCAAGACACAAGCCTCTCCAGTGACCTTTCCACACAATTACCCCGTGGTAGGGCTAGAAGTGGGTTCCGGGTCCTAAGGTTGCTCTCTGGAGGTCTGCAGTCCTCTCCCCCATGCTGCAATCTGGGATCTCATCTCAGGGAACACAGTGCTTGTTCTTTGTTTAGGAAATCTTGCTTATAGACCTGAGATGGACACTCACGTCCCCAGAGCTTGCTTAGAGGTAGCTATTGAGGGCTAATGAGTTGCTCATGACCATAGTTAAAAGAAGGTAAATGGTAGAGCTAGGATTCAAACCCTGTTTGATCTAATTCCAAATCCTGTACTCTCTGAACTACTCCTCTAAGTAGTTAATTCCTCCCTCCTCTGCCCCTGGATTTCCTTTGATTCTAAACTTCAGTGCTGACCCAGAAGGTCTAATTCATTTGCATATTAATTGAATGTGGTCTGAGAGAAGGGTCACTGGTTCCAGTGTGCAGTCTAAAGTCACATTTTAAAAAATGCTGGATAAACCAATGTGTCATTTGCTGGTTCTTCCTGGTTAAGGGAAGTAGAAAGAGAAATAATTAAGTTACCTGGGTGTTTGAACTTCGATGTTGAGATTACTAATTGTTAAAGGCAGGAAACTGATTATGGAGGGATAGGAACTATACTAGTACATCAAAAATCCCTGTTTGTTGCAGACATGGCAAGGGAAGTTATAACCGAAGAGGAAGATGTATATAATTAAATGTCAAAACATATTTTGAAAAATGGTTTTGAACTCCTCAAATCTCCTGGCAGGATGAAAAAGAGAAACTCTTTAATAAAGCTGGTTCCACCTCACAGAAGGCCACTAAGGCATTGCTGAACAGCAGAGCCCTGAGGAGGGAGACAGTCCCACCGCGGCAGCGTGTCCTTCTCTTTTCAGTCAGATAATAACAGCTAAATGTAGCAAGGCCTTGCCACATGTCAGGCACTTAAATACATTATCTCATTTGATCTTCACAGTTTCCTTTTAAAATATGACTTTCTCCCATTCCATAGATGAAAAAACTGAGGTTCAGAGATATTTAGCAGTGTATCATTTCCTTTCCCTTCCCTCAACTCTGCCTCAGCCAGCAGCCAGGCAGTTCCCACAAAGGTTCTGCAAATTACCCAGGGAGGTGAGAAAGATATCAAAAGAGACAAAACTGACGACTTCAGTAGACCAGGGTTTAAATCCTCACTTGCCAGTGGTGGAAGTTTGAACAATTTAATCTAGCCTCTCTGGGATTAATCTTCCTCATTTGTAGAACAAAAAGTTTGCCTGGATTTTCAGGGCTCTTGTGAAATATATATATATATGTGTGTGTGTGTGTGTGTGTGTGTGCGTGTGCGTGCACACGTGTGTGTATATGTGTTTGACTAGCATATAGTAGATACTCAAAAAGTGAGTATTGAATTCTCATTACCAATTAAAACTGGTTAATTCCCTAATTTTTCCTGAGAGCGAATGAGAACTTTTTGTTTCTTCTAGTGGAATGATCTGGGTGTGGGCTGTGCCTCTGCCACTTGGTAACTATGGGGCTTGGGCCAAGTTATTTTACCTAGCAGGATCTCAGTTTCTCAAATCATTAAGTGAAACTAATAACTACTCTACATGGTTATGTCGAAAATCAAATAAGACTCTTGGGTAAGAAATTAAGGGAATGTGTGGGCCCTCATGAAAGTTCTTCTCTGAAGATAACTATTTACCCCCTTTGAAGTAATGGATAGCTGTCACTCTCAACCTTTTATGAGTCACAAACACTTTGCAAACTCAGGGACAGTCATGAGCTCTCCTACCACCACCACTGCACACACACGCAATACATATAAGGGATACGTGTACAATTTCAAGGGTTCATTGACCCCTCTAAAACCCACTCATGATTCTCCAAGGGAACCTTTGGTTTGACCCTGCCTGCCTCCCTGTCCTGTCTCCAAACCTCTCAATCTCTTCCTCATTGTGGAGGGTAGGGTCCCAATGTGGCTGCTGATGCTTATTTTGGGGATCTACTGGGATACAACAGGAAGGTAGACAGAGCAACCACAGGTATGCGCCAAACTGGCTATTAGGGAGGGGGACCAAGAAAGAGAAAGAGAGAGAGAGGGAGGGAGAGAGAGAGAGAGAGAGTGTGAGCTAGCAAGTCCTGTGAGACCTAACACACCTTTACAAAGCACTCTTTTCTCCATCCTCTCCTTCAGAGGTATTGTGACAAAAGAAGAGATAACAGGAAATAGGGGCATGTAAGTGAGACAGTACAGAGTTGCAGTCATGTAAGATGTAGAGATCTAACAGACTGCAAGAGGAGTATAGTAAAGTAACCATATGTGATAATGGATACATTAATTTTCTTGACTATAATAATCATTTCACTACATATATGTATATCAAAACATCATGTTGTACACCTTAAATACACACAATAAGACAAAGAAGCTGGGTGTGGTGGCTCACGCCTGTAATCCCAGCACTTTGGGAGGCCAAGATGTGTGGATCACGAGGTCAGGAGATCGAGACCATCCTGGTCAACAAGGTGAAACGCTGATTCTACTAAAAATACAAAAATTGGCTGGGCGTGGTGGCATGCACCTGTAGTCCCAGCTACTCAGGAGGCTGAGGCAGGAGAAGCCCTTGAATGCAGGAGGCGGAGGCTGCTGTGAGCCGAGATCACACACCACTGCACTTCAGCCTGAGCAACAGAGCAAGACTCTGTCACCAAAAAAAAAAAAGAAGAAGAAGAAGAAGAAGAAGAAGAAAAAGGAAGAAGAGGAAGAGAAAGAACGAGGAGGAGGAGGAGGAGCAGGAGGAAGAAGAAGAAGAAAGAAGGAGGAGGAGTAGGAGAAGGAGAAGAAGGAAAAAGGAGGAAGGAGAAGAAGGAAGATGGAGGAAGAAGAAGAAGGAAGGAGGAGGAGGAGAAGGAGAATGAGGAAGAAGGAAGAAGGAGGAAGAAGAAGAAGAAAGGACCAAAGAAGGGCTAGGGGCGAAGGAGAGCTTTCTCCACAAGGCCTCCAGAATGTATGGCTAGAACTAATTCACAGAAGCAGAAAGGAGGCAGAGTTCCAGTGAAGATGAGAACTGAAGCCATGAGCTCCTCCAAATTGGGAATTGTGCCTTACATTGGTCTCTGTCACTGATGGCCAGCACACAGGTATGTGGAGTCAGTGGATGGATGGATGGCTTTCTAACTAGTTTGAAAAGTCTGAGGATGTAGACCAGATTCAAGTACCAGAGAAGAGCAGAATGAGACATCCTTTAATTCAAAGTGAGGTCCCAAAAGTCTTTCTAAGAGCCAGCTATATCAAAATTACCTAGGCCATTTGCTTTTTAAAAAAATACATAATTTCCCTAGCCCCAGATGCACTGAACCAGAATCTGCTGAAGCGGAACCAGGGATTGTGTGTGTGTGTGTGTGTGTGTGTGTGTGTGTGTGTGTGTGTGTGTTGTGTGTGTGTGTGTTGTGGTGTGTGTTTGTGCTGTGGTATGTTGCAGTGTATCTTTTTTTTTTTTTATTTTAAATAGAGGCAGGGTCTTCTTCTGTCTTCCAGGCTGGAGTATAGTGGTGGGAGCATAGCTCAGTGCAGCCTGGACTTCCTGGGGCCAAGCAATCCTCCAGCATTAGCCTCCTGAGTAGCTGAGACTGCAGGCACCTACCACCACACCCAAATAATTTTTTAATTTTTTAAGAGATGGAGTCTTGCTATGTTGCCCAAGCTGGTCTCAAACTCCTAGGTTCAAATGATCCTTCTGCCTCAGCCACTCAGAGCACTGGGATTATAGGTATAAGCCACTGTGCCTGGCCAACTGTGTCACTCTGTCACCAGGCTGGAGTGCAGTGGCACAATTTCAGCTCACTGCAACCTCTGCCTCCCGGGTTCAGGAGATTCTCCTGCCTCAGCCTCCTGAGTAGCTGGGGCTACAGGTGCGCGACACCATGCCCAGCTAATTTTTGTATTTTTAGCAGAGACGAGATTTCACCATGTTGGCCAGGATGGTCTTGATCTCTTGACCTTGTGATCCACCCACCTCAGCCTCCCAAAGTGCTGGGATTAGAGGTGTGAGCCACCGCATCTGGCCAGGTGTGTCTTTTCTAAGTAATTCTTATACCCTGACTTGGGCACCATGTTTCCACTTCCTTTGTGAGTAGAATGTGGTCGGAAAGGGTTTACCTTGGTAGCATGATTAACCTGGGTTCAAGTCTTGTCCCAGGCACTCCAGAGCTACATAATATTGGGCAGGTTGCTTGAGGTAACTGAGCCATAGTCACCTCATCTCTACAATGGAGATAAATACATGGTTAACCTCGGAGAACTGTAAGGGTTAAATAGGATGTTGCACACAAAATGCTGAGCCTAGGGCTTGGCACAAATGACATTTTTAGTATATGTTAGGTATTGGTGGTGGTGGCAGGGCTAATAATAGGGAATTGTTAAAGCATTCACAATATCCACAGGATGTCAGCAAAGCAGATGTTCATAATTCCTGATTTAAAGATGAGAAAACTGATCCTCTCTATGGGCTTACGGCTCAGTGATGGAGCCAGGATGTGAATCCAGACATACTGGCTGCTTTGAGAGCCCTGACTCCTAGCTGATGCTATTTAGCCTCCATGGTAGAAATACTTGCCAGAGTCTGGAGCAGAACTAGGATACATACACAACATACTCAAGAACACAGATCAGACATGGCCTGGGTGGAATTTATAGTGGAGGGTGTGAGTTGGATCAGGCATGCGGGGAGGAAGAACTGCTTTCATAAGGAGCCCCTCTCCCTTGTGGACCTTGGAATGGACTTGGCCGCTCATGTTAAGTGACATGCTGACACCACTTGGTGTAGGCAGATAGTTTTATTAGATGAAGGGTCAAATGCAATAAAATGCTTGGAGGCTTTTAAAAAAACATTAGAAACATTTACCATGACATTATTGACAATCTGGTTAATAAGCCACCTGGACTAGAGTAATACTGCTGGGATCAGCAGCTTTCCCTCCGGTATTGCCTTCCCCTTCTCTTTCTCTGTGCTCCCAAATATTTGGTTTGTGCCTCCTACCTGACGGTTATTAGTCTGCCTTGCAATGAAAGATGCTTCCTCTCCTAGGTATGAGGTTTCTTCAAGGGCAGGAGCTAGTTTTGTTTGTTTGTTTGTTTGTTTGTTTGTTTTCTTTTTTGTTTTTGTTTTTGTTTGTTTTTTGAGACAGGTTCTCATTCTGGTTGCCCAGGTTGGAGTGCAGGGGCGTGATCTCGGCTCACTATAGCCTCAGGTGATTCTCTGACCTCAGCCTCTCGAATAGCTGGAACTACAGGCGTATGCCACACACCCGGCTAATTTTTTGCACTTTTACTAAAGATGGGGTTTTGCCCTGTTGCCCAGTCTGGTCTCTAATTCCTGGACTCAACCAATCCACCCATCTCGGCATCCCAGTGTCCTGGGATTACAGACAAGAGCCACCACGCCTGTCTAGGAACTAGTTCTTTTCCATCTCTCTTTCTCCAATACTTAGCATAGGTATTGGCAATGAATAGCTCTGTATAATGAACTGACATAATGACAACTTTTTAAGCATACATTTTTATTGTCTCCACAAATGAGTTTGTTCCTTCCATTGTGTATATTTTTATATATTTTGGGTTTTTGTTTGCTTTGGAGACAGGACCTCACTCACTCTGTTTCCCAGGCTGGAGTCCAGTGGTACGATCTTGGCTCACTGCAGCCTTAACCTCCTGGGCTCAGGCGATCTTTGACCCACCTCAGCCTCCTGAGTAGCTGGGACCATAGGCATGTCCCATGGTACTCAGCCAATTTTTTAAATTTTTTGTAGAGATGGTGTATTAGTCCATTTTCATGCTGCTGATAATGATATACCCAAGATTGGGAAGAAAAAGAGGTTTAATTGGACTTACAGTTCCACATGGCTGGGAGGCCTCAGAATCATGGTGGGAGGCAAAAGGCACTTCTTACATGACCGTGGTAACAGAAAAATAAGGAGGATGCAAAAACAGCAACCTGTGATAAAACAATCAGATGTCATCAGACTTATTAACTACCATGAGAACAGTATGGGGGAAACCGCCCCCATGATTCATATGATCTCCCACTGGGTCCCTCCTATAACACGTGAGAATTATGGGAGTACAATTCAAGATGAGATTTGGGTGGGGACACAGCCAAACCATATCATTCTGTCCCTGGCCCCTCCAAATACATGTACTCACATTTTGAAACTAACCATACCTTCCCAACAGTCCCCCATAGTCTTAACTCATTTCAGCTTTAACCCAGAAGTCCACAGTCCAAAGTCTTACCTGAGACAAGGCAAGTGCCTTCTGCCTATGATCCTGTAAAATCAAAAGTAAGCTGATTACTTCCTAATACAATGGGGTACAAGTATTGGGTAAACACTAATCCATTCCACTCATTCCAAGGAATCGATTTTAAATCTCTGGCTCTCCCTAACACAATAGCCTAATGTAATAATTCAGGAAAGCATAAACTCCAGCAATTAAGTGAGTCTATCTGAATCTTGTTGGGTAACCCAATGATTTTCTCCGACGCAACCCATCCCTACTCTCTGGAGGGCATATGTGTTGGCAAAGGCATGCTCCTGTTAGACAGAAGGCTTGAGCCTATCCTTTTGGCCATGAAACAGTAATCCTCATTTTTAAACATCACTTTAAGTTCAAAAGTAAGTGCTAAACCGACAATAATTTAATTCACCCTGAAAGTGAGCATCTTTGTGTCTCTCTGGGCCTCTGTGTTCTCATATATATAATGGGGGTAAAAATACTACCTATGTCCCCTAAGGTTGTCATAAGGATAGAATGAAATAAAGCTATTACTGAACAAAACCATATGCGCTTCTAAGGGGAGCAGTTCTAGCTTTCTCAGGCTTTTCTGCTTCTTAATGTTGCCTCCTGGATAGTACACAATTGGAAAGGCCACCTTTATTCATATAACATTTAATGTGTGTCTACTAGACACCTTCGGTGAGAAAGATACAAAAAGCACTGCCCCGTCTGCCAGCTCCATATCTGTTAAAGGAGAAAAACACAAACTTTTGAAACTCTAATGGAAAGTACAGAATGACCCCTGCTTTGGAAATAAAAATGAGGAGTTATCTTGGAAAGATTCATAGTGCAACTTCAGACCATATTATTGTTCACAACATTCACGGTCTGTCCAGGGGAGGATTTTACTTCCCCACCCCATTAATGGCAGGCTCAGTCATGTGATTTATTTAACCAAGGAAATGTTATTGGAAATGAATATGCCATTTCTCAGTAGAAGCTTGAAGACCCAGTATATGATTACCCATGTTCTCTTTTACCTCTACCCTAATAATCAGCATAGAGCTGAGCTGCACTTGACCTGCAGTGGTTGTACAGAAGGACTGAGAGAGAGAAAGAAAAATAAAACCCTTTGGTACAGTAAGCCACTGAGATGTCGGGGTCATTTGTTACTGTGGCATAATCTATCCTGTTCTGACAAATACAGAATAAAAGAAAGACAAAGGAAACTCAATGCAGAGGAAGTGGCTGAAGCAAAGTTTTGGAGGCAGATTGAGATATAGTTGTCCGGTAGAATAAAGTTTTGAGGACTGAGTATATACTGGAAAAGTAATGGGCCACCAAAATTTTGCATGGCCAAGAATGCACACTCAAGGAGTTTTTACAGTAGGGGAAAGGAGGATGGGGAGATATTTGTCAAAGGATACAGCTAGATAGGAGGAGTAAGCTCTAGTCTTCTATAGCTTTGTAGGTAATAATATATAGTTTCAAATAACTAGAAGAATGATATTGAATGTTCCCAACACAAAGAAATGATAAATATTTGAGATGATGCATATGCTAATTGCCCTGATCTGATACATACGTTTTATGTATGGAAACATCACTATGTAACTCATAGATATGTACAATTATTATGTGTCAATTTTTTTAAAATAAATTCATTTGAGTGGGAGTGACAAGATCAGGAATGCTTCTTCTATGCCAGAGCAAAGTATAACCAGATGACCTTGCAATCGATCCACCAGCCAGAAGGACTAAGAAGGCTGCAAACTAGAGTGTGTAAACATTATTGGCTTTGAAATTATTGGCAAGATAGCTGGTACAAACCCATAGCAGCAGAGCCCAGCTTAAACCTCAGCCCAGAGTTATTTATGTGCATGCCCACAGTAGTCTAATTACTCTGTATCAAGTGCCATGTATCAAAATACCCTTCAAGATTATAACAGGTTTAATTAAATGCACAGTGAAATCCACTTAAGATGAGCTAATTGGGTAGAACCTGATTTTCCTTCCCGATGCATCTGACAGACATGAGGACATCCTAGGGTACGAGCAGCACATAAAAGGATGCTGAAGGAGGCAGAGGTTAGAAGCTGGTGCTATGGGAGCAAGACCGGGGCCTGGGCAGGACTGGGGTTTCCCAAAGGCAGGAATGGGGAGTTGGGAGAGGCTGGGGACAAGCCCAGTGACAGTCTCCCTTCCTACAGTGGATAGTATTCCAAATCTGCTCCCAGCCCCACCCTTCCTCAACTCAATGAATAATAACTCCAGTCTTCCATTACTCAGACCAAAAGCACTGGAGTCGTCCTTGCCTCCTCTTTCTTTCCCTCACTCCGTACATCTGCTTCATGAGCCAAACCCATCAGCCTCATGTTCAAAATATGGCACCATTCCCCTGCTTCTGCCCTGGTTCAAGCCCTACTTCGTATTTCACCTAGGTGGCTGATGTAGCCCCCCAGCCAGTCTCCTGAACCTCCATCCCTCACAATCTGTTCTTGACCCAGCAGCCAGAGCGATCTTTTTAAAGCCTAAGTCAGATTATGTCATTCCTCTGCCCAAGACTCTCTAAGGGGTCCCAACTAAATCCAACTAAAATTCAGCCAATGACCTTACAATGACTTTCAGTGTCTCCTCCACAAACAAAGCACACTTTAAAATGAGGGTGAAGGTACTGATGGCCAAGCTGCTTCATTTTTCCTATGTGAGGCAAGTGCTAGATTTCTGGACAAATACTGGTCTGAACTGGACTGCTGCTTGACACAGGCATGAAGAAGATCATTTTTGCTCTCAACAAGTTCCCAGTCTTGTCAGCAAGAAAAACACATAAGCCCACTAATATGGTTTGACTCTGTGTCCCCACCCAACTCTCATGTCAAATTGTAATGCCCGTGTGTCAGGGGAGGGGCCTGGTAGGAGGTGATTGGATCATAGGGATGGGTTTCCCCCTCGCTGTTCCTGTGATAGTGGGTGAGTTCTCACAAGATCTAATGATTTAAAAGTGTGTGGCTTTCTTTGCTCTCTCTCTCCTGCTTCACCACGATAAGACATGCTTGCTTCCCGTTCGCCTTCCGCCATGATTGTAAGTATCCTGAGGCCTCCCAATCATGCTTCCTGTTAAGCCTGTAGAACTGTGAGTTCATTAAACCTATTTTCTTCATAAATTACCCAGTCTCAGGCAGTTCTGTATAGCAGTGTGAGAATAGACTAATACACCTACACATTAGAGAACAGTGTGACCCCTGGCGAGGCAGAGACAGGCAACAAGTTTTAAGGGAGTGCAAAAAAGGAGCGCCTAGTCTGTGGGGAGTTCAGTTTTGATGGCCATCAGTTTTATTTCAAGTTTGTCTTTTTACCAGTAATATTCATTGTGAACTAGATAACGAAACTAAGCTTTTTTGTTGTTAATTCATAACTAATGAATTAACAATATTACTCATTACTGTCTACCTACCTGGCAGACATTTCAGGATCATACTTATGTCCAGGTTGGCCACATTGTATTTCTAATCCATAATTCCAACCGCTCTGCATACCACAGATTAATTGCCCCCACTGCTGATGGAGAAAAGATCCAAGTGTGATCAAAACAGTGAGGGCAAAGTGTTATGACCCAAACAACAAGATCAAGATGCCGTGTTTTCCAATGCATCTGTGCTATTGCGATATTGAGTGAGGTGTCTGGCCGGGGAGCTGGGCAAGTCATGACAATCAACTCCACAGTTCAGAGGTTCCCCAGACTGTGAGAGGAAACTGTGCCAGCCAAAGCAAGATTCCATGAAGCCAATTACTCCAGGGATGCTCATGAGCAGACACCGACCCCACTGCAGTTGATATAAAGGGTTGGCCTTGGCACTCATCACATAGTAGATACTCCCTCAATACTAATAGGTCAGAGCTCCCCCCCTCCCCAGACTCGAGCTCCTCCTCAAAGGAGATGGGGATGCCATGAATGTGCTTTATTCAGTGTAAATGTAAAACTAAAAGCACTCCACTGTCCCTGCACCTCTGCGTACCTGCACACCACTGGAATAGCAATAAAACAAAAGAGCAGCATGCCCTGTTCCCTCCCATGAAGCCACACAAAGGGCAAAAGAGCCATCATGGCAGCCCTTGAAGAATCAGAGGCATGATGAAAGTGGTGGTTTTGTCATTTTTTTCCATCACACAGTGGTTTTTTTTAACTTCTGCGTACTTTGTCATTAATTATAAATCTGTAAAGTTTGGTAGAGATATAAAAATGTATGCACATGCCCCTCAAAAGGGAAGGAAAAATTCCTTTCTCTTTCTTCCTTCCTTCCTTCCCTCCCTCCCTCCTTTCCTTTGTTTCTTTCCTCTCTTTCTCCCTTCCTGCCTCCCTCCTTTCCTCCCTCCCTCTTCCCTCCCTTCCTTCCTTTCTTCCCTCCCTCCCTCCTTCCCACCCTTCCTTCCTTCCTTCCTTCCCCCCTCCCGTTATTTCTTTCTTTCCTCTCTTTCTGCCTTCCTCCCTCCCTCTTCCCTACCTTCCTTCCTTTCTTCCCTCCAGCCCTCCCTCCTGCCCTTCCTTCCTTCCTTCCTTCCTTCCTTCCTTCCTTCCTTCCTTCCTTCCTTCCCTCCCTTCCTCCCTCCCTCCCTCTCTCCCTCTGTCACCCAGGCTGGAGTGCAGTGGTACAATTATGGCTGACTGCATCCTTGACCTCCCGGACTCAAGTGATTCTCCATCCTCAGCTTCCTGAATAGCTAGAAATATAGGTGTAACACCCATGCACAGCTAAGAAAATTTCTTGTAAGAAAAAAAAAAAGAGCTTCTGATTCAGCAAACATGTCTCAAGCACCTACTATGTGTCAGATGCCTTCCTGGGCATTTTAAAATATGAAACTTGAGAGCCATATAACTTTTTATTCAAACCAGGATGCTTTGAAGTTAAAAGGGGGCAATATTAATAATAATGTTTGGCTAATAGGCATAGGCCAGGATTGTCCTGGGCAAACCAAAAGATTTGACTCACTAGCTGTATCTCAATTAATGTTTTCAGTGACCCTAAATGATAAGTAGTTTTTCCTCCCATTTTAACCCATAATGACCTTGAGGTTCAGAAAGTTTGTATTTCCAAAGCTGTGCATTCAATCTAGGTTCTTCTCTCTAAAAGCTTATGCTGGCTCCATCTTACCTGGCGAAAGTAACCATAATACAATACAAAAGTGATAAAAGTTCAATGTAAGATGACAGAAAAAAGGAAATACCTTTTAACAGGAAGAATCAGGGAAAATATAATGAAGGGATGGGAATCATTTCTGCCTGCTCCTGAGAGGCAGATGGGACACACACTGATGGAAGTAGAGGCTGCACTTTCTAAAGTGGTAAAGTAGGAGACAGGGGAGAGAGGTTCAGAAGCTGTGGGACGTATGCAACAACCTACCAGGTAAGGCAAGTTACCACCACGAGATGGCCAAAGGAAAGCAGCCAAATCTTAGTAATTTAAGTGACCTTTGACTTTTTCCCTCCACTCCCTGAGACATAGAAGCAGGACCAGCTACATAATTTGCAAGTTCCAGTGCAAAATGAAATTATGGAGACTTTTGTTCAAAAAATATTAAAAATTTTAATGATGGCAGAAGAGCATTAAATCTAGCTTTGGGCCCCTCTAAGCATGGACGCTTCATGCAGCTAAATAGATCGCATGCTCATGAAGCCAGGCCTACATAGAAAGCTTATTTTGCCTAAGTTTTCAGCTGATTTGAGTAGAGCAGAATTAGCCTGAAACACCCACTTTGGTCTTGGCAGCAGAGAGGATGGAAGGTGAACACCTGCCCTCCGCCTTAGAGGAGTGTAAAATCCCATATGAAACCCTGATTGTCAGTTTGGAAATGTCTCTTACCAAGGCCCCATTCTTTCTTGCTATGGCCCTGGCAAATGAAGAGGAATTTCATGTTACTATTTTTCTGATACTTTCCTTCACCTCTCCTTTCACTCCCATTGTGAGGAGATGTGTCTTGGGGATGCAGTTTTCATATTGAGACCTGAAGCTTCCAAAGGGCCTATCACTGGTGCCTCTCTATTCTCTTCTTCTCTCCCTTTCCCTACAAATAGCCAGTTAAAAATCTGCAGATGGTGTAAGGAAATAATCACGAATGAGGGGAGATCCTAAGGCATCTTTCATAAAGCAGAAAGGCGGGCTCAGCTTCTGATCCCAAAAGTCTACGGTAGGCCCAGGGGATGCCATCTGGTGGGCATTCGATGGACAGTTCCACTCCACACCCTACCTCCCAGGAAGGGAGATGCACGTTTGCTACAGATCCCATACTGCAGTGCCTGGTGTTCAAGGTCTTCCATCCTACCCACCTGTCCTTGCTTCTCTCCTGTCATTGCCTAAGATGGAACTCAGGCTCCAGCCAGGCATTTATTCCTAAGTGTTCCCTATGTTTGGGCCTCATCACATTGCTCCCATTGCTTCCTCTTTTGGAAGTGCTTCACCTACATTAATAGATAGATCCTTTTCATCTCTCAAGGCCTAATTCAAGTACTTCCACTTAACTTTTACCTGAGAATTCAAGTAATCACCTGCATTAATGGCCTGGATTAAACATTTCCACCTCTCTCCTGAGTTCTTCATTGAAATGACAAATCTCTCTTTTGAGTTCTCTAAATTATTGGGAACTCTCTTCCTTTACAATGTTATGGGCCCATGCCTATATCAGTTAAAATGATCTATTACAAATATCTGATAACTCCAACTCATACAGTGATAAAAGGAAATATATTGACCAATAGGCAGTCTCTCAGCTTTCCTTCCATTGGGCTGGCTCCACTCTCAGATTGCTTCCCTCATAGTAGCCAGTTGTTTGCAAAAGCTCCAAGCTTTATATCCTTACTTCCAACATCAGTGGAAACCAAGATCTCTTCAATTCCAAGACCTGGGATTCATATGTTCTCTCTGGCAAGAATTGGTTGGATCAGGTGGCCACCTCTGAATCAATTTCTGGAGCGATCTTCTCTGTCCTAGCTGCGGGTGGAGCCCCATGCAAGCCACACGGCCCATGAATAGAGAAAGATGGAGTTCTCTTCCTCAGTAGAAAGGGTAGAAGCTGGTCCACAAGTAACCTATCTCCCTTGCTAGATTGTAGGCTTCTTGAGACAGAGACTATGCCTGTCATCTTTTATTTATTCATTTCATTCAACAAATTTCTAAGGCACCCCTACTATGTTGAGGCATTTTGATAAGCACTTTGGATTTTTAAAATGTTAGATAGATCTCTGTATTCAAAAAACTGAAAGTCCATCCATTCAATACACAACCATGTGCTGGACCTATTATGCAGCCAAGTGGTATATTAGGCATTGGAAATACAGCAGTTAACAGCACACACCATCTCCGCCCTCATAGACATAATCAAGATACCAAATCAAAAATTACAAATAAGCAAATTGACAATTGTGCTACAATGAACAAAGTATTATGATTAATCAAGATGCAGAGCAGTTTGGGAGCAGACAAAGTCATTTGACCCAGCTTGTTGCACACGTGAAGGTGTAAAGCCAGAAAGACTTCCTGGAAGAGGTACCACCTCCATTGAGTCATGTGGTATTCAAGGTAATCCCCAAAGTGTTTTATTCAGTGTCTGGCATGGGATTGGTTTTCAATAAATGATTGATGAATGAATGCATTAATATAAAAAAAGTTCAAGACTTTCCAAAGTCAGGAAGGACAACTGAATTAATTAAGTCCTAATCACAATAATTCACCCAATGGAGGGGAGAAATGTTCATGGAAATTTCTAAAAATCACTCATTTTTTGTTTAAAATCCATCATGATGTTTGCACATCCTAATATTTTGCCTAAGCCAATACTGAAAAGAGTTTCCATTTCATGCCCTCACTGGAGTTGATCAGAAGCAGCCAGAAGGAACTTGAATTAAAGGGGAAAAAAAATCTCAGACTGAAAATGATATGAGTAATAGATTAAGTAGATAGATTATTTAGGGTTAGCTGAAAGTTAATTGTATTCAAGGAAACATCCCCCCAAAACATAATGAATTGGCTGTTACTGCCTCAACTATAAAATCAGTATAATAACTACTTTATAGGGTTGTAGAAATTAGAGATTAATGAATGTAAAGCCCTTAGCTCTGATCTAACACCTAATATTTGCTGGAGCTATCATAGCCGCTGATGCCATCATTACTATTGTTTTTGCTGTTGATGTTATGGTTCCCAGATACATTGCATTCAGTGTTCTCTCTATCCATGACGTTTCTTCACCCAGAGCTCTTTTTACCACCATGTTAATTCCTATTCATCCTTCCACCAGTATTGCCTCCAACAAGCCATTCCTAACCATCCCCTTCCCCAGAATGGTGAGATGCCCTCTTCGAGCCACGCTTGGACACAAGCACTGATCACACTCATTTGTCACTGTGCATGTGTCTATCTTTCTTAGTGGCCTGAGACTTCCCACATGGCACATATTCGATTTTTCTTTCAGTCTCCTTAGAGTTGCTGGCACACAACTTCTCCTCTGTGCATATTTGCTGAATGAATGAACAAGCTACAGAAAATTATGTATTCACAAAATATTATTAGAACCAGAAGATACTTTGGAGACCACTTTATCCAAACTGTTTTAATTATGAGGTAAAAGAAAAGCAATGACTTGTCCAGGGTCACACTGTAAGAAAGAGTACAGAAGTGGCCTTAAAACATGAGTATTCCTGGTCTGGACAGCCCTAATCCAGGGCTTTCTCTACGTACTAACCTTCTCTCCTGAGCCTAGGAGAGAACTGCCTTGGGTTTGAACTGATTAGGCCAAACCTAGTGTAATTTTTTTAAAAGTATATTCCAATGGACAATATATCTGGGAAAAAACAACTATGTGGACAAGTAAGTTTTGGAGGAGTTCTATATCTTATCCTCCTTTAGATTATCAATGCATTTCAACTTACTGAAGGCTTTCAGTAATGAGCTGTGTTTAATTTTTTGAACAAAATTTGACCATAGAATCCCTCCCTCCTTATTGTTTTTCTCGTCTGCTTTTGTTGGTTGGTTTTTGTTTTATTTTGAATTTTAGTTGATACATATTAGCATCCCAAGCACTCTGGATGAATTGTCATCTTTCATTGCTATGGAACATTACATCTGGAGACAACCTTGGGGAACATCTCCTCCTACTTCCTCATTTTACGGATGGGGAACTGAGGTCCAGGGTGGTGAAACGGTATTACCTGTGTTGTATAGCACAAGTAGTGGCATATCCTCTGGTTGCTTTGGTCAAAAAGTAGTCTGTTACTATCACATGTCTACAATTCTCCCCAGATGGTTAAAAGCTTAAACAGTGGCAGTTTAAGGAGTTTGAGCTGACTTTTAGGGTGAGGCAGAAGACATCATCTGCCTGAGGGAGGAAGTGACTCTGATAGGCAGGTGAGAGTCAGCTCCTCTCCTCCTACCGTGGTGGTCTACTGTTCTGGGCCAGGTCATTGTTGTCCATTACAATCTAATTTCCCGTATTTACAGAGCACTTTTCTATCAAGGACTTCTGATGGCTTTTTCATAGTATTACCTTTTTTCTTATGATAGTTCCTTGGATGACTTTTGACATATGGAGAAAAAATATTAAAATTTAAAAAGTTAAAAGCCTTGCCTAAGTTGTCACATTTAGTCAGAAAAGGAAATGGCACAAAAATCTTGGTATCCTGAAGACAAGTTGAAAACTCTTTTTTAACTTCTTCTACCCCTGGCACATCCTCCTTCTCTTTATTTTGTTCTAACCCCAGCATTAGGTGTGTGCTTTCCAGAATCTCTAGTTCCCCTTGACTGCAGTGCCCTTCCCTCTTTTCAGCTTCTCAAAGTCCTATTCCTACTTCAAGACTTAACTCAAAAAGCTCCTCCTCTATTAAACTTCACCCCAGCCACGAACTTGGCAGCTCACTTCCCTCCAGGTTGGGACTGATCATATTTTGCCTAAAATCTTAAAACTTTAGTTCCCATTTAAGTCTTAGTCTCACAACTGGCTTTTTAGGCGCAAGGTCTTTTCTTACTCTCTTCTGCATCTCCGTTAAGGCAAAGGCTTGGAGTTTAGCAGAGCTCAAACATAGCCTTTGAGCTAGAAAGACAAAATAAAACTCCGAGTATATACTGTCTGGTTATTCTTCTCTGAATTTCAGTTTCTTCAAGGGTGAAATGGGGACAACCATGCATAGCCTGCAGAGTTGTTAAGACCAAATGAGAAAACATGAGTAAGTGCTTTGCAAAGTGGGTTAGAACACATTCAGCAATCAATGACTAATAGCGGCCAGCTTGAGGGTTGGCATCGTACCCCTCGAGCACTCTGGTACACATACATGCACACAACACGTCACATACTCTATACAGGTTGAGCATCCTTAAATTTGAAATCCGAAATTCAAAATGCTCCAAAATCTAAGACTTTTTGAGTGCTGACACAACACCATAAGTGGAAAATTCCACACCTGACCTCACGTGACAGCAGCAGTCAACGTGCAGTCAAACATTGTTTCCTGCACAAAATTATTAAAAATACTGTATACAATTATCTTCAGGCTATGTATTTAAGGCATATATGAAACATAAATGAATTTCATGTTTAGATTTGAGTCCCATCCCCAAGATATCTAATTATGTATACATAAATATTCCAAATCCAGAAAAATCCAAAATCCAAAACATTTTAGGTCCTAAGCATTTGGGATAAGGGATAGTCAACCTGTATATCCACTACCCTGAAACACTTACCACTTTTCTTGGTTCTGGCTGTACGCTATGTCCACAGTGTTTTGTATCCCATTTTAGCATTTTTCATTCCACTTAACTAGTCGCTGTTCATGGGCCTGTCATCCCCTTGGATCATGTCTTTGCATCTTCAGTGTTTACAGCATAGTGACTAGCTCACTGTCAACAGTCAGTAAAGGACTGATGAGTGAATGAATGAATGAACGAATAAAAGCACCTATTTTCAATTTTAAGAAAAAACTCAGAAAACTTTACAAAATAAATCCCATTTAAAATGCTTTTCCCTGTGGGTGCAGTGGCTCACCCCTGTAATCCCAGCACTTTGAAAGGCCAAAGCAGGAGGATTGCTTGAGCCCAGGAGTTTGAGACCAGCCTGGGCAACATAGTGAGACCCCATCTCTACAAAAAAAAAAAAAAAAAAGGCCAAAATTAGCTAGGCGCAGCGGCTCACGCCTGTAGTCCCAGATACTAGGGAGGCAGAGATGGGAGGATCACTTGAGCCCAGGAGCTTGAGGCTGCAGTGAGCTATGATTGTACCACTGTAATCCAGCCTGGGTGACAGGGTGAGACCCTGTCTCTAAAACAAAAATACATGCATAAAATGCTTTTCCAAAAATAATAGATATTATTTCCCCCATAAACCTTCATGTTTAAAAGAAAGCTTATATACACCTATAGACTGTTTCTTCCTGATGAGCATTTGGCATACCATCCATGCTTACACATCCATAATTGGATATAGACGTGCCATAACACCTCTCTGATTTGCAGATCTGGGACCCCAAAACTCCAGTAGCCTGAGTGTATTCCCAAATCCACAGATAAGAAGAAAAAGCCTGTGAATTTTTGAGCGAGCTGCCTCAAAGTTTATTAAGGTATAGGTGGAAGGGACTAACATTTATGAAGCCACTACAGGTAGTGTCCACTGTGCTTTGGGAAAGGAAATCATTTGGTGGATACCCCTCAGGTTTCAGGCCCTGGCCCAGACATTCTCATATACATGATCTGATTTAATCTTCACTATAATCCCGTGGGGCAGTTATTATCCTCTTTTCCAGATAGAAAATAAAAAGCAGAAAGAACTCACAGGGCAGGGAAGTGGGGGAACCAGCATTTGAATCCAGAGCCAGCTGTCTCCAAAGTCCATGCCTTTTCTCTCAAACCACTTCACTTCTGATATCTAGAAATCCCACTTTTGTACAATCACACCTTCTCTGACAGCACTAGACAGATGAGACTGTGTTATACATACCCTCACACGCAGCTGCAGCTGCCCTTACCTGTGATACATCAAAAGCAGAGGCCGATCCGTGGATCACAGGTGTCCATTTCTCACTTATAATTGAAAATTACCTTTCATGTTTTTCCCCACCATAGTAAAACTGCTCCATATTTATTTCATTATTATTATCATTTTCATCATCCTAACGATTATTCAGTATATACCAAGTGTCTCTGATGAAACATGCAGGAGATGAAAAATCCTTGGGTGGGTTGGCATGCTTCAAATTGTTAGTGTATTATTCATTAGTGTATTAATATTGCATGGACTGTATTTTTATATGCAATTTAAGGAACAGGTAGTTTAAAATGGGAATGAGACAATATTATCGGATCAATCAGAAGCCCAAGCTTTCACTCAGAGCTTTTAAATGATCATTCCGATCCGTTGGGTGAGAGAATATGTTGTCAGAAATGTGATGTATCCGCACTGGGATATTTTCAGGAAAGGAAAACACATCTCAGCCTAGAGAGGGTGGGACTATTAAAGTAAATGCTTTTTTGCATTATGCAAACTCAGGGAAATTGGGTGAGGTCCATGGTCCATCCTAGCAGGAGCTGGCCTCAGACACTTGGACCACAGAAGGGAAGGTAGGTGTTGAGGTTGCCCTCAGGGCTTGGGCCTTGGCACTCCCAAGTCTCTCAAGGCCTTCTTATGCATTTTTATGCAAATTTTCACTTTTGTGGAACAAAAAGCAAAAATGCATGTGATTATTACAATTTGGGAGATCAGGAGAATAAGGCCCAGTCAATCCCTCACCCATATTCAGGAAATTCTCAGAGAAAAGGTAGCTATATAATATCCTGACACCTATAGTCTCCTTCTCAGGCACTATTTCACTTAAAACCCTCAAAACTCCTCAAGGCAGGGAGCACAATAGGATCACCGTACTTCTTATAAATGAGAAAACTGAGGCCAATATCATCTGAAACATTTATCTGTTCTTCTCTTTAAAATCTGCTTCAGGGAAGTCTCCACTATCAGACACCCCTAAGACGCTTATGTCAAAGGACTGCCCTTCCCTGTGGCCTTGAACTGGAACCTCTCTCTAGATTGCTGTGGAAAAAACAGCTCACGGTTGAGTCAGAAGTTCTTGTTGAACTCTCAGCCGAGGGGCTTTGGACAAGTCACATCCCCTCCTTCTGAGTTAATGATTTGTATATAAAATGAAAAGTCTTGACTTTCAAGAGTCACAAACTCAAATGCCTTGAGGAAGAGATCAGCAATGAGAATCAGTAAATCAGAATGTATAGATAATAGGGGACTTTAAGTATTTAGGAATGATAACAAAGCCAGTGTAAGCTCTAGACTAGAAGGATCCTTTTAGAATTAGCTCTTACATAAGCAATCTTAATTACCAAATGAGCATCTTAAAGTTAGTGCAGCATCTGTAAGTATGTGGGGACTACAGAATGGACCTTCAGAAACCCTACACAGGCGTTCACTCTTGTGGATATCCCTGAACCTGAAGTCAAGCTAAATACTTGATTCAAAATGATCAATGTAGGCATAAGATTTCAAAATTGGAAAGAGCATTGTCAGTCGTTTAACGTAAACTTCCCACTTTATAGAAGAGAGAACCAAGAACAAGAAAGAGAATGAGGGCTGGGCGCGGTGGCTCATGCCTGTAATCCTAGCATTTTGGGAGGCCAGGGTGGGCAGATCACTCGAGGTCAGGAGTTCAAGACCAGCCTGCCCAACATGGTGAAACCAGATCTCTACTAAAAATACAAAAATTAGCTGAGCATGGTGGCACACACCTGTAATGCCAGCTATTTAGGGGGCTGAGGCATGAGAATCGCTTGAATCCGGGAGAAGGCGGTTGCAGTGAGCTAAGATTGTGCCACTGCATCCCAGCCTGGGTGGCAGAGTGAGACTCTGTCTCAAAAAAAAAAAAAAAAAAAAAAAGGAGAAAGAATGGGACTTGTTGCAAAGGGGCCTCAGAACCCTGCCCACATCCTCCAGTCAGCCTGAAATCTCCAGAGTAGGCAGTGACAGCCAACCCTGCACTAGCCCTGCATGTACCTTCTCCCCCAACTCTGGGTCCATTAGGCCCATGAATGCAGGAACTAACATAGGTGCAGGGGCGGTAGGAAATGGCTGCCCTCGGAGCCCCATAATTGTTCCTGGAGAGCTGAAAGAGAGAGAGACTGAAACAACCCTCTTGTCTAATTACTGTCGGCTGTAAGGTAATTTATTGTTTTATCACTATCTCTGATGGCAGGAAGAAAGGTCTCTTAGGTCCTGTACTTCCTGAGGCTAGAACCACATGGCTCTATTACATGCAGTGGACCCATATTTGCAGGATCATCCATTTTGACATTGCCCCCACCAGTGTTCATTAGTTCATTTGTTCATTCATTTATCCATTTATTTATGAAATGTGCTTTGTTAGAGTCAGTTCTCATGGTAGGTTGTGAGAAATGGGAGATGAATGAGACAAGGGCCCTGATTAGCATCCAAGGGAAACAAACTTCGTATGTACTGAGCATCCACCCTACGCCCAGCTCTGTATCAACGAATGCTTATTGAATCCTGATGTAGGAGTTATTACTATCTTACAGATAGGAATCTGAAGCTCATAAAACACCTTGCCCAGTATCACCCAACAAGCAAGTGATCAAATTGTAGGTCCACCTGGATTTGTTTCCTGCTTCTCCCATGAAATATCACAGATATGCAAAAAAATAATTACAAAACAGAAATGCTCAAATAGAGGCTTAGTTAGGTGGTCCAGTCAGGGGTACCTATTCCTTTACTCTGACTGCCACCTTCTATCGCCCTTCTCCAATCCCAATTCCAGGAAGCCAGAAACAGCCGGAGAACACCATATTAATTGAGCAGGGCCTCTCTGCTACTTGGAAAACTGTTTATTTACCTCTCAGACTGTTCCTAATCTGTTGCAAAGACTGTCATCCCATGACCTCACCTATGAAAAGGACAATGAGAAAAATAAACAATAACAGCTTCTTTGCAGTAAGCAGTTTCTTTGTTCCAGGCATGGTACTTGCCAAACATTATCCCTGAACCTCCCAACAGCCTTATGTCCATAGCTCCAATTGATAGATGAAGAATACAGCCTTAAGTAGGATATCTATGGTCATCAAATATTAAGTGTGGAGTCCTGGATTCCAGTCAACCCCAGTCTGTCTAATTCCAAAGCGTACCTCCTCTCCTCTATGCTCTGCTGCCTCTTAAGCAATAGCCACAGTTGTCATTTAATCAGTAACAACTGTGGGCCAGACACAATGTGTGCGTTTTTTCCATAATACACCAAGCTTGAGAAATTAAGTATTTTTCCCTAATACAACAAGCCTGAGAAATTAAGTATTTCCACTTAACAAGAGTACAACTAAGGCTTGGACAGGTAAAACCACGGAGCTAGTAACTTGAGTTCCAAACTGAAGATCTGCTTATCTCCAAAGACTAAACCATCCAAAGTCCTTGATCTTGACATTTTCCCACCCTACTGTTTTAGGGAGCAAGGGCTCTCCCCACAAGGCAGACCCGAGCACCCCTCCCTTGCACTGTAACCCAACCCAGGCCCTCATAGACCTCATTTAATAGATTATCTGCTCACATGGGTGCCCCTTCCACAAACACTCTCAGGTCTAGCCAAGCCTAACCTTCCCTCTGTCTTACCCCCTCTCTAGTTAGCAGCCTTCTCTCACCTTCCTTCCTTCCAGTCCAAAGCTTGCTGACTTTAACTTACTCTTTCCCCTTTGCCCTCCTCATTCCTACATTCCCTTCAATCCTGTTTCTGTTGCTACAGACCTGCTGAGGCCGCTCCTTTAAAGGCCACCAGCGAACTACTGCTCATGAAATATGAGAGTGTGTAGCCTTACCCTCACTGACTTCACTGTGGAATCACCTCTACCTGAGTCACTCCACCCCATCGAACATCGCCCCTTCATTGATTTGCTGTGACCCTGCATTGTCCTCTAACCCAACCAAAGATTCTTAGAACTAGATGGGATTTTAAATGTCTGGAAATGAAACTCCCTCCCACCCAGAGCAGGAATCCCTTTCACATCATCCCAACGTATAGTCCACTAGCTTCTTCCAGAGTTCTCCCTGTGATGAAGATTTCATTATCTTTGTCTGTTTAATAACTATTATAATTTATTCATTCTCAGGGGTTCTCTTTTTGTATTCCCATTATTTAAGTTTTTAATTACAGAAGCAATTTATATGCATTCTAATGAAAAATGAATAAGTAAAAATCTAATATTTACCCTTCATCTCACTCCCGTTTCAACACCTTACACCATAAAATTATACATATGTGTACAAAGTGTTGTTGCTCTTATTTGTTTTTACCTTCAAAATCACAATATGCATTACTTTTGCTTTTCTCATTTAGCAGTATCTTGCAAGAATGCTCCAGGTCAAAATTTATAAGAAGATATATAACTAACTCATATAATAGCTATATATTATTCCATAATACATATAAATATACTACTATTTACTCATGATTCCCAGAATAATGATTGTCAAATCGTTTTCAAGTTTCTTTTGTTGTTTTGTGCTGTTTGCTGCAATAAATTTTATTATACATAAATCTTTGCATGCTGGTATTTTTTAATGTAGGATGGACCCACATCTGGGGACAAATGATATGTGTAATATTAATTTTAAAAGATATTGTTTGGTAACTTTACAAAACTGTTTCTAATTCCTCCTCCCACCAGCAGTGTATGAGACTACCTGTTGCCCTTCATTCTCCCTATAAGCAGATATTTTTGCTGTCTACAATGTTTGCCAATCTAGATAGTGAAAAGTGGTATATATTGTTGCTTTAATTTTTATTTTCCTGGCAAGTCAAAATGATCCTTCACATGCTTATTGACCATTTAGATGATCTCTTCCATGAATTGCTTGTGCATAACTTTTGCCTATTTTTAAAAATTAATTTGATTTTCTCCTGTCAATTCATGAGATCATTTTGTACACAGGCACATTAACTTAGGTCCCTATAACCTTATTTCATAGGTGTTACAAATATTCTTCCAGACTATCATTTGTTTTGAGTTTTTGCCCTTTGTTCATAGTTTGGTCACATTACAAATTTTAAATGTTTATGCACTTAAATATATTTATAATTTCCTTTAAGCTTCTGAATTTCTTGTAATGCTTAGGAAGGTTCCCATAACTCCCAAGGTTGTAAAAATATTCTACTAATTTTCTTTCCTTTTTTATTTAAGTCTTTTTTTTTTTTTTTTTGAGACCGAGTCTGTCTCCCAGGCTGGAGTGCAGCGGTGCCATCTGGGCTCACTGCAAGCTCGGCCTCCCGGGTTCACGCCATTCTCCTGCCTCAGCCTCCCGAGTAGCTGGGACTACAGGCCTCTGTCACCACGCCTGGCTAATTTTTTGTATTTTTAGTAGATATGGGGTTTCACCATGTTAGCCAGGAGGGTCTCTATCTCCTGACCTCGTGATCCACCCACCTTGGCCTCCCAAAGTGCTGGGATTACAGGTGTGAGCCACTGCGCCCAATCCTATTTAAATCTTTAATGCATTTGTAATGCACCATACATGGTATGAAGTAGGAGATTTCACAGTCATATTGCTTGCTGGGGTTGAGCCCCAAACTGCCTTCCTACCAGCTCATCCCTGAGTCTTGCCTCTGCCTTCCATGCTGCCCAGCTCAAGTTCAAAACCCTGAGCTGGACCCAAATTTCTCAACCTTCCCCCACATAGGTTGAATCCCTAGCCTTTGACTAGATCCAAAAGAATCCCACTGGGGAAGACTTATGACATTTTATTTTAATTGTGGTAGGATTTTTTTTCTGTTCTCTCCTCTACATTGTAAGTTTCTTAATGGTGTGATTTCCCACTGAAGCATAGCAAACCCAAATAGCAAATACTTGTTGGGTTGAATTCCCATCACCACATTTAAGATGTCAGCACCCTTCTCCTCCTGAGATCACAAAAGCCTCCCCTATGCTTTCAGGGGCCAGATCACATCTGAAAGTGTTTTGTGCCATTTGTTTGGGGATGGGCACATGTGAAAGTGCCAGTCAATTAAGCCCTTTTGGTTTTCCTTGGAATGCTTGCCAAAATCATAATTGCATATTAATTTGCCACTCAAGTGGGTTTTCATAATTGCAGCTGGGGGATGGGGTCAATATCCCACATGTCATTTATATCTAAGGAAGGAGAAGATGCTACTGAATCACTGGTTTCTTAAGAAAATGTTAAGGTGGGAGCCTAACAGAAAGCCTTCATTTCATCAGCCCTCAAAGGCCTGATAGGTATCACGGTGCCTTGTTTGGTACCTCATGACCCCTAGTCCGCTGCTGTTTTCCTCACCACCACTCAATTTCTTGGCCAACATCCAAAGATGATGGGAAGAGGGGGTGAGAAATGTTTAGCTTTCCCTTTCATAGGCCAGCACACAGAACTCAGGGAGCTAAAGAGCCCTACCCAAAGTTACACAGTGTAATCCATGTCTTGTAGTTCCTTGCTGTTTCTCTGTCTTACCTCTCTCCCTTTATCTCATAATTGTGATATAATATAAAAACCACAAGCCGTGACATCATGCCAACCTCGGTTTGGATCCTGATTCTGC
The DNA here is from genome assembly GCF_000001405.40 of Homo sapiens. Classification (NCBI taxonomy): domain Eukaryota; kingdom Metazoa; phylum Chordata; class Mammalia; order Primates; family Hominidae; genus Homo; species Homo sapiens. The sequence goes on along the minus strand of NC_000011.10, from coordinate 79,629,077 downwards.
CCCTTTACTAGCTTTTTCACCTCAGTAGGCCTTGATTTTATAATCTGTAAAACATGATTACAATAGAACTTATCTGAGTTAATTAAAATAGGTCAACTTTTATTGCAATAACAAATATCCCCCAAACCTCAGTGGCTCATTACACATACCTTTTTATGGTACCTGATGTAAGTAGGGTAGTCTTCCTCTACGATGAAAACTATAAAACATTAATTAAAGAATTTGAAAAGGACACAAATAAATAAAAAGATATTCCATGTTCATGGATTGGAAGAATAATATTGTTAAAATGTTCATATTACCCAAACAGTCTGCAGATTCAATGCAATATCCACCAAAATACCAATGACTTTCTTCACAAAAATAGAAATAACAATTATAAAATTTGTATGGAACCACAAAGGACCCCAAATATCCAAAGGGAAAAAAAAAGCTTCAAGCATCTCACCACGTGGCTTCAAAATATACTACAAAGATATAGTAATCTAATCAGCATGGTACTGTCATGAAAACAGACACATAGATCATTGGGACAGAATAGAGACCCCAGAAAAAAATCTACCACAAACCTTTATTTCTGGACCCTACCCCCAAAGAGCACAGGCTTTGTATTACATTTTATGAGAAACCTTCAGGAGATGGTGCTCTGATCCAGAGGTGGGAATTTCTAGAAACAGATAGGAGGGAATGGTAGAAAGAGTGCTGATTTGGCCATTGGGGAGGGCTGAGTTCTGTTCTCACTGCTCTCTATGTGACTTGGGACAAGACACTTCCTTTCTTGGGTCTCATTCTCTTACCTGATTCTGGAGTCAAACTGCCGGTATTCAGATCTATGCAAGATGCCTCAGTTTCTTCATCTGTAAATGGAGATACTAATAGTTCCTACCTTATAGGGCTATCATGAAGACAAAATGAATTACTAACTCATGGACATTATTATTGTTTAAATAAGTTATTAAAGCACTGTTATTAATTAAATAAGTTATGTGTAAAGCAGTTAGGACAGTGCCTGTAACACAGTAATTATTCAATTAATATTAGTTCTTATTGTTTGTAATATTATTATACAACTGGAGATTTGGCTGGAAAACCTCAGAGTTCCTTAGACAAATGCATTTAGCCAGTTTTCACTGACTCAGATGTGACTTTGTAAGGCAATTCCAGCTTCTGAGACAACACCTGGTATAAAGATAAAGGGTCTAAAAAGTGCTAGAATCAAAACCAGCCCACGCTCTTCTCTCCTATCACTTGTTTACAGTTCACAAATCTTGCTTCCCCAACTGTCTGATATTCTTGAGGCAGAGGCTGGGCCTGCCATCTCTTATCCCCAAGCCAAGTGCAGAGTCAGGCACCTAGGACATATACAATAATTATTTGTCAAATGAGTTAATGGAAGAACAAACCAACAAGACTGAAGAAGACTCAGTGCCCCAGTGAGCTAAACATGCAAGGAGGGATTTCAATGACATCTATTTTCTCTGTCGTGGTAACATGCTAATGAGCTGGAGAGATCTGACTAAATTGCGATTTCCCAAAATGAGTTAATTAATAAACTGATTTTGGGATGATTAACGGGGGGGGGGCAAAGTTAACATCATTTTAATGGGAAAGCGTCAGTGAAGCACAAACTCATTAGCGCAAAACTGTTTCCTGCCCCAGCAGGCTTGTCACTTACTACTTTTTATGGAAGAAGCTGGAAAAGCCACACTGATAAGGATTGAGCTCCTGAGCAGCCAGAAGTCCCTCAGGGCAGCACACACGCCTGAAAGGGATTGTGCATGGTGGATTCTGACAGCACCCCATATAGGTGAACTCTCTGCTAATTTCTCATTGGTTGCAATGAAGTGTCTGTTGCTAATAACTATGCTTAATTTATTAAGTTTCATGTGACTGTTATTGAAGAAAAGGAATACAAAATGTGTATAAACTAGTTCTGATTGGTTTCCAAACATTGAAAAGTAATCATTGTAGAGATAAGTATTTTTATAATAATTAATGTTTAAAATGCACTTTCCTTTCCTTATGTGTAAAATTGAATTATAATATTATTTCAACTTTGAAGGGTTACCAATGAGAATCAGCACTGATCATTAAAAGCTGCCATTCTCTGAGTTCCTGCTGCATGCCAGGACCTTTCCTGCAGATGACCTAGTGAGTCCATCAGAGATTAACCTTTGAGTTCCAGAAAGAGGCCCAGGTGCAGGTTCTTTTTCCTCCAAGTGAAGGGCTTTATACAGAGAACACAGCTTTACAGGCGCCTCCTTCCCTCCTCAGGCCCTAAAAAGAAGAAAAGGAGGATCTTTAGCCAGAACATAGAGCTAAGGGTTCCACTTCTCACTCCTCATGACACAAACTGCCCACTCTTATGATAGAAAAGGGGCTGCGGAGATGTCCTGGCAGCCTGGAGTTCCCCAAGAAACCAGCCCCGTCTCATCAACAGGAAGGAAATGGCATTTCTGAAACCCGTCTTGAATGCTACTGCCAGAGCTGAGATCTGGTGCATGCCTTGTGGCTCAGGCTGCAGAGAAAAATTCATGAGTGATCTGGGTGTGGATTTGATCTTAGTAAAAGTATCCATGAGTCAGGACTGAATGACCCAGATACAAGTATAAACCACTAACCATACTAAAATAGAGAACTAAAGTCAATTTCTCACTCACATTTCAAAACATGCTTTGCCTAAATTGGAAAGGCTGAGATATAATCTGTTACATCAGCATCAAGTGTTAGGTCTAGAGGTTCAACTAAGAAGCAACTGGTGGCCAGAGAAAGGAAGTGCCATGGCCAAGTGCTCTTTGTCTGGGGGTGAGGACACAGGTAGCAAAAGGGGTTTGTCCAGAGTCCCCAAACAGGATAGCCCAGTGCTGGAAGTGCACAGTGAAAAATTGGCTGAGGTCACTGTGCTCAAGGTGGCTTGGAGAAGACAGGACATGGACACCACTGGTTCAAAGGAGAATACAACAAGAATCTTAAGTGAGACACGAGTACAGAGTGCTGCAGATGTGGAGGAATACCATCAGCCATATGTTGTTGTTATGGTTAGGTGAAGTATTAGTAGTTGGGGGGTGTGGGGAGGTATGTTACTATTTGTTGAGTGCTTGTCACGGACCACTCTCCATGCTGAGAGCTCTGTTCTTCTCCTATCTCATCCTCACCACAGCCTGATGAAGTAACTACTAATATAAGCCCTATCTTACAGAGGAGGAAACAGAGGTTCAGAGTGGTTAAGTAACTTGCCAATATTTCCAAACCAAAATATGAAATCCAACATAGACTCCTGAGTCTCCACATTTAATTATTATATCAAACATTTGTGTGACCAAGAGATCACCTATGAGTCCCCTGCCCCTTAACATTAATATGAGACTGGCTCAAAAGCCCATCTAAATTCTGTGGAAAGCACATTTTCACTGAGATTGTCACAAATTTCATTGTATCTATTCCTGCCATTAGACCCTAAACAAGTTCCACCTCGTGCCTGAACTATGGTTACCTGTGGAAATGCTTGTCTCTGGGTCTCTTGCCAAGCAGCAGACCAATTTCCAGAACTTATCTGAGCCCATTATGGCATGTGGCAGGTAGAGTAAAATGCATCTGGTGTGATAAAAGCTTCCTTTGAGTTCTGTGTAATCCTGTGATTCAATGAAGTGGTTGTGTAACTATTCATAGAGACAATTTTAACATTCTATCTAGGAAAAGGATACCTAAATGTGTAAACAGAATCAGAGGCCACAAATTAAACTCTTCCATCAATGGTTGGAAGACTGGACCATAGCTGCACTTGAACTCATCCACCAAAGGTTGGAAGACTGGACCATAGCTGCACTTGAACTCTTCCACCAAATCCCTTCAAAAGACAAAACTCTCTCTCTCTAGAGGTCTTGAGGCTTAGCTCAAAGCAATGGCTGCAAGCTTGAAATTTGTTTTTTTCTTTTATTTAAGCTAAAATGTCATGTAAATTTTGATATCTACTGCATAAAGCATGTCTTTGTTTTGATATAAAAATAACACTTTATTTCTTGTTAACTTACTTTTTTCCCAAATAGGGATTGGGGTGTGGGGGCAGTATATACCAGGAAATGTACTTAGAGCTTCACAAATGCTATTACATGTAAATCTCACAGGAAGGTATTATTAATCCTATATTTTTGTTGATGAGACAAAGCTGTATAGTAGTTGAAATGTTCACCCATTGTCACACATTAGAAAGGGGAGAAGAAGAATTCTAAGTTCAGTTTGTCTGTCCTTAAAGTCTGCTCTCCTGAAAAGGGTAGGCGCTCTGTTGACTTCATATGCTTTGCTGAGTATCCATTTATTTACCTGCCCTTATTGAATGAAATCTCTACATCTAATTTAATAAAGTCACTCCAAGCAGTGAGCTTAACTTAAGAAAAAGATAGTGTGACAATTCGGTTTGCCATTAGAACTTGGGGGCCTATGTAATCCAAAAGATCATTGCATCAGATAAAAGATGGTCCCCCAAATCAGTCCCCAGGGATGCTCTATCAGGAGCCGTTATGCACGTGGACTCACACGACCTGTGGAAGTGCCTTTCTCCAGCTCCGATTCAAACTGCAAACCCAGTTTTTCAAGGCATCGCCAGGGCAAATAGCCTGGGCTTTGATGGAGTGAAATGCACCTGATAAAATCAAAAGACTTTGCACAAAGACATCCTGAATCAGATAATATGGATCTCAGCAAGTTGTCTGAAATCCAAGTATGAAAATAGTTCAGGCAATTTGGCTACAACTTGCAAAGTGAAACAAGCCCCGTGTATGAAAATAGATCTCTTTCCTCACATGCCCGATCTCATTCCTTTCTGAAAATTTGAGGATCACTTTTCAAGCCAATGGGAAATTTTCAAAACTGGAAAAGAATACAGTTTCAGAGGAGCAGACACCTGTTCTCATCTTCAGGGTTGAAGTTGACAATAGTATGTTGGGGAATTGTCAGTTAATTCTAGTCCCTTAGCCCTCCACTTCCTGTCCTTCACCACATATCATGGGAAGGAAAAGGTTATGGTAAGACAGGCCTAGGTTCAAAATCCAGCTCAGCCACTTTTGTGCTATGTGGTCTCAACAAATTCCTAAACATTTAGCACAGTTTTTTTTCTCCCCTTAAAATAGGAAGGACAATGCTTCCCAAGCAAGATGAGTTAGAGAATGAAATATGGTAACAGAAAAAAAGCTCTTGGCATATAGTAGGTGCTCAAAAAATTCCAGTTCCCTTGTGTAGTTACACATCCTCTATTTTCATACCTCCTGCCCTTGCACAGACTGTTTCTTTTGCCTAGAATGTCATTTCTTATTTTCTACCTAGAAAAATCTCCCTGATATTATGTGGCCCAGCTCAGAAGTCATGTATTCAAGGAAGTTTACTATGTTCTATCTTCCACTCTTAGTCACAGAAATTATAGCTTCTACTTGCATCTCAGCCGCCATTAGTCCACACTTAGAACAGGTGATGAGTTAGGAAAGCTTACATGCACCAGGAGCAGCAGATGCACCTGCTTTTCCTGATTCATTTGGCCTGCTATAATAGAGCAACTTCATGGCACAGATGACTGGCAGGGAAAATGCTGACCAAGACTTCCACAGCCCTTGTGCCTTTAGTCGTGGATCCATTAATGCCACAAATATTAATTGGGTACCTACTGTGGGCAGACCCTGTGGAAGATGAAAAGATAAAACATTTTTAAAAACTCAGCTGTGAGATAATTCATTGCCTAACAAAGGATTATATGGACAGAAGTGACTAGAGAAATTCAGGTAGAAAGCCAACGAAGTCCTAAACATGGCTCAGACAGAGTGCTGTGGGAATTGATAGAGGAAGGGAAATGAACATACATTCAACATCAAGTTTTTACCAGGCATTGTGCAAGGTGTATTTACAAATGCCATCTGCCAACACACCTAAGAAGAAAATGTTATCCCCATTTTACAAATTATAAACTTGAGACCGAAGATGGTTTAAGCAATATACCCAAGGATATAAGTCTAATAATAGTGAACTTATGATATAAACCCATGCTGACTCCATGCTGTTCTCCTTTACTCCCTGAACTCTAATTTGAAAGTAGTCGTGATAACCTGGGAGCAATAATTGCAAATCTAAATGACACCATTTCCTTGATATTTGAAAGGACAGCAATCATTTCAACCCTAGCAGTTAGACATAGCATGTAATGACCTGTTATTAATATGCTGATACTATGCATTAGGTTCTCCAGGTCAATACTAGCTCATTTCATCATAATAAATGAATGTTCAAGTCAATGTGGCCAAAACTCCCATTGCCTCGCTCTCAGTACCTACATTAAGGCAGAGCTGATCATTTCCTCTAAGACTGAACATTACCCTCCACCCCATTTCCAAAGAGCCAGGCCTTCAGAGAAATATGCTCCCCTTCACACACACACAATAATCCTTCAGCGTTTCATCTTTCTTGACAGCCAGCCAATCCATCACAGGGCCCCTTTCATAATTTGTATTGATTTGCATTTATCCACAGCAAAGCCCATTTGCAGACCATCATTCGCACTCTTGGTCATTTTTAATGACCAGGAAAACTGTCATTTGGAGTTGACACAGCTCCAGAGCATTCAAGTGAAACTCGAGGGTGTTCGTCCCACTCACCTTGAAGGCTCTAAGATCAGCCCAATATCAGTGGCTTTAAATAAGTCAGCCACAAAGGAAATTGGAACTTCTCTCTCATTCTACAGGTCTGAGCTCCTTGACCCATGATACTGTATTCAAGGGAGTCCTATAGAAATGAGTACAGGTCACTAATTGGCAGGCTGAAGCTTCATCTGGCTCACAGAGGGAATGTGCTTAGACCATGAAGTAGTTTTCATTATAGCTAGTTGGAAAAATGAAAAATTTTGTGAGATGTCACATACAAATAATATTTTCTACTTTTTCCTTGTAACCTGATTATGTGGAAGAGCTGGACCAATATGCCCACCTGAACATTGTCCTCTGGAGCTGATGGGCAGCTTCTCCTAGATAGACAGGACCCCCACTTTCAATTCTATTTTATTAATATGCTTTAGCCCTTATGTAATCAGCCCCTTTTGACATTTGAGTGTGTACTCTCTAAGTATAAAAAATTGATGTTCAAGTCTTGATTCCCCTGGCAACTAGCTATGTGGATTTGGGCAAGACACACTTACGCTGTGCACTTTAGTTTCTTTATTTGTAAAAAATGATGGAGTGATTCTATTCATACTTCTGTAATTTGGGCTAGACACTCTGCTAATTACTAGGATACAAAAGTAAATTAGAAATAATGCTTGTCCCCAAGAGGCTTATTATTTAGGATAATGCACATAAACAGTATATTTCAAAATCATGTGTGAGTGTGCAGGAATGTCAGGCTGCAAGGGGCCCGTAGGACAGTCATCTGTTCTAAGATAAGGGAAACTAAGGCAGACTGCCTAAGGAATGATGCTTGAGCAAGAACCTCATGGAGGAGAGAATGCATGCCAGGCATGTTCAGGGAACAAGCCAAGGTTTATTCCTGTGTTGAGTCGAAAGAGCAAGAGCCAGGAAGATCTGAAAAGCCTTAAGTTCCTACTCTAAAGACCTTAGACTTTTAGTCTCTGGGCAATGAGCAATCACTGAAGATTTTGGAAAGGATATGGAAGAGATATGACCAAAGGAGTGTATCGAGAAAGTCAGTGTGGACAACACTGGGCACAAGGGCTCCTGCCTTCATGGAACTCCTAGGCTTTGTTCATGAAGTTTGCCTGAGTGAAGAGCTACAATTCACTCTCAGAAAGTATACTACCATAGACCTGATATTTCCAGCATGTGACAGATCTGATGGAAAACTTAGGCTGGAGGCCAGGTGAGTACACATCACGGGAAAAGATCTTCAAAAGCAGAGAAGCATTTGAATTACAAGAAATTCTAAAGATCCATTTTACTGCAAGAGAACATTGTCTTGCTTATGCCAGATGGTCAAAACCACTAGAAAAGAGGGGTGAACAAGAAAATTTAAAACAGGGCTTGCATTACAAACATGAAGGGGCAGACACCTAGTAAGTAAGCAAATCAATGAGAAAAATAAGTCAAGCCAATGATGCAAGATAGGAATAGAATAAAATACAATAAGGTAGTATGATAGAGAATGACTGAGGAAGACATCATTTGGTAAGGTGCTGAAGGGAAGCCTGTTTAAGGTAGCGTCATGGGGATTCAGACCTGAAAGATAAGGAAACTCAGCTTTGGGAAGACCTGAGGGAAGAACATTGCAGATCACACAACCCACCAGGACCTGTTCAAGAGCATTGGGAAGAAACGGAGTCCAGAGCAAACTGTGGAGCTGCTGTTGTTTTTGCTATGACTCCTGGCAGGATAGGATACAGAACAGTGCTATAGGGAAGAATCTCATAGCCATGTCTCCAATAACTGAGGAGAAAGATCTTTACTGATTCTCCAAGCTATTAATGAAAACTTCTACGTTCTGTTTGAATTATGAAAGAATGCCAAGACAAAATATACTACCCAAAGAATGCTTTTATCCCCATCTTCTTATCTCCCCATTCTACACCATATTCATATCAAGGCCATCCATGTAGGAACTGGATGGAGATCCTGGCAAAACTCAGGTCACATCTTACAATAAGAATGGGGTTGGCCACACTTAACTGATTAAGGATATAACAGACAAGAAAGAGTCAGGAAGTCAGGATAAGAAATCAGTTCATGAATGTCAGATAAACAACTTGTGTGCATCACCTTCACCTCTCTTGCTCATGGCAGACATTATTAATAGATCATGGCTCTCTTTCCTGCTGGGACCAAATGTGACCTCAGAATCCTTCCCAACTTGTGGCTCCAAGCAGCCACCATAAATCAACCAAACTTGGAACAAGAGATTAAATCTATTTCTTAGCCTATACCTTCAGCCATTCACTGAAACAAAGCAAGACATTCTGATATGGCTAGGTGGAAATGGAAAAAATTGTGTCTTACCAAGTAATGGATGCAGAGATACCCCTGTTCTCCATTCCATCAAATACAAACACACACACACACCTGCTTCACTATTTATTTATTTATCAGCCTGAATAAAAAATGTCCCCATGTCAAAGCAGCTATGTAGAGTAGTTACAACCTTGACACCTTCAGGGAGGGGCAGTTACTAAGTCAGATGGAGTCCCAGTGTTACTGAATCTTACCATCTCAGCTGCTGGTGGTGGAAAGGACATAAGTCAGCCAGGTAAAATTCTGTATACAGTGACTTAGTTATTAGGAAATCAGGCTCTAGAGCCAGATGCCCAGGTGTGGATTGGCTCTGCCCTTTTATAGTTGTATAACCATGTTACCCAACCTCACTGGGCCTCAGTTTTGTTAAGTGTAAAATAGGTGAACAATTATGCCTACCTTACAGGTCTTTCAAAAGGATTACATAAGTTAATGCATGTAAAGTGCTTAAAACCATTCCTAGTATAGAGTGAGGGCTTAATAAATGTCAGAGTATATAAGTAAATTAAGATAAAATGGAATTCAGAGCTGAAACTCAAGAAAACTAGGTGGGAAATTCGTCTTGGAGCAATGAGAGGTCTTGCCACCTGAAAGGACACCCAGGAAGAGCAAGGCAGGGCCCAGGCTCCAGAGGGACCAGCTTGCCACTGAGTGTGGAATGAACATAGGCTCCAGGGTTGGGCAGAGCCAGATCGTTTGAACTCAACTCAGCTGCTTCCCAGCTGAGTGACTGTGAGCAAGTCACTTGCCCTCTCTGAAGCTAAATTTGTGACATAGGTACAGATATTAATGCTGGACTCTCAGCTTTGATGTGAGGATCAAACATGAGCATTAAGCCTGGCTCAGAGGACATAGCAAATGTGAGTTCCTGCACAATAATGAAGGCCTTCATGGCTGGGGAAAAAGAAGAGGATTGGGTCGGGGAGGATGAGGAAGGAAGAGAAGTGATCTGGTGCCTTGATAGAGACTGCAGGCCACTAAGAGTCAGGAAGGTGGAGACGAGGAGGCTGAGGCAGTTGCCGGCAGCCCAGCACCAGAGTGTGACAAAGTCAGAGCCAGCCCTGGAGTCAGGGCCATATGCTGCAGAGTCCCATGGCATCAAGCTGGATCCTTAACCTCTCTCGGCCAAGGGCAGACAGGGCAGAAGGGGACTGCATGTGCAGGCTGCAAGGCCAGGGAGACAGGAGGACGTGGGGGGCTGGAGCTGTATTTTTTGTAGGAACTGAGGGGAAGGTTAAGAGAGTGGGTCCCTGCACGTTAACCACAGTAACTTCAATTTTAGTGGTTTTATAAAGATCTTATCTTTAAATAAAAGATAAGATCTTCCTACTTTTTTAAAAGGATGTCAAACACATTTGAAGCATGGAAACATTGACTTTTAGAATCATAGAATAACCTAGAATTAAGAAAATGTCTTAAGAACTATCTATTCTATCTTCCCAAAGCAGGAAAGTGCTTCTCTGCTACCTGCTAGGGATTCATCCAGCTCATTCTTGAATATGTTTGCTGACAGGGACATCACTACCTTATAATGCAGTGTGGAGTTCCTCTAATTGTTAGAAAATCCACGCTGTCATCCTGAGATGAAATCTGTCTTTCTCTGACTTCTATCCATAGCTTTTGTTCTGCCCTTGGGAAATTGGCTCCTGTTGTCCACCCTGCCAACCCCCCTCCCCCAGCAGACTAAAGAACACATTTAGTCTAAAGAATATGCCCACTTACATCATTTTCCTTCTAAAAGTACTTCTGTTGCTCCAGGGTGAGCTTACTGAGGGTAGAAGCCATGCTGTGCTTACCTCTGTATCTCTGTCACCTGGCACAGGGGAAGGGCTCGATACATGTTTCATGAGTATATGGACAAAAGAATAGATAGATAGATGCTCAGGCTCTTATAGAATATCAATTCAGCATTTTCATTTTGTTAAAGAGCCACCTAAAACCCAAAGAAATTTTGTGAGTTACCTAAAGATACCTAGGGTCAGAGCCAGAATTAGCATCTAGGTTTCCTGATGCCTATATGATATGATCTCAGAATGTGAGCCAGGACCCTGGGAAATGTGGTTTGCAAAGGAGCCTGGAAAGCATGGTTTGCAAGGATCAGACCTCTGCAATCCAGAGCAGAGCAGGAGAATGATTCTGAAGGTGCACAAGCCAATGACCACACAGGCACTGGAGCCCCCGTAGACACTTCACAGTTTGCTAGTCAATTCCACAAACCCTTATTAGTACATATCATGAGCAAGGCTCTATTCCTGAGGAGGAGTCCACGAGGACCAAGTCTCGTACTTGAGGAATGTGCCTTCATGACCAGGCATAATCAAAGGCAGGCTGTGCTTTGTGCTATTTCAGAAGTGTCAGCAAAGTGCTGTGAGAAGGGAGAGGAGAGACTGATTCATTCCACTTGGGAAGATCTGAGGTCTCCTGGAACAGTAGGCATTTGAGTTAAGCCTTAGCTGATTGGAGAAACTGTGTGAGCAAAAGGAAAAAAAATTCCTGAAAGGAGGAAGTGGGATGAGGTATGGCTGGAGATGTCAGGGACCGGTGGTTGAGTGATAAAGGATGTTACAAAGACAGATTAGGGCCACCCCACAGAGGACAGCCTCAAGACCCATCTCAGGACATTGCCTCTTTTCTATGCCAGGGGAGTTATGGAAGGGTTTTGGGCAGAGGGGCAATGTGGTGAGACCCATGTTTAGGAATACTGTGGGCAGCCTGTCCTAAAAGTCTGTCCTACAATTTGTCAGCCAAGCCAGGGCTGCTGCAGAGAGTCCTTCCTGCATCTGCATGAGGAAGGCCAGGTCTGCCAGGTTTTAGCACCTGTGGCAGCCTTCGAGGTGGCTCTACACTCCAGACCTTTAAGATTTCCTGAGCTTTTAGCCATTGAATTGAACAGATACACACACATGGATTAAGACAACACAGGAAGCAGAAAACTTGATCATCCTCCTCTCTAAGGCTGGCAATGAAAGATCTGACAATAGCTGTTGGGACACTTTCCCTGCTGGCCGCACATGTACTGCAGGACTGAAATTCCAGAAGCTGTCATTCCATTTGGTAACAATTTTGGCCTGTCACCCCAACTAACTCCTAGCCCAGTGCTCAACCCAAAACAAGCAAGCAATAAATTGAGAACCCTTTCTCTTCCCCTCCTCCAGGACAGGAAGCAAGGCATACCTGACTTTGTTTCTCCAGTGCTTAGTATTGCATAAGGGCTTAATAAGTATTTGGTGAAGGAATACATGGGTAAAGGTTGGCCTTGTACTTGTGACCTTTGAACGAATTATTCAAAGCCTCTTGACTCACTTTTCTCCTCCCTTTCTTCTCAAGATACATCTTTCCTTTTCAGAACATATGACCCAACTTCAATAACTAGTCTGTGACTCATGATTCTGAAGATAAATAGAATACTGTATGCAGGTTGTTCTGAGTGGTATAGCTGCAAGGTATGGTGGAAGTACAGAGTTTAAAAAGAAACCACAGAGGTGTCTTTCCATGGAGATCTATGTTTTCTCACATTTAATTAATACAGAAGTCAAAGTGCTCTGGAAACACTCATCATCACTGCATAAAGTGGCCTGGGAACTTCCGCTGGAGCTGATAACCTAGAGAAAATGAGTCACAAAGGTCTGAATTAAGAGCTAGAAGGAACATTAGAGAGTGTCATCATGACAGTGCCTTGCAGAGCACGTAAAATGTTGCAAACCACTTATTCACATACCTGCAGTGTACACATTTTACCCCATTATGTTCCAAAGTTAAATATTTAAGGTGGAATATATATACATACTGACATTTACTACAGAATTATATGAGACACGTGGTAAATCATTTGTATGTAGCATCTCAATCCTCACAATAACTGTATAATTATTTAGCACTTATTATACAAGTAATTTTACTTGTGGACTTGCCATGCCCAAACAGAGACTTAGAGTCATGATAGCCCAGTGGCAAAGTGTGTGGGCTCTGGAGTGAGAAGAGCTGGACGTGCATCCCTGCTCTGCCACGGCCTAGTTCTTTGAGCTTGTGCAGTTACCCAAGCCTCCCGGAGCCCCATTCCCTTGTATATAAAATAAATAAAATCATATCACCCTCCTCATCACATTAGGAAGGATCACTGAGATAATCCAAAGAAATGTTTAGGATAGTGTCTGGTATGTGAAACATGCAAGAGGAATATTAACTATTATTGTTAAGTAACTTACCCAAGAACACATGGCTAGTAATGAGTGGGAATTGAACCCCAGCCTGCCTGAATGCAAAGCCGTGATGCTCCGTGCTTGATTACTCCCTCTTTTCTCTCTCTAGAGCTTTGTGTTACCTTCATTCTATCAGGTGAGAAACTTGAGATGCCAGGAGGTTTAAGAACTTGCTCAGGGCCACAAGGTTGCTTTGACAGGGACCACAGGAGAACCTAGGTCTTTTGATCCCAACTAGAATTTCTTGCTCTTCATGACGTCACCCTGCCTCCCTAATCTGTGGGCAACTCTGCTGTACATTCAGGAAAAACAGCGTCCAGAAAGGCTAAGCAACTTCTCTGGTGATGTCCAATTATTAAGTGGCAAAGCTGGCACTGGCACCTAGGTCTCAGCTCTCCTCATTGTCTCTCAAATATTCTTTCCTATGCAGTCCACTTCATCACGTCTCAGAGATCCTGAGTGGAGAAAAGTGAACAGAGATAGAGACAGGCAAAGAAACAAACACAGAAATAGAGACAAGCAGAGGAGTAAAGACAGAAAGAAAAAATATAGAGAAAGAGGTCTGTAAGCTAAGAACATCTTTTAATCTCTTTTCTTCCGGGAGGTCCTTAAAATGATGAAAATTTGGTAACTTTTAGGAAGAGGAGAATGAAAAATAATATGATACCAACTGCTTGTGCAGTTCTTTAGCAAGTCTGGATAAATTTGAAGAAGTAGTGAAATCACTGAACACTGAGAGGGAAATTGTGGCTCTGTCACTCTGAAAATTGTTCAAACACTTACCCTCTATACCTCATAGAGAAAGCCGATGCTGTGGTGAGCATTATTCAGGTGCCCTTGTGCAATTGAAGATGTGAGAATCAACTAATTAAACACTCAGAACTGTGAAGACAAGCATTTTGCAAATGCAGGCTCCCATTACTTCTCGGAGTTACCATGATCTCACCTGGACCTGCTGAACATCAAAGGTGTCCTAAACAGGAGAGGCAAAGATTTCTAAGCTTTTGCCTGCCTTGATGCAGAGCTTACCAAAATGGTGAGGAGAAGCAAGGATCTGGGTAAGCCAGGACATCAAACTACCTCATTGGAAAATAAAACTTGGGGGCTTGAGTTATATCTCACCGGAATTTTCCTGTTGATCTGACACTCATGATTTATCTTTAATTGGTACTTACAAAATGCTCCATTAAGCAGCACTACTCACTGTTTTTCACATACAAGTGCACGTCCTCACCCCTTTGTCTATGCTTATATTTATTTCTTGGCCTGACATGCCCTTTCTGCTCAGACCCACCCCAGTCCCGAATCCTTCTATCAGGGCTCAGTTAAGATACCCCTTCTGCACAAGGAGACACTGTCCCACTAGCTGGATTCAGTCTCTCCCTTCTCTGATGTGCATACCATCTTCAAGTTTCTTGTGGCTCTTGTAACTTTGTTTTTCATGGAACTTTACAAAGAACACAAAAACAGTGATAGTCCATGCCAAGGAAATAAAAGATGTGGTTTATTTTACATGTAATTCAATGAATGTGGACTTACTATGCCCAGAGGCCCCTCCTGGCTAACAGTCCTGCCAGGGACTGACCCAGTTCAGGGAACAAAGTCAGCTATTTTTTACAAGAGGTAGCCACTGGCTGGATCAGAGCAAGTATCTAACCCAAGAACGGCTTGCTCATTGTCCAGCTAGAGAGTTATTCATTCATTCAATAAATATTATTTGAGTGGTTATTGTATGTCCATCATGTAGTAATGTGTCTTTTTCTAGACACTGGAAATACAGCTGCAAACAGAACAGGATCTCTTCCCTCTTGGAGTTTACAGTCTTCAGTAGACTGCAATAAACAAAAATAATAATACATTTATAATACATTAATTCTAAGTACTTTGGAAAAAGAGAAAGCAGAGTAAGGGATTTAAAGGCTCATGGGAGGGAAGAAGGATACCATTATATCTAAATGGCCAGAGAAAGCCTCTCTCATAAAGCAACATTTGAGCAGAAACCTAAAGGAGATGAAGAAGTGAGCATGATAATTTTGTGTGTCAACTTGACTGGGGTATGGGGTACCCAGATATTTGGTCAAACATTATTCTGGATATTTCTATGAGAGTGTTTTTTGATGAGTTAACATTTGAGTCAGTAGACTGAGTAAAGCAGATTGCCCTCTCTAATGTAGGTGAGCCACATCCAATCAGTTGAAGGCCTGAATGGAACACAAGGGCTGAGCCTCCCCCAGTAACAGAAACTTCCTCCTGCCTGACTGCCTTTGAGGTGGGGAATCAGTTTTTCTTGCCTGCAGAGCTGAACTGAAACATCAGCTCTTCTGCATCTCCAGTTTGCTGACCACATATTGGGACTTGTCAGTCTTCATAATTGCATGAGCCAATTACTTACCAAACATCTCCTTCTCTCTATTCATGCATCCTGTTGGTTTTGTTTCTCTGGAGAACCTGACTAATGTTGTGATCCATGTGGGTAATTAGAGGAGCGATTCAGGCAGTGGAGATAGTAAGAGCAAATATCAAGAGGCAGGTGTGGGCTGTTGTGGGTGGGGAATTGCTGGGTGGAGTGCATGGGAGGTGTGGAAAGCAACAAAGGACAAGGCCGGAGAGTCACAGGAACCCAATGGCGGAGGTCCACGAAGGCCGTAAGGAAGACTGAGTTCCACTCTGCATAAGATGAGGATTCCCTGAAGGGTTTTGAGCAGAGGAACAACATGATCTGACATATGTTTAAAGGTCTCTGGCAGAGGTGAAAGCAAGGGGATTGGCTAAGAGGCTGTTAGAATGACCTGAGAGAGAGATGATGGTGCTTGAAGCAGAATGGAGGTGGTGGAGTTGGTGAACAGTTGTTGATTTCTAGATGTAGTTTGAAGCCAAGAGTATCTGAAAGTGGATTGGATATGGTGTGGGATCAGGGAAATCTCTCCAAGTGATTTAGCCTGAGCATCTGGAGGAATGGAAGTGCCATTTGCTGAGGTGGGTTGAAGGAAGCATAGGTGTGGGGGTGAGGGTCAGGATCTAGTCTGAGCTGCCACTGGACTTTAAGAACAGGCTGTTGGATATGTGAGGATGGAGGTGCGGGAGGAGGCCCTGGCTGGAGGTGTAAATTTGGGAGTCATCAGTATATATGATGTTTAAATCATAAAACTGGATGAGATCATCAAAAGGGAGTGAGAGAAAGAATGGGAGAGGGCCAAGGACTGAGCCCCGAGGCCCTTCCAACAGGGAGATCAGCGTTCTTCCATGCAAGGGTTTCAACTCATTAGTGGATTATGAAATCACTTTGGTGGATAATGAGCAGTACTTCTAATTGGATAGAAAAGAATGGAAAATATCAGAGTAATTTGAATGTAACATTGTTTCATAAAACGTTTTTCAGTTATATATGTTTCTAAAATGTGTTTATATATATGTGGGTGTGTGTGATTGTATATCTGTGTGTTTGTGTCTGCTATGTGTGTGAATTTACAGCTTTACCTTATGACATGTATGTATACATGCAACTGGTTATAATACATGCTTTTTTACGACGAAAAAAAATAATTTTTTTCAAATGTAGACATCACCATTTTCAAGGGCCAGTGAGGTATCCTAGCAGCTGAGCTCTGCCTTCCTGGGGAAGTGAAGATGAGCAAACCATTCTCACTTGCCCCTTTGGGTATGGACTAGGGAAGTAGGGAGAGCTGGCCAGTCAGCACAAGGGAAGACTGAAGCAGGCAAGCTGAGAGCATGGAAGTCTCCACAAAAGAGAAACAAAAAGTCAGAATGCCTACTCCCTGCAGCCACCTTTATTTCTGCCAGCTTCTGGCTCCATTTCAGGTCATGCATAGCACATGGGTTTATGCACAAAGACCTATTTTTGGTATCTTCCTTAAAGCAATCAAGCAAGCTGATCCCAGTAAAGGGGTAAACCCAGCAACTAAGTTCACTTCTTGACCGCTCCATTTTCGTATCTGTAAGGTAATGCTAATACTATCTTTTTGGGAAGGTTATGAGGATTAAAAAGTCATTTGATCTCTACCAAATGCTCAGCAAATGCTTCATGGAAGACAAGCCAGCTGCTGCTCTTCTGTGCCCTGCAGTTTTCCTCCCACACTCTGCCTCAGCATCAATCTCGTTGGCAGCACAGCCCACCCTCTGGGCGAGCCCAAGGCCTCTTCCACCCTCCAGAGAAGAGCCCTGAAATGACCCACGCAGGCACATACAATCAGGGGTCTGGAAACAAGGTGAGCCTTTCAAGGAAAGGAGGAAAGGGGTAATAAAAGGAACTGGACCAAAGCTACCACTGTCTTCCCTACCATGCCTCCTCTTCCTGATTGTCTAATGCCCCCAACTGCAGCTGGCAGGGGAAGATGGACACAGGGTTTCCCCTCCCAAGAGCCAGAGGGAGAACAGGAGAAGGGAAATGCAGAAGGCTTAGAGGATTAAGTGGCTCTGAAGCAGGTCTCGGAGGAAAAGGATTGGGCCATCTTACCCAAACACTTTCCCCTACCAAAAAGTCTATATGCCTTTGTAAGGTCGGAAGTGACCCAAAGGTGGCACAGGTTAGAGGAAAGTGGTTTCAAAATGAATGGGCTTCTATCCCTTCCTCTATTGCAGACCTTAAGCAACAGGTGCCTGAGGAGCATTTGAAAGTCACGCATGGTTCAGCCCACATAATCAGGTTGTGGTGGGACTTAGGCCTGCACCTCCTTATTTTCCATTTTTGATTTTTCCACTGCATGATGCTGCTTCAGCACTTGCCACTTGCCAACGCCATCATTTTACAGAAGAGGAGCATCCATGCATGTGTATGTTTGGCCGGGGTGTGTCTCTCTGCGTGTTGGCCTGCACAGAGTGCTCAGAACCTCCCAGGGCCACCTGACCCCCACCGACCAAGCCCACAAAGCCCATTCGTTATGGTTGCAGTGGCAAATTCCTATTGAACCTCCTTTCCCGAATCAAAGACAGGGTGCCAGACCCCACTTGCTGCCCAATGCGAATGCACCAGCTCTCCAGCAGGAGGCCAGGAGCCTGAGCCATGCTCATTCTTGTTCCTCTCCGCATGGCAGCCACTCCTGGATGAAGGAAATTTGCCCTGCCTGGTTCCTAGTGGGTGCATGCCTCATCACGTTGGGGGAACCAGCAAAACCAGGTTCTATCATTCAGAGTTTAATTCCAGAATGAACTCTTTCCTTTTTATTTAGTTATGTATTCTTTAATGTTCAAGCTGTAAACCTCAAACAACAGTTTCAGAGGCAAGCCCTGATAGTACTCTCATGTTGCTAAATTGGCCCAGAACCATCCAGCTGTCAGCTCTGCCAGGCTTCAAACACCCTTACACCTAGATTCATCCTCTTTAGTGTGGACAAATATTGTATATTTTAATTTGCAACATTGGCATGATTGTGATAAAAGGAACTTCTGCTTATGTAAGTGAGATTATGCCTAGAATATCAAAGAATTAGGCCAAACCTTGCCTTGATCATCCCAGTCACACCAATTGCCTCCTCTAAATTATTAGTGGTACATTTCTAAGTATTTACTCACAGTCTCACTGTTACGTGTCTATTTCCAGTTTATGTGTTAGCCACTCCCCTCTGGGCTTCCATAGCACTTCACATACACTTCTGTGATTCCATTTATGACACTTTGTTGATGTTTTCTATATGTATCTGTCATTCCACACACACACACCAAAAAAACCCCACACAACACAAGCTCCTAAAAGCAGGGTATAGATATTATTCATATCTGTGTCCATAGCACCTAACACACAGTAGATGTACAATAAATGTTTTTTTAGTCAAACAAATTTGTCAATTCAGTTCAACAAGCATTTATTGAGTATGTACTATATTCTAATCACTGTATTAAGTGCAGACGATTTGATTATTCCCCTACCTTAAAGAATCTTACACTCCCAAAAGGCAGAGAAATATTTAACAAAATAACACAGACTGTTGAGTATAAAAATAGAAGTATGTTCACAATACAGATTTAATCCAATTGAAGGAGTCATTAATTTTTTGTGAAATAATAGAGACATTTCTGGGAAGAGAGGATGTCTGAGCTGGGTTTTAGAGAATAAATAGGATTTCATTAGGAGCACAGTGGATCCGGGTAGGTGAAAGGGAAAAGCATGAGTAGACAAAGTAATGGTGTTAACAGTCTATTAATGGACTACCCCAACCACGGTGTACATATCTTGAGGTCAGGAATAGTTCTATTGTGCTGTGAGCACAGTGCCAAACATCTAGTACATTCTCAGTGATTTGGCTGATGACAGTAAAAATTACTTAAAACCTCCTACTCAGGACAAGTCACAGTCACAATGCAAAACATGCCTTGGGAACTGTCAGTAATAAAATAAGGCCATTTGGGAAGATTGTAGATATGAGGACAATTGATATCCTTCCTTTTTTTTTAATTCTTCTTCCTAAATACAATTAAGTCTAATTTAACATCTTAAGCAATTTGTTCAAATGAGCCAAACTGCCTTCCAGTGCTGAGGAGAACTCCAGAGGCTGCAGTGCACTGGAATTTAACTGTAGAGCAATCCAGCTGATAAAAATGAATTAGCCAGGGAGTGCCAAGAGTTATGTGATCAGAAAAGATGCTTCACAGGAAGATGAGGCAATTAAGGATTTAGTCTTAGAAAAGACAGCCAGGGAGAGTGTCAACTAATGTCTCAGTTCCATCATTCAGACATGGAGCACTCTTGGGGGCTCACTTATTATGTGCAAGGCTTTTTGAGGGCTAATGAAATGAGAGAGGTGAGGCCTGTTTCCTTTAGAGTGCTCATGCTTAAAAGAACTAAGTGTGATTGTAAAGAAAACAAGCACTTTTTTGAGCACTCTCTGAATGACAGCCATTGCAATGAGCGTGTCCATCATCAAAGTTCACTTTCTATTCAACACTGTGACATGTGGTTAGCCCCATTTTACAGATGGGGAAAGCCATAGTTGGATATGAGTGCCAGATGAGCACAAAGACAGGAGTTGGTTACGAACTCCACACAGCACAGTCTGGAAGGTTGCACAGAGGAAGTTATATCTTACTCAGTCATTTATTTAAAAGACTTTCAATAAGCAACTACCAAGCTCCGTGGCAGATACTGGGAATATAATCATGAAGAATGAAAGATATGGCTCCTGTTATCATGATGCCGTTAGGGAGAAAAGTTGTATTTCTTCAAATAACTATACAAATACTTCAAATTAGGATGAGTGGTCTAAAGGAAAGGGGCATGGTTTACTGAGAGAACATGACAATGGACCTGGCCACCTTAGAGCCGGTGTCGGCAAAGACTCCCTGAGGAAATGATGCTTGAGCTAGCAGGAGAGGGGATTGGGAGGGGCTTTGTAGAGTGTGCGGATGGCAGCATTAAGCACTGTGGCATGTACCAAAAAGCCCTGTTGAAGGAAAGAGCATGACACTGTCAAGGAACTGAAAGTGGGGCCAGAGCCCAGAAAGGCATAAAGAGAGGGGTTTCTCGGGAGAATAGAGTAGGGTGGGGGTTAGGGGCAGGTGCTTCAGGGCACACAACCCATATGGAGGGTTTTGATCTTGTTCTAAGAAAACTGGGAAACCACTGGAGGTTATAATCAGATGGGTGACACGAACTCGTTGGCAATTTGAAAAGATAACCCTGGCTACTGTGTGTAGAATGGACTAGAAGGGTGATCACATAGATGCCTGCTCTTTCCACTTCTACTGAACATGGGGCTGGAAGTCCTAGCTAGAACAATTAGGCAAGAAAAAGAAATAAAAGTGTCTAAAATGAAAAATAAGAAGTAAAATGGTCCCTGTTTGCCAATGACTGGATTTTAAATATAGAAAACCCTTAAAGACTCCACAAAAATTGTTAGAACCAATAAACAAATCCAGTAAAGTTGCAGCATACAAAATCAACGTACAAAAATCGGTTGTATTTCAATACACTACCAAAAAGCTAACCAAAAAGGGAATTATGAAAACAATCCTATTTACAATAGCATCAGAAGGAATGAAATAAACCAAACTAAGAAACTGAAGGATTTATACACTGAAAACTACAAGCACCACACTTCCTGATTTTAATATTACAAAGCTACAGTAATTAAGACAGCATGGCACTGACATGAAACAGACATATAGCTCAATGGAACAGAATAGAGGGCCCAGAAATATCACATTTATGGTCAACTAATCTTCAACAAGGGTGACAAGAATATGCAATGGGGAAAGTATAGTCTCTTCAATACATGGTACTTGGAAAATTGGATATCAACATGCAGAAAGAATGAAGTTCGACAATTATCTTTATTGGATAATTTATTACACCTTAAACAAAAATCAACTCAGAATGAATTGAAGATTTAAACCTAAGACATGAAACTGTAAAACTCATGGAAGAAAACATGTTAAGAGTAGATTTAATGTTAAGTGTTCTTATCACAATAATTTTTTTTCAAAAATATGCAGCAAAGTAAGGACTCACTCATAATTTTGCTAACCAGAGGTAACCACTCTTAATTTTCTTCTAACCTTTCTTTGTAGATTATTCACATTGTTGAGATCATACTGCATACACTATTTTACATTCTATCTTTAGTATGGATTCCTAGATGGGGAATTATTGGGTCAAAGGATATGAACATGTTTTTTCAGCCTCTTGAAATCTATTGGAAAATTGCTTTTCCTGAATAGTTTCACCAATTATATTTTCACAAAAAAAAGTATGAAAAGCCACTTAGCTCATTAGCATCAAATGCAGTACTAACATAAAAATAGACAATTCAATGGAATGAGACACCCAACCAGTCAAGTACTAATTCATAAGAATTACATAAAAGTGAAAATTTTACATAGTGCCACAATAAAATTAAGAGACAGACAATGAACTAATTTAAAATGTGATAAATATAAAATATGGCAAGCTATCTTTAATATAGAAATCATTTATACAAATCAACAAGAAATGCAGATCATCTTGGGAGTGTAAAGTAGTTCAACCATTGTGGAAGACAGTGTGGTAATTCCTCAAGAATCTAGAACCAGAAATACCATTTGACCCAGCAGTCCCATTACTGGGTATAACCCAAAGAATTGTAAATCATTCTTCTATAAAGAAGCATGCACACGTTTGTTTATTGCAGTACTATTTACAATAGCAAAGACTTGGAACTAACCCAAATGCCCATCAGTGATAGACTAGATAAAGAAAATGTGGCACGTATACACCATGGAATACTATGCAGCCATGAAAAAGAATGAGTTCATGTCCTTTGCAGGGACATGGATAAAGCTGGAAACCATCATCCTCAGCAAACTAACACATGAACAGGAAACCAAACACCACATGTTCTCACTCATAGTGGGAGGTAAACAATGAGAACATGTGGACACAGGGAGGGGAGCATCACATACTGGGGACTGACGGGGGATAGGGGGAAAGGGGAGGGATTAGGACAAATACCTAATGCATGCAGGGCTTAAAACCTGGATGACGGATTGATAGGTACAGCAGATCACCATGGCACATGTATACTTATGTAACAAACCTGCATGTTCAGCACATGGATCCCAGAACTGAAAGTAAAATAAATAAAATAAACACAGATCATAATAGATAAAAGAGCTAAGGACTTGAACACACTAATATTCTAATTTATTGTCACATTCCAATTTCAGGACTCCAGTATTCCATTCCAGTATTCAATTCAGAGAACAGGACAAAAGTAAGCCTTAGGGCTATTAGGGCTCACCTCCCTGAGTCTCTAACATATCAGCTAATTTGAGCAATGCTCATATATGGAACTGGAAATTACTAGCAGTTTTCATATTCTGAATAAAACCAAATTCCTTCTTCCATGGAAAAAGCCATGCTTAAGATGACACAAGGATCATGATATAAATAAGTCACATAATTTGCTACTCAAAAAGAGAGAGAAGCAAAGGAGGAAACAACAAGTAGTCTAAGAACAATTCCAGCAGAACAAATGTCTATTCTTTGGTGAAATGGAAGGTCTGCTGCTGCCCACTTCCACAGTTCCTGGAGTGGAGCTCATGCTGTCTTAAAGATTTTAAGTGTTTTCTTTAAAATTCTGGCTTAGAGGGCATGAGAAACTGAAGGAAAAAAAAAAAAAAAAAAACACCCAAACCACCAAACCACCCCATGGTTCCTGGATGCCAGATTTCTGTCAAGAGTCTGGGCTGTGTGTAAGTTTGAGAAAATTAGTCTTCCTAGAAATAGAAATCAGAGTCAGAGAGAAACATATTCTGTTTTGCAATATATTTTATTATGTAAATTGCACAATATCATTTATGTAAGGTTGTAATCAATCACCAAGCATGTATTGAAGACCATTCAACATCAATCTAGGTAAATGGGGCAACTATGGCAATAATACAATATAATTATAATATTATATAATATAGTATATATTGTAATAAGGTACATAGCAATAAGGCTATGATCCTTGTCCTCAAGAAACTCTGAATATTTGGGAGACAACTGTCTGAGATTAGAACCAGAAGTAAAATAATGGACTAACTTCTACAGAGTACTGCTGGAGTTCAGAGACAGGAGGTTCACAGTACTGTTGGAGTTCAGAGGCAGGAAGAAGAATGACAAAACACATTGTAGCAATTTTGGAAATCCTCATGGAATATGAGGAGATGAGCCAGGCTTTAAAGTAAGGACAAGACTAGAGGATACTATCTATCAGTATTGTATACCAGGGCTATTTTTTTTTTTTTCCAGACCAAGACGGACGCACATCTATTTGCCCAAATAAATTAAGTAGCATTCTGAACATGATGAATAGTTTGGCAGGAAAAAAACGTTCCAGTAAATGCACGGGCTGACCCAAAATGGTCCCTCCACTGGAATATGGAAAATGAAAAAAGATATTGTTTTGGCTCTAGCCTATAAGGCATTAATAAACAATTGGCATCTATTTTTCCTTTATTTATTGTTTTCATTGTGATAAAATATATATAACATAAGATTTCCCACTTTAACAATTTTTAAATGTACAGTTCAGTGACAGTAAATACATTTACATTTTTGTGTGATCATCACCACTAACCATCTCCAGAACTTTTTCATCATCCCAAACTGAAACTCTGTACCCATTAAACAAGAACCCCCCATTTTTCCCTTCCTCCAGTCCCTGGTAAACACCATTCTACCTTATGTCTTTATGAATTTGACTCTTCTAGGTACATGATATAAGTGGAATCCTTCCTTTTTTGTACTTTTGTGGTGACTATCAGTCAAGGTCCCAGGAAGAAACAGATGGCACACTCAAATTGGGTAATTGTGGTGAATTTAAGAAAGGCATATGTGCAAAGATTTGGACAGGTTTAAGAAAACTACAAGGGAGGATATGAATCATATGACTAGCAAGAGCAGAGAGCTGTTTCCAACCCTAAGCCTAAAGGAACAGTTAAGGGGACCCAGAAAATATGGCTATGTGGAGAGGGCCCCTGACAAGAGCTGAGCCCTTCCTAAAAGGCTGCAGCCAGTGCCCAGTGACCAGCAGAGTGACAGCCAGGGCAAAGACACTCTGACCTCGATTTCACCCCTACCCTTTACCCTCCTGTCGTTGCCTCCCACTGGCCAAGCCAAGGCCAATCAGACACCACAGGTCAAGAGAGCCCACTGCTGCAGTCCACAGAGGGGCAACCTCCATGAGTACAGGCAGGGTGGAGAAAAGTGAAAGTGGATCTGGGAGTCAAATGAAAAAGGTTCAGCCTAGTAACGTCCTTTAACATATACTGGGCATACAATTAATGTGATTGGGCCAGAGGTTGAATATGCAACAAATTAAGAGAAGAATGATGTAAGAAAAAGAGAAAAGTAAAAGAGAATGAGAAAACGCATCTCATTATCTGTCAAAACACAATAAACACCAGGTAGGTCAAATAGATGGGTTTAATAATAGGACAATGAGTGTGAAACCCACAAAGCAACTATTGCATTATCATAGACAGCCAGAGATCAAAGATCCCTAATCTTGTCTGCATCAGTCACATCATACATGAGGACTCTGAGATGCAGAAGAATAGCCTGTGCTATTCCAACACTCTCACTACCTGAAGATTTTTAAATCAGCAGTTCTCCTTAACCTCCTGCCAGCCCTCAGTTCATGTAACTGTGACTTTGAACTCATTTATCACTTTGACCAGCATCACCCCCAAAACCTAGAGGGTCACTTAATTTTCCTAACCTTTAGTCTCCACATATATGAGTGTATTTGTCAACTATGAAGCCCACTGTGAACATAAAGAGATGTGAAAATCAGCATTCAGTGTTGTGAAAAACATGAGGAAACTCTGGCAGGCAATAATAGAAACTAGACAATAATACTAAGTCCAATTAGCTTTGGAAGGATGAGAGGGAAGGCAGAAAAAAATCATTTTGCAAAACTTAGCAGAATCCATCCATATTTCCTTGTACCAGGCATGGGACTGTGCTGTAGGTATAAGAGAGTATCAAAGGTAGCCCCTCCACAGAGCAGGAACTTCCAGTTGAAGAAAGAACTCCATAGACAAGCAGGAAACTCACAACAGCAGACAAGTCATGTGAGTTCACTGTGGAGGTAAACCCTGAGGGGCCATAGGAGAGAGAAAGCCTCCAAACTGCAGGTTCTGAGTGTTCACAGAAGGCTTCCTGGAGGAGGAGGGAGTTAAACCAAATATTGAAAGGAAAACAGGATTTGGAGAAGACAAAGAAAGCATTCCAGGTTAGCAGTATGCATTGAAGGCAAGCATTCTCCTTTATTCCTTTATTCATAGAGTAAATATGTGCTCTTTCACTGTTCGCTGCTCTGGGTTCTCAGTGCTTCTGTTTGGGAGCAGTTGGTTGGATTCTCCTTCCCCATCAAGTGTCAGGCTGAAGTGGAAAAGCTATCAAGTCACTCCAACCACCTGTCCTTTAGTCAGAGGCTGGAGCCAGTACTCATGAGTCCCGCATCTAGTCCTCTTCCTGCCCCCTATATCCTTGGGAAATTCCAGAAAGCCTCATGGAAGCATGAATGTGATGCCCTCTCTCTGGGCCTCAGTTTCCCCTCTGGTAAAATAAACTAGATGATCTCTAAGGTTCTTTTCATCTCCATCATTTTATAATTGTTGCTTCTGAAAGCTAACTCACCAATGCTTGATTATTGAATATTCTTGTCATGATATCTATTTTTACACTTTCTCCTCTGCATGAATATTCCTTTTATGTTCCAGCAGTTCCCAGTGTCTTTAGAGCTCCAATTATGCTGTGCTCCCTCTTAGACTTTTAATCCATCTATTTCAGCTACCTAGGATCTGTACCCACCCCTCCTCAACCTAGCTGGAAAGCTTGCCTTGACATCTCGTGACAAACTCAAGTGCTCCTTCCTCATTTCCATTTTACTTTTTACATTTATGCGTTTTATCAACCATTGCTGAGCTACGTCCTTGTTGGGTTACCCTTTTCTCTCTCCCACAGGACCGTGAGCTCCTTAAGACAAAGGGCCTTCCACCAATCATCCCAGTCCTTTCCCCCAGCAGCAATTAGCCCAGGGTTTAGTTGAACCCTGTTTAATGAGCAAACGCATAAATGGAGCTTTTGTGGTTCAAAGAACAGACATCCCTTCAAGTTACCTGCATTGGGCATGAGAACTGGAGTGCAGCCTGAACGCCTGCAGGGCTCTATAGTCTCTCTCAGGATGATGCCTCCCTTCTCCACAGATCTGCTCCCATCCTCCCTTCCCACTGAGCCCGCCCACATGTATTTACACCATGGCTTCAGCTCACTTATTGTTTTGTGTCTGCCTAACTTCTGCTTGTGTGTGGCTGTCCACACCTCTCTCATCTTTCCATCTGAACGCTCGGCTTCAGCTCTTGTCATCACAAACAACCTCATTCCCTGGGGGCTCCTTAGTTCACATTCTCAAGAGAGTAAATGGTACTGGCCCAGCTTAGCATCAGAATGGCTAATGGGTCATGCACAAGCCTGTGAATTCCCTACTCTTGATTATTTCAAACAGCACCATCCAGAGGACAGGATCATATGTATAACTCAGGGGTGCAGAGGGCCAACATCTTCAGCCTGGGCTCTAAGCAGAGCAGATCTGACCTCTAGAAAAGATCCATGTTGAGTCATCAGGACTGACTTCCTCCTCCAACTTCAGGCTAACATACTACAGAGGACTATATCCCAGGTTCAACTTGCAAGCTCCAACTCTGAGAATAAGAATATGGAGGCCAAGTGCAGTGGCTCATGCCTGTAATCCCAGCACGTTGGGAAGCCAAGTTGGGAGGATCACTTGAGTCCAGGAGTTCAAGACCATCCTGGGCAGCATGGCAAAACCCCATCTCTACAAAAAAAAAAAATACAAAAATTATCTGGCTGTGGTGACACACACCTGTAGTCCTAGCTACTCAGGAGGCTTAGGTGGGAGGATCACCTGAGCCCAGGAGGTGGAAGTTGCAGTGAGCCGAGATTGTACCACTATACTCCAGGCTGGGCAACAGAGTGAAACCCATGTCTAAAAAACAAAAAGAATATGGTAAGTGATTCCCAAATAAGAGATGTTCCCAGATGTGGCTGCCAGAGACATCATTAGGTAAGCAGACGCATCAGCCATGGAAACTAGTTTCATGAAAGACCTCATTGGCCAGAAACCTTTGCCCAGCATCATGTATATCACCCAGATGCCAGCCAGCCATGGGGTCTGCAGCCTTGGGACATGCCAGCAGTACACCCATCTGTTTTGAAGAGAATCAAATGTTGTAATATCTGATTTTCCAAAATTGCTCCTGGAAATGAATATCAGCCATCTTCTTCAAGCCCTGGTGAGGCTTTGGCCAAATGCGGTTGGAATGCAGAGGCAGCAGCAGCAGGGAGAGGACAGGGCCCGCAAGCTTGCCTATGCTCCTAGAGGCCGGGGCTGATTCGAAGATTGATTCAGAGAGGGCCGTTTGTCATAAATCGTTCCTCTCCTCACTCGCAGCAGGGGGCCAGCTGCTGCCGGCTCTCTCAGCATGGAGGGCACAACTGTGGATTTAGTATGTGAGGAGAGCAGATGCGCGGCCTCTCAGCATCTTGAGGATGGCTGCCAATTTGGGTTTGTGTTGCCATTTGATCTATTTTTTTTTCTCCTGATGCTCACATTATGTGATCTATGAAGCAACGTGGTGTCTGGGAAAGAGCACTGGACTGCGAGTGCATTCCTTGTTGTTTTTTTATAAACATTTAAGCTGTAGTCTATAACACATCTTGCGTTAACCTCAGGTGGCCCTGGCCCCTACCCTGGAAGAGCTCACACTCCAGGTGGGGAGGTAAGCCAGAAAGTAACCAGCATACAATGTTGCAAGTGCTGTGCTAAGCACAGGACCCTCTAATTATGTGGAGTGGGGGACATTCATCTCAGAGCAGGGAAGTGCTATCCACGGAAGGCTTCCAGGAGGAGGAGATGCCTCAACAGAGAATTGAAAGGTAAATTGAATAAGGACCTGCCAGACTGAGGGAGCAAAAGGAACAAAGGCTCAGACATACACAAAAAAAGCATTCTTTCAGTATTTATTCAGTCTGTCAGAACATGGGTAGAGCCACATGCTATTCTGCATTACTAGAGAATAAACGAGGCGAGAAGCTGCAGGAGAGAATCCTGGAATAGCAGGCAGCGGCCAGGTCATGCAGGGCTGTCTTAGTTCCTTCAGGCTGCTGTAAAAAAAAAAAAAAAAAACCTCATACTGGATGGCTTATAAACAACAGAAATTTATTTCTCACAGCTCTGGAGGCTGAAAAGTCCAAGATGGAGGCACCAGAAACATTGTTGTCTATTGAGAGCTGGTTTACTGGGTCATAAATGGTACCTTCTTACTGTGTCCTCATATGATAGACAAGGCAAGGCAGCTTTCAGAGGCCTCTTTTATAAGGGCACTAATCTTATTTGTGTGGGCTCCATCCTCATGATCTAATTACCTACCAAAGGCCAGACCTCTTAATACTATCACCCTAGAAGGTAGGATTTCAACATATGAATGTTGGGGGGGACACTAACATTCAGACCATTGCGAAGGCTTTGAATGCCAGCCTTAACTGAGGGTTTGCACAGATTGTGGGTCATCAGTTGGATCCCCAGACAAGTAAGTCACCTGAACTGTCTGAGCTTCCATTTCTTCCACTGTGTAACAGGAGATCATAAAAGGTCCCACACTCACTTTGCAGACTGTGGATGAGATCATTCATTCTTTCATTAACTAACATTTGTTTAGTGTCCCATGTGTACCAGACATTGTAGAAAGACTAGGGATGCAGGGATGAATAAGACATTATCACCACATTTAAAGTGTCCACTGTCTAGAGTGGAGGTACCCACAGGAAGAGCTAATTAATAAATCAATAAATTAAGGTCAGAACAAGCTAGAAGAAGAACAGAAAGGGCAAGGGAACTGGCATATAATGTATGGGCAGGCATTGTGCTAGATGTTTGGGGGATGTTATGCTATTTACTCTTCCCAGAAGTCCTCTATGGTAAAACAAAAGGCACAGCTACCAAAATATCCCATCTCAGTGGCCAACAAATTTCACAGAAGATGGAAACATTGGCCCAGGACTCTGGGTCAGGCTTACCTGCTTAGCCAGCCCAGGTTGGAAAACTGAGTCTTTTAAAAGATTCAATGTAATTCTTTCTTTTTATTCCAAGCATTTGCTTGTTCACTCTTTAAAAGAGAATATTCATTTGCTCCCATGGCTCAATGATGAGAGCTTGATTTACGGGAGTCATGAAGAACTGCTTGAATATGCTTTTGAGGCTGGGTATTTCTGAGGTGAAGGCAGTTTCATGCTGAGATACCTGTTGGCAAAATAATTCATGCACAGAATGGAAACAATTTTTTTAAAATTAGGATTTTGTTTCATGGAATATTTATCACATTTGAGGCTATGTTTTTGCATTATTTTCTTGTCTCATTGCAGACCTGTGATGCAGAATTGAGCTGTTGGAATTCTAACAAGAGCCACCATTTTAAGCAAAGTTTATTAATTAGCTTTATCATTAATGATGATAACAAATTAAGTCATCTTTTTCATTCATCCATTTGATCATTCATGCAATAACTTAGCAAATGTTTACTGAGCATCTAGCAAGTATTAGGTACCATGCTCAGTTCTAAGCATATGGTGATAAGCAAAACAGACATAGTCCTTACCCCAAAAGGATCTTGGAGTCTACAGAAAGAAGACAGACGATAAACAAATAAAAATACATATATGATTGCAATTGATATGTTGTGCATCACATGCAAATGATACATATTATGCTTGATATGATACACAAATACAACATACCTTGAGAACATAACAAAGGGAGATCTGACCTAATTAGAGTGCTTAGGAATGTTTTCCCCCAGGTAGCTGCCTTTAGGCTGAGCTCTGAAAGACGAGTGTGAGTTAGGTGATGGAGGTGAAAGGTAGTCCAGGCAGAAAGAGCAGTATATTATAAATTCCCAAGGCAGAAAGGGGCTTACATTCATATGAAAGACAGCCAGTATGGTTGTTGAGTAATTAAGAACTTGAGGGGAAAGAAAAGGGCACTGCGATTGGTGCTCATTGAGCAAGGTGGGCCAGGGCGGATTAGAAAGGGAGGAGCAAAATGGAGAAAAACAAAGTATTATGGTCAGTTGGTTGTCCTTTTGGCCAGCCAGTCAGCAACCAGATCAAAAGTCTCATACTCAAATTCTACTCACCCTTCAAGGAGTAGCTTCAATATCACATTCATCTACTTTGGGAAAGGATGCATTACACAGTCTCTTACTAACAGATTCACAATGCACATTAGGATATCAACAACTCTGAGAAATCCTGTAACTGAGACATTTATTTATCTCAGCATTTCCCTAACATGATAGACTACAGAAACATATAAAACACTAGTGTCCCCAAATACATAGTTAGGGAATTGCTTATTTAGGGGACTGGATTGAATTCTCACTGTGGTGTTTAATAGCTGGGTATATACGGACAAAATTTTTAATTGCTCAGAGTCCCAGGGTTCTCACCTATATGGTGGTAATGTCAACAGCTGTTTCATCCTTATAGAAAACCTTTTGGAGGAGAGTCATGCTGTCAGGCTGCCTTCTGTGTACTTAGAGAAACTAACAGGGACCAGACATTCAAGCACCAAGGAGCAGCTCCCCCTCTGTGAATTCTGTTGCATTTACTTGTATAAAGCAGACCACAAGACAAACCAAGAGAGTTTCGTGTAGTGGAAAAACATGTAGAGTAGAAATCTTTTGGAGGTTTTCTATAAGGATGAAATAAACAGCACATGTAAAAAGTCTCTATTTCAATGTCTGGCACATACTAGTTGTTCAGTAAACATGAATTTCCTTTCTTCCATGTTCAATAAAACAGAATAGGTCAAACTTTAGATAATCTTCCCATTGTAAATTACTGTAAGACTAGAAAATTTGCCAGAATTTTCTTAAGAACCCATCAGGTTCTGAGTGCAAAGAATGCAAAAAGACCTATATTGAATCATATCATCATATAATTCCTGAACTCAAAGAATAAAGAGAATATCATCTTAATGTTTCCAGAGTGAATAAAAGACCACATACAAAGAATGTGGAATCAAATTGGCCTCAGACTTAATGGGAAAACCAGTAGTTGGATGACAATGGAGAATTGCTTTTAATACTCTGAAAGAAAATCATTTTCAAGCTAGAAATTTATGCTAAAATTATCATGTAAGTTTAAATGAAAAACCAGACTATCAAAAACTCAAAAAAAATTAACTCAAACACCCTATCTTAGGAAAGTAAATCAAACATTAAATTATATCATAGAAAGCTTTGGGCTGCAGAAGATGGAGAAACCAACACATGAGAGCCACAAAAGGCCTTCCTAGGATGATGGTCAGAAAAAAGCCCCCAAATACCTGCTGGGTAGCCACCCTCGAAAACAAACAGTTCAAGATGAAACAAGACACATGGATCCAAAGGGATAATCCTCAGGGGAAAAAGTGAAATTGATATGTTTGAGTTTATAGAAAAATTACTGATAGGTAAGTGACAGAGTTATTAGAACATGTGAAAGAAATTAGAGCTAGTTTAAAGTATGCAAATAAAACGGCAATTATTACCTTTAAGAAAAAAAGTTTAATACAAGAAAAGAAGCACAACTTGGCTCGCAGGATGATCATAATGTCATAATAGAAATATTTGTGACTTAGGAATTAAACTATCTTGTAATCATGTGGATGGTGTGAAAAGGAAGTGGGGGAAGAGAGCTCATTCTCATCTAACACTCAAGGAAGTCAATATATAAAGCTCATAAATTATAAAACAGCAATATAAACACGTTATTAAGCAATTTGGAGATCAATACCAAGAGCAACAGTTAGAAGAGACAAAGAACAGGGATTTGTGTTTTCTAAGGTATATGTTTTATACTATTTGACTTGTAAAAATATGTATGTATTACTTTGATGAGACTTAGACTTTTTTTTTTTTTTTTTTTTTTTTTGAGATGGGGTATTGTCCTGTCACCCAGGCTGGAGTGCAGTGGTACAATCTCAGCTCACTGCAGCCTTGATCTGCCGGGCTCAGGTGATCCTCCCACCTCAGCCTCTGGAGTAGCTGGGACTACAGGCATGTGCCACCATGCCCAGCTATTTTTTTGTATTTTCGGTAGAGACAGGGTTTCACCATGTTGCCCAGGCTGGTCTCAAACTCCTCAGCTCAAGCAAACTACCCGCCTCAGCCTCCCAAAGTGCTGGGATTACAGGTGTGAGCCACCGTGCCCAGCCTTAGCGACTTAATCATAAAAGAATACAAATAATTATCTTAAAAGAATACAAATAATTGCTATAAAGTAACTTTACAGTTATGTAAAAATCATGTGCATGCGTGGGCAAGATCTGGAAGGACACATAGCAAAAGAAAACAGTTTGACTTGTTCAAATAATATTATCCAAAGATATTAAGAATCTAAGGGTAGAAGTCAGACTCACCTATTGAAAGCCATCAACTGTGATACAGCATGTCTTTGATCCTTACTTTCCTTTGCTGTAAAATGAGGATAAAATTAAACCTTTTTCATAGGAGTGTTAGGAGGATTACATCAGAGAATACATGTAAAAAGTGCTTAGCATGGGTTTTGGCCCATTGTAATTACTAATAAATGATAGACTTTGTTAAAGAAGGATGAAACGGGCTGGGCATGGTGGCTTAAACCTGTAATCTCAGCATTTTGGGAGGCTGAGCATTTTGGCAGGAGTATTGCCTGAACCCACACTGGACAGCATAGCAAGACCCCATCTCCACACACAAAAAAATTTAAATTAAGCTGGGCACAGTGGTGGGTGCCTGTAGTCCTAGCTACTCAGGAGGCTGAGGCAGGAGGATCACTGGAGCCCAGGAGGTCGAGGTTGCAATGAATTATGATCATGCCACTGCACTCCAAACTGAATGACAGAGCAAGAACCTGTCCCCCCCCCAAAAAAAAAAAAAAAAAAAGTGGAAAAGAAGACAGGGAAGAAAAGAGTGAGATTTTGTTCCACTTAAATCATGAGAGAAAATGCCGTCTACAAAGCTTCCCAAGCTGCATGTCTTCTGGGCAAGCTGTCCTCTTAGTGACCATCTCCTTAAAGGGACCTTGTCAAGGTTGACAAGCTCAATTTACTATACATTAAAAAGAACTTAACTTGTTTCCTCTGTTCCAAAAAGGCTGTCAGTGCCTGAGCGAGGGTCAGCTTCACAGCAAGGTTAAAAGACTTGCTCAAGGAAAACACTCCCATGGTCCAGCGCCTCCCTAATCATTCCATTTTGTTTTTACAGCATCCAAGTTCTCACTTGGAAAATGCTTTTTAGCACACATCCCCATCAGTTAAGGCCCTGATCCCACGAGGTGAAAGTTGTTCTCTGGGCGTAATTAGGCTCTGCCAGGCTTCCCTCCCAGGAGAGTCATGCTGTCAGGCTGCCTTCTGTGTACTCAGAGCAACTAACAGGGACCAGACATTTAAGCACCATGGAGCAGTTCCTCCTCTGTGAATTCTGTTGCAATTACTTGTATAAAGCAGACCACAAGACAAACCAAGAGAGTTTTGTGTAGTGGAAAAACATGTAGAGTGGAAATACTTGGCTTATAAGTTGTGAAGTCAAGATTCAGAACAGGATTCCGCTGACTTCAAATCCTATTCTCGTCTCCAAATACCATTCTTCCTGGCCTTCAAACAGGGTATCAAGCAGCATGAATAAGTGGAAAGAATTTCTGTGTTTATCATCCCGGCTTTTCCACTTCCCAGTTCTGCAACCTTGAAGAAGATCCTTTATCCTCCAACTCAACTCTCAGTTTTGTCATTTATAAACATGGGATAATCATAGAGTTGGTCCTTGCCTTGGTTGACCTCATGATCAGACTCGCCAAAGTGGATCTGAAATGTATAAAACCTAAGAGTAGAAAATAGCGATGCCAGCCAAAGAGCAGATAATGGTAACCCTCTTCCCAGGCTTCAAATGGCTTGGGTCTGCCATACCCCTTGCCAAGGAAAGCGAGACACATCAGAACTGGTCACTGGCAGCACGCCTCCGACTCCCTGTTTTAAGCAATTCTCCGACCTCAGCCTCCCGAGTAGCTGAGATTACAGGCACGCGCCACCATGCCCAGCTAATTTTTGTATTTTTAGTAGAGATGGGGTTTCACCATGTTGGCCAGGATGGTCTCAGTCTCCTTAATGATCCATCCATCTTGGCCTCCCAAAGTGCTGGGATTACAGGTGTGAGCCACTGCGCCCGGCCGGCTCCCCTCCTTCTTAACCAAGCCAATTCAATTCCTTTCTCACAATCTGATGCTCAATTCTGCATAGCTCCTGGATTTGGACAGCACCCACCAATGAAAGTTAAAGACATTTCTCTGGCCTATTTTGGAGCAATAGCCCAGGCCAGAGGACTGGTGCCTGGTCACAGGCCCCCGATGTAGGTCAAGGGTTTCTTCATGTTTAGGCTGCTCATTGCTGCCCTTCAGAGTATCATGGCTCAATCTCAGTGGCTCCTGCCAACCTTGCACCTCACAATTATGTTGAAAAGTTTTCTTGCCTAGGGCCCCTTTTTGGTTTTCAGAGTGACAACTGCATGACCGATTATTGATGAAAGATCAGTGAGAATGGAGAGGAAGGAAAAAGAATGGAGGATGACTTCAGGAGGAAGGACGGAAATGAGGGAGAAGGGAAAGTGAAGGATGAGGAGTACAGAAAGTGACAATGGAAGCAGAAGGCAGGGAAGGGTCAAGGAGGAAGGAGGGGCAGATGACAGTTTCTGTTTTGCCTGGCCCTCTCTGTGCCTTGGATTCGGAAGCTTTGGTGTGGCGCTGGGACATAATGCAACAACCCCTGGCTTTGGCTCAGACCAGAGATTCAACCCCATGCTGTTACTCACTCAAGCGAGTCTTTGTGCCCTCCGAAAATCACTGTCCCCATCTGTAAAACAGGAATACCACTTTTATCTGCTGCACAGGAGTGTCTTAAAGACTGAAGTTAAGGTATGAAAAGCAAGGACAAAGTACCCAGCACAGATCCAGTGCTCAGTGCATGGTCATCACTATGAGGATGATGAGCTCCCTAGGGCCAAGGTGGCTGTATTGATTACAGGACGCCAGCTTTCACAGACCCCACAATGCTGCTGTGTGCTCTGCTGAGAAGCAGCAGGATTCCAACCTGTCCTGTTTACTGTTTTTCCTTTGGAGAGAAGCTCTGCCCTCCAGTCAACTTTCCTTCTTTGCATAACTTTTTTTCATTAGTTTTGCTGCAGTTGTTCAGCGGGGAAACATATTTTTAAAAAACTTATGCACGCTTCTGAATTAGTATTTGAAAGCAATTGTAAATTCATAAGCCAAACCATAAGAGGAAGTGCCACCACCTCAGAGGACATGATGTTACAGCATCTGCATTTCCTCTATGTGTACACACAAATGTGTGCTAGAGACGGGGGAGAGGTGGCCTGGAGACCATGTGCATACTCACAGGTAGAGGTGACATCAATAACTCCAAGTCCACTTTGTTCACCCCCATATCCCAAAGAACCCTCCAAATTCCCAGCTCCTGTGTGCAATTAAGTACATTAGATCAGCTGCTGTAATTGAGTTCAGTTCAATTTCTCACTTCAGAGTTGGAAAATTATGTGTAAGGAAAGATTCACATGCCTTTCTAATGAGCCAGAGTTGACAGGAGAAAGAAAAATAATGAAAGAAAACTTCTGATCACTCAACCATTAAACAAACGTCGGCGACAGTGCCAGTCTAATTACTAGGTTACTATGGGCTTCTGGTATTTTCAAAAACAACACCCTAAGTCAGTAGGCCTCCACACTCCAGACATCAATGGCTTCTCCCCTTCACCCCCTGTGCTTCTGACAAGAGACTGGCCCCCGAGTGAGCAGTGCCCTGACACTCAATTGCAATAGCTCTGACAACCATCTGTGAGTCCCCTCCACAAGACACTATGCATCTTATTACCATCAGCTCCTTTACTCCTCTGGTCTTCTTGTAGTGTAGGTATTTAAAATACAGAGCAAGAGCTCATAGCAGCACAATTTATGAGAGACAAAAGGTGGAAACGACTCATATCCATCAACAGATAAATGGATAAACAAATTGTGTGAGACAGACAGACACACACACACACACAATGGAATATTTTTCAGTCACACAAAAGAATGAAATTCTGATGCATACTACAACATGAATGAACCTTGAAAATAGTATGCTAAGTGAAATAAACCAGGAACAAAAGTTCAGATATTGTATGATTCCACTAACATGAGATATCTAGAATAAGTAAATTTATAAAGACAGAAGGTATATTAGAGATTACCAGGGGCTGAGAAGAGGGAATATTGAGAAGTTCTTGGTTAATGGGTACAGAGTTTTTGTTTGGGGTGATGAACGAATTTTAGAAATAAATAGCCATAATGGTTACATAATATTGTAGATGTAATCAATAGCACAGAATTGTACACTTAAAAAGAGTTAAAATGGCATGTTTTATGTTACATATATTTTATCACAATTAAAGAACATTTTTGAAAAATGCAACAGAAGAAACAAGCTCAGTTAAGCCACTGTCACCTGAGATTCAATTGACTGCCAATGACAGAAGATGCAACCCAACTGACTTACAAAAAGGGAAAATTCAGCTGGGCACGCTGGCCAAGTCCCAGCATTGTAATCCCAATACTTTGGAAGGCCGAGGCAGGTGGATCACTTGAAGGTCAGGAGTTTGAGACCAGCCTGGCCAACATGGTGAAACCCGGTCTCTACTAAAAATACAGAAAATCAGCCAGGCATGGTGGCACATGCCTGTAGTCCCAGCTACTCTGGGAGCTGAGGTGGGATAATCACTTGAACCTGGGAGGCAGAGGCTGCAGTGAGCCAAGATTGCGCCACTGCACTCCAGCCTGGGTGACAAAGTGAGACTTTGTCTCAAAAAAAAAAAAAGAAAATTTACAGGCTCAAGTAATCTGAACATTCTAGGGGCAGACTGGATTCAGGAATTGTGCCAGATCTTTTCTTTTTGCCTGTCCAGATCCGCTTGCAACCCTTCTTCTCCCTGCACTGTCTGGGGAGCCCACATTGTCCAGGCCCCATCAACAGGGCTTTCACAGCCTCTGGCTTCTCGTTGGGTTTGGCCAATGAGAATCTCCAACAGAATCCTGGAGGAAGGAGCAATCCAAAGTCAGGATATTTATTTCCCTGGCTCCTTCCCTCCAGTGTCCCTGAATCCAAGGTCACTGTTTCCCTCAAAGTGGCCCTCTTGATTAATCCATCTTGAATTAATTTTTGTATAAGGTGTAAGGAAGGGATCCAGTTTCAGCTTTCTACATATGGCTAGCCTGTTTTCCCAGCACCATTTATTAAATAGGGAATCCTTTCCCCATTTCTTGTTTTTGTCAGGTGTGTCAAAGATCAGATGGTTGTAGATGTCTGGTATTATTTCTGAGGGCTCTGTTCTGTTCCATTGGTCTGTATCTCTGTTTTGGTACCAGTACCATGCTGCTTTGGTTACTATAGCTTTGTAGTATAGTTTGAAGTCAGGTAGCATGATGCCTCCAGCTTTGTTCTTTTTGCTTAGGATTGTCTTGGCAATGTGGGCTCTTTTTTGGTTCTATATGAACTTTAAAGTAGTTTTTTCCAATTCTGTGAAGAAAGTCATTGGTAGCTTGATGGGGATGGCATTGAATCTATAAATTACCTTGAGCAGGTTGTTCCTTCTATACCTTGGGTAGCATGGCCATTTTCGCTATATTGATTCTTGCTATCCATGAGCATGGAATGTTCTTCCATTTTTTTGTGTCCTCTTTAATTTCTTTGAGCAGTGGTTTGTTGTTCTCCTTGAAGAGGTCCTTCACATCCCTTGTAAGTTGGATTCCTAGGTATTTTATTCTCTTTGAAGCAGTTGTGAATGGGAGTTCACTCATGATTTGGCTCTCTGTTTGTCTGTTCTTGGTGTATAGGAATGCTTGTGATTTTTTGCACATTGATTTTGTATCCTGAGACTTGCTGAAGTTGCTTGTCAGCTTGAGGAGATTTTGGGCTGAGATGATGGGGTTTTCTAAATACGTCATCTGCAAACAGGAACAATTTGACTTCCTCTTTTCCTAATTGATACTCTTTATTTCTCTCTTGCCTGATTGCCCTGGCCAGAACTTCCAACACTATGTTGAGTAGGAGTGGTGAGAGAGGGCATCCCTGTCTTGTGCCAGTTTTCAAAGAGAATGCTTCCAGTTTTTGCCCATTCAGTATGATATTGGCTGTGGGTTTGTCATAGATAGCTCTTAATATTTTGAGATACGTTCCATCAATACCTAGTTTATTGAGAGTTTTTAGCATGAAGAGCTGTTGAATTTTGTCAAAGGCCTTTTCTGCATCTATTGAGATAATCATGTGGTTTTTGTCATTGGTTCTGTTTATGTGATGGATTATGTTTATTGATTTGCATATGTTGAACCAGCCTTGCATCCCAGGGATGAAGCCAACCTGATGGTGGTGAATAAGCTTTTGGATGTGCTGCTGGATTCAGTTTGCCAGTATTCTATTGAGGATTTTTGCATTGATGTTCATCAGTGATATTGGTCTAAAATTCTCTTTTTTTGTTGTGTCTCTGCCAGGCTTTGGTATCAGGATGATGCTGGCCTCATAAAATGAGTTAGGGAGGATTCCCTCTTTTTCTATTGATTGGAATAGTTTCAGAAGGAATGGTACCAGCTCCTCTTTGTACCTCTGGTAGAATTCGGTTGTGAATCCATCTGGTCCTGGACTTTTTCTGGTTGGTAGGCTATTAATTATTGCCTCAATTTCAGAGCCTGTTACTGGTCTATTCAGGGATTCAACTTCTTCCTGGTTTAGTCTTGGCAGGGTGTATGTGTCCAGGAATTTATCTATCTCTTCTAGATTTTCTACTTTATTTGCATAGAGGTGTTTATAGTATTCTCTGATGGTAGTTTGTATTTCTGAGGGATCAGTGGTGATATCCTCTTTATCATTTTTTATTGCATCTGTTTGATTCTTCTCTCTTTTCTTATTAGTCTTGCTAACAGTCTATCAATTTTGTTGATCTTTTCAAAAACCCAGCTCCTGGATTCATTGATTTTTTGAAGAGTTTCTGATGTCTCTATCTCCTTCAATTCTGCTCTGATCTTAGTTATTTCTTGCCGTCCGCTAGCTTTTGAATGTGTTTGCTCTTGCTTCTCTAGTTCTTTTAATTGTGATGTTAGGGTGTCGATTTTAGATCTTTCCTGCTTTCTCTTGTGGGCATTTAGTGCTGTAAATTTCCCTCTATACACTGCTTTAAATGGGTCCCAGAGATTCTGGTATGTTGTGTCTTTGTTCTCATTGGTTTCAAAGAACATCTTTATTTCTGTCTTCATTTCATTATTTACCCAGTAGTCATTCAGGAGCAGGTTGTTCAGTTTCCATGTAGTTGTGCAGTTTTGAGTGAGTTTCTAAATCCTGAGTTCTAATTTGATTGCACGGTGGTCTGAGAGACAGTTTGTTGTGATTTCTGTTCTTTTACATTTGCTGAAGAGTGCTTTACTTCCAACTATGTGGTCAGTTTTGGAATAAGTGCAATGTGGTGCTGAGAAGAATATAAATTCTGTTGATTTGGGTTGAAGAGTTATGTAGATGTCTATTAGGTCTGCTTGGTGCAGAGCTGAGTTCAAGTCCTGGATATCCTTGTTAACCTTCTGTCTTGTTGATCTGTCTAAAATTGACAGTGGGGTGTTAAAGTCTCCCACTTTTATTGTGTGGGAGTCTAAGTCTCTTTGCAGGTCTCCAAGGACTTGCTTTATGCATCTGGGTGCTCCTGTATTGGGTGCATATATATTTAGGATACTTATATCTTCTTGTTGAATTGATCCATTTACCATTATGTAATGGCCTTCTTTGTCTTTTTTGATCTTTGTTGGTTTAAAGTCTGTTTTATCAGAGACTAGGATTGCAACCCCTGCTTTTTTTTTTTTTTTTTTTTTTGCTTTCCATTTGGTTGGTAGATCTTCCTCCATCCTTTTATTTTGAGCCTATGTGTGTCTCTGCACATGAGATGGGTCTCTTGAATACAGCACGCTGATGGATCCTGACTCTTTATCCAATTTGCCAGTCTGTGTCTTTTAATTGGGGCATTTAGCCCATTTACATTTAAGGTTAATATTGTTATGTGTGAATTTGATGCTGTCATTATGATGTTAGCTGGTTATTTTGCCTGTTATTTAATGCAGTTTCTTCCTGGCATTGATGGTCTTTACAATTTGGCATGTTTTTTGCAGTGACTGGTACCAGTTTTTCCTTTCCATGTTTAGTGCTTCCTTCAGGAGCTATTTTAGGGCAGGCCTGGTGGTGACAAAATCTCTCAGCACTTCCTTGCCTCTAAAGGATTTTATTTATCCTTCACTTAGGAAGCTTAGTTTGGCTGGATATGAAATTCTGGGTTGAAAATTCTTTTATTTCAGAATGTTGAATATTGG
Source organism: Homo sapiens (assembly GCF_000001405.40). NCBI lineage: Eukaryota > Metazoa > Chordata > Mammalia > Primates > Hominidae > Homo > Homo sapiens. The sequence goes on along the minus strand of NC_000011.10, from coordinate 79,587,925 downwards.
CCCCCACTCTCTTCTGGCTTGTAGAGTTTCTGCCAAGAGATGTGCTGTTAGTCTGATGGGCTTCCCTTTGTGGGTAACCCAACCTTTCTCTCTGGCTGCCCTTAACATTTTTTCCTTCATTTCAACATTGATGAATCTGACAATTATGTGTCTTGGATTTGCTCTTGTTGAGGAGTATCTTTGTGGTGTTCTCTGTGTTTCCTGAATGTGAATGTTGGCCTGCCTTGCTAGATTGGGGAAGTTCTCCTGGATAATATCCTGCAGAGTATTTTCCAACTTCGTTCCATTCTCCCCATCACTTTCAGGTACACCAATCAAATGTAGTTTTGGTCTTTTCACATAGTCCCATATTTCATGGAGGCTTTGTTCATTTCTTTTTACTCTTTTTTCTCCAAACTTCTCTTCTCACTTTATTTCATTACTTTGATCTTCAATCACTGATACCCTTTCTTCCACTTGATCAAATCGGCTATTGAAGCTTGTGCATGTGTCACGTAGTTCTCATGCCATGTTTTTCAGCTCCATCAGGTCATTTAAGGTCTTCTTTATGCTTTTTATTCTTGTTAGCCATTCGTCTAATCTTTTTTCAAGGTTTTTGCTTCCTTGCAATGGGTTCAAACATCCTCCTTTAGCTCAGAGAAGTTTGTTATTACCAACCTCCTGAAGCCTACTTCTGTCAGCTCATCAAAGTCATTCTCCATCCAGCTTTCTTCCATTGCTGGTGAGGAGCTGCAATCCTTCGGAGGAGAAGAGGTGCTCTGGTTTTTAGAATATTCAGCTTTTCTGCTCTGGTTTCTCCCCAACTTTGTGGTTTTATCTTCCTTTGGTCTTTGATATTGGTGATCTACGATGGGGTTTTGGTGTGGATGTCCTTTTTGTTGATGTTGATGCTATTCCTTTCTATTTGTTAGTTTTCCTTCTAACAGTCAGGTCCTTCAGCTGCAGGTCTTTTGGAGTTTCTGGAAGTCGACTCCAGACCCTGTTTGCCTGGGTATCACCAGTGAAGGCTACAGAACAATGAATATTGCAGAGCAGCAAATATTGCTGCCTGATCCTTCCTCTGGGAGTTTCGTCTAAGAGGGACACCTGCCTGTATGAGGTACCAGTCAGCCCCTACTGGGAGGTGTCTCCCAGTTAGGCTACACGGGGGTCAGGGACCAACTTGAGGAGGCAGTCTGTCCATTCTCAGAGCTCAAACACCGTGCTGGAAGAACCACTGCTCTCTTCAGAGCTGCCAGACAGGGATGTTTAAGTCTACAGAAGTTTCTGCTGCCTTTTGTTCGGTTATGCCCTACTCCCAGAGGTGGAGTCTACAGAGGCAGCAGGCCTTGCTGAGCTGCAGTGGGCTCTGCCCAGTTCGAGTTTCTCCAGCCACTTTATCTACTCAAGCCTCAGCAATGGGGGACACCCCTCCCCCTGCCAAGCTGCTGCCTTGCAGGTGGATCTCAGACTGCTGCGCTAGCAGTGAGCAAGGCTCCGTGGGCATGGGACCCAACAAGCCAGGCAGGGGATATAATTTCCTGGTGTGCCATTTGCTAAGACTTGGAAAAGCGCAGTATTTGGGCGGAGTGTCCCATTTTTCCAGGTACAGCCTGTCATGGCTTCCCTTGGCTAAGAAATGAAAATCCCCCAACCCCTTGCACTTCCTCAGTGAGGTGATGCCCCACCCTGCTTCAGCTTGCCTTCCGTGGGCTGCACCCACTGTCCAACCAGTCCCAGTGAGATGAACCAGGTACCTCAGTTGGAAATGGAACCAGGTACCTCATCTGTCTTCTGTGTTGATCACACTGGGAGCTGCGGAATGGAGCTGTTTCTATTCGGCCATCTTGGAACGGAAATTGCTCAGTGTTTTTTTGTTTTTTTGTTTTTTGGTTTTTTGGAATGCAGTGGTGCAGTCTCGGCTCACTGCAACCTCCACCTGCCAAATTCAAGTGATTCTCCTGTCTCAGCCCCCCAGGTAAGTGGGATTACTGGTGCCCACCACCAAACCCAGCTAATTTTTTGTATTTTTAGTAGAGACAGGGTTTCACCATGTTGGCCAGGCTGGTCTCTAACTCCTGACCTCAGGTGATCCGCCCACCTCAGCCTCCCAAAGTGCTGGGATTACAGGTGTGAGCCACCACACCCGGCCCATTGCTTGGTTTTAAGTTTTAGCATGGTAACAACAGCTGCAGCCCCATGCGATTCTCTTAGTTTCAGAACCCATAGGAAAAAAAAATGAGATTCTCTTTCCTGAAAGTATCATCAGAACTCTCATTTCCTCTTATTGGTTCTGAGCATGCCACTTGCACCTCCCTGAGCCCATCACTGTGGCCAGAAGAAGGCTCTGTGCTGCTAGGCTTGGTCAGGTGCTGCACCCTGGAAGACCAGTGTGGGAGAGAGCAATTCCCCAGGGAAATGCCAAGGTACCATTACCAAAAAAGAAGGCAAATGGAAGCCACTTGGCAAAAACCACAGCTGCACAGCAGTCTCTTTCTCACAGCCAAAAGGAGATTCAAACTTAGCTTGCCTGACTCCAAGCCCCCACTCTGCCCATATTCTACTCTTTCCTCAGCTACTTGTCCCAGGCAAACTTTTGGCCACCAAGTTGGGTCTAGGTGTGAGACAGAGGTTTATGTAAGTGTTGGAGCAAGAGTGATGATAAGAACCATGCTGATGAGGAGATAGCGCAGCCCAAGCTAAGCTAGAGAAGGAGGATAGAATGAAAGAAACACACCCCTCCAGGTGCTCCAAGCATGGACAGCTCTATCATCTCTCATATCCCTGGCACATGTGACCCCGGCATCTACCACAGAAAAGCAGAGTTGGGAAAGGAACAAATGTGGCAAGAACATGAGGAAGAAGTTGAGTTTTGCCATTAAAGTGTGACCACTGGAAGCCAGGGTGACAGTTGGCTCTCAGGGCAAAAACTTGGAAGTGATGAGGGATGAGTGAGCCTCAGAAGCCAGCAAGACCTGAGTCAGCACCAATGGGGCGATTTGCCTGAAAACTAAGCTTTAAGACAACACCCAGGATAGTTAGGATGTTTATTTTATTGGCGCTAATTAGGAACAATTAGAAGTGTTTCATAAAATACTTACCGAGCTCTGGCTCTGGGCGTGGCATTAAGTATACAATGGCAAACAAGACAGAGTCCTGCACTGAAGAAATGTGTTTTGGGGAGAGGGGCAGGTAAGTCAACAACAATTCCAACTTGGACATGCAGTGCTATGATGCAGTGAGGACAGGGGGCTGTGGGATCCCTGATGGGGGCCACCTGACCATCTGTGAAGAAGTCATGACAGGATCCCCAGATAAGGGAACCCCTGAGCTAAGTCCTGAAGGTGAATCCAGACTTCTGTATAGTTGGAAGAACTGAGAGTTCTAAAACTTGAATTCAAAGCTCAGCCCTGTCACCAAAGCACTTTGAACCTTTATCAAGTTGTATAATATATGGACCTCATTAGTAAGATGGGATACCCCTACAGTAGTTATTTTTTGAATACTACCAGCGCTGAATTGTGTTGAGTATCTTTCCCTCAAAGTCACATAGCACCCTTTGTGACCCCTCTCAGTGCACAATTCATCCATTCATTAAACATTTAGTGGGCACTATGTGCCAGAGAGGATGAATAAACTCTCCCACACTTCATTATCATTACCTGTTTCCCACTCTGTGCTGGCCATCCTGGCCCCCACCCACTGCACTGTCAGAGGCTCTAAGGTAAAGGCCATGTATTATGATCCTTAATGCCTAACTCAGAACTCAAGAAATGTTATTTATAATGAATGAGTGAATACATGAATAAAAGAATTAATATATGAACTAAATCATCTCTAAGATCCCTCCCATCCCTAAACACCACAAAATCCTTTAAATGGTAAAGCACAGATGGTCTATATGAGGGACCTGGGAACATGGAGAGGTGCCTGACATGAGCCAGGAAAGGCTCCTTAGAGAAGATGATTCTTCAGGTTTCAGAATATCACCCACGCCAGACGTAATCTTTAGCCTTTAAACAGGGTTTTTTGATTTGGTTGTTGATAGAACAAATAGCCTACTGGCTTAAGGCTAAGCTTATAGACTTAACAGCCATTGCAATAGAGGTTGGTCCAAAACATTCGTGATTTCAAGGGAGAAAATAGCTCTTTAGTTCTCTTTAATTTTATCTTCCTTTTTAATTATAAAAAAATTACATGATCATTATAAAAATTTGGAAAATTCAAGCAAATTTTATCCCATCTGATAATTCAACCACTGTTAACATGTTGGTATATTTCTTTCCAGGATACTTAAGCACTTTTTTATCTGCATATAATATTATTGATAATTTCTTTCTAAAAATTGTTCTGCCTGATTTTGCTTAACATTACATCATAAGCATTTAACCATGCCATAAAAATGCCTTCCTTAACATCATTTTAAATTGCTACAGAATGTTCCATCCTATATAGATGAGTCACAATTTACATAACCAATCCCAGATCAGACACTTAGATTATTTCCAATATTCATTTATACTGAACAGCCCTGTGATAAGCATGCCTGTGCATAAAGCTTTATTTGTATTTCTGATCAGGTCCTTAGGACAGATTTGTAGAAGTGGAATTACTGGGTCAAATGGCATGAACACATTTAAGGCTCTTGCTATTCAAGGTCAGGTTCTTTTCTAAGTGATGCTGCCCAGAGTAGACTCCACCAACAGAGTATGCAGGAACTGTCTATCTGCATTGGTCACTTTGTGTTTATTTTCTCTCTCCTCCTCTTAACTTCACCTGTTTACCCTGTTACCTCTTTCTCATCCTCTAAAGCTATCTTCCAGGTCAGAGAAACCTGGGGAAGGAATAGAAGGGAGGCTGCATTGATTGCAATTAGACCCTTCTCCTCCAACCCAGCAGGGAAAGTAAAGCTACCTCAGGCCCTAGAATTTTAATTAACCTCCTAGCAGCAGGAATTTGATCCCTAAAGTTCATCATGGCTTTGAGCTCAGTGCCAAGCCCTCACGAGAAAAAGAGAGAGACTGTTGAGGTGATTTGTAGTAGCTCCATTTGATTGTGCATGTAGGAAATGGTCTGGGGCAGTGATGAGTGGTGGTCACCTTCTGAACAGGGAGGTCACATGACTTCCTATTAGCTCAGGAGCAGGGAATGAAGAAACTCACTGGACATACAGAAAATTATTCAAGTGGCCTTCCAAGGGCCTCCATCAAATATCTCTGTGAAACATGACTCAGTTTAGATCCAGACATATTCCATACGTTGTCAAGGACCAAGAGAGGCCGGTTGTTATCTAGCTCAGATCAAAGAGACTGGAGTCTGGCAATCACAGCCAAGAGAAGCAGAGCTTAGAAGGAAGTAAGAGGCTGCTGCAGTCATAGACTGTTAGAGTGGACACCTCGGTTATAAATGACAAAGAAGACTCTGGGAAGGAATGTGACCATCCAAGAATACCAAGCATTTAATGGTAGAGGCCAGGTGGGAACCAGATACCGCAACTCACATCCAGTGCTTTTTCTGCATTGTGCCTATATTTTGTTAGGAGGGAGTTGGTCCTTGGATTATTGTGGAAAAAGCTGTAACAAATGCTAGGTTGCCTGGACAGAAAAGTACCCAAGAGATGCCACATTCCTCAGTGGGTTAGACCCTCCCCCTCCCCCTCCAAGTTACTGTGACCAGCAGAGATGCAAGAAATTTTACACATATGGGGTTACATTTCTGAAATGCAATTCTCCCTGAGCTCCAAGTCTGGTGGCACTCTTCTCTTTCTAGGGCCCCATCCCCAAATTAGACACATGCTTTTTAGAGTAGAGGATGCCGAATTTAGACCAGGCAAAACTTCTGGCTTGTATTTCTTCTAAATAACTTTATAGCAAAATTGGATCTGCTTAGCGAAAAGTTACCACAAAGACTGACCGACAAAATCAGAGAGAGATGAACATGGATGTCCCAGCCTAGGCTCTGCCACTTTGTAGCTGCTCACTGTTTCCAACCTTAGTTTTCTCATCTTTAAATTGGAGGGGACACACTCCTGTGTAATCTTCAGAGTCATTGTTGGAATCAGCTGAAATAATGTGTGTGAAAGGTGTTTGTAAGCTATGAACATCAGCCAGGCATGTGTTTGAGTAAAAAGAGATTGGAAGTGGGGGAGGAATAGTGGCATTCGGCTAAACAGTATCTGTCAACCATCCCTCCCTCCCCTGCTCTGGAGATTGTCCCAAGCCATCTTGTGGCAGCTGATCACTTAGAGCTGTGGTTTCCAACTATTTCTTTTAAAGCACAGAATCCTTATTTATAAAGGAATATTTAATGAGACCCCAAGTATCAACTTGATAACAGTAGTATTGCTTTGATTGGGTCTAGATAGTGGGGAGGTGGGACAAAGCCACATCTTTATTTTTAACTTCTTAGGAACTAACTCGCAAAAGTTAAAATATTTGTCCATTTATTCTGAAGACACTAACACACTTAAATACTTGAGTTCTGAATAGCCTAAGTCTGCATCTTACCTCTAAGGGATCTGGGAAGGGCCTCTGCTAGCTTTGAATACTTGCACTTAAAGTCATACTCTCCTTTGCTACCTTGCGAGGTCTTCTTGTTTACTTTTAACCAATTAATGCTTTATTACTCATTCATTTATTCATTCACTTAATCATCTCATCATTTGAGAGCAAGAGATTAGAAAGTCTCTTTAAGAGTAGTCAAGTATCTCATCCACCATACAAGGCAGGTTGGTATAGAAGAAAGAATTTTGTGTTTGAATTTAAATGAATCTGGTTCCAGATTTGTCTTCAACTCCTTATTGCCTGGTGAATCCTGAAAGGTTGAGGCTAATCCTAATCTCCTAATTGCTCCAGGCCTTGGTTTCCTCAATTGTAGAATGCCTACCCCTCGGGATTACATATTATAAAAGATAGTATAACTCCCATTCCCCCCAGCCACATCTCAGGAAATGCTCTCGGAAGGTGCAAAAGGTCTTAGACCATTTTCTGTTGCTTATAATAAAATACCTGAAATAGGGTAATTTATAAAGAAAAGGAATGTATTTCTCTGGAGGCTGAGAATTCCACGGTTAAGGAGGCGCATCTGCTGAAGGCCTTCTTGCTGATGGGGACTCTCTGCAGGGTCCTGAGGTGGCACAGGGCATCCCATATGAGGAGGCTGAGTGTGGCAGCTCAGGTCTCCCTTCATTGTCTTATAAAGCAGGGGTCTCCAACCCCTGGGCCATGGACAAATATGGGTCTCTGGCCTGTTACAAACCAGGCTGCACAGCAGGAGGTGAGCGAGAATTACCACCTGAGCTCTGTCTCCTGTTAGATCAGTGGTGGCATTAGATTCTCATAGGAGCATGGACCCTATTGTGAACTGTGCATGTGAGGGATCTCTGTTGCATGCTCCTTATAAGAATCTAACTAATGCCTGATGATCTGAAGTGGAAGTTTCATCCCAAAACTATCCCCCTGCTCCTCACCCCATGGAAAAATTTTCTTCCACGAAGTATCCTAGTTCATGTAGCTAGGAAGAGGCTTAACTCAGTTCTGTCTTTCTCCTGAGCCTCTGCTTTGGCCATCACACATAACTGCCTGTAGTGGAGTGAAGTATGTGCATCAGGCTGTGCTTGGACAGTCCTTCTCCAGTACTTGAAGAAGGACAGAGAATGACCATCAGGTATCCAGGCAGAAAAAGCAAGTTGGAAAAAAAAAAAAAAAGCAGTCGTATTCCACGACTGCGATGCTGTGATGTGGTCCAGGAGCTCTGTGGAGTAGAGAGCCTGAGAGAGGCTAGAGTTGGCTCATGGAGAGGGCACACATGAAGCTGAGATTGTGGAATATGCCCAAAGACATTAAAACATCATTTAGGGGTTTTAATCAGGACAATGGCACCAGCAGACTTGGAAAGAGCACTCTGGCAGCAGTGTGGAGGATGGATGGAAATGGAGAGAATTCACATGGTGATATGGTTTGGCTGTGTCCCCACCCAAATCTCATCTTGAATTGTAGCTCCCATAATCCCCACATATCATGGGAGGGACCCAGTGGGAGGTAACTGAATCATGGGGCAGGTTTTTCCCATGCTATTCTCATGATCATGAATAAGTCTCATGAGATCTGATGGTTTTATAAAGGACAGTTCCCCTGCACAAGCTCTCTTGCCTGCCACCATGTAAGACATGGCTTTGCTCCTCCTTTGCCTTCTGCCATGATTGTGAGGCCTCCCCAGCCATGTGGAACTATGAGTTCACTAAACCTCTTTTTTTTAATTAATTACCCAGTCTCAGGTATTTCTTCACAGCAGTATGAAAATGGACTAATACACATGGGGAACCACTTAGGCTATGGTAAGTCTCTTGGTCAAGATTCCCTTCTGCCACCTGCCACCTGCTAGCCATCTGAGTGTGGGTCTGTTATTTCCCCTCTCAGAGTTTCAGTCTTCTCATCTGTATATTGGAGATGATGTAGTACATACCTCATGGAGCTGCTGTGAGGCATGAAGGAACACGACTATACAGTACCTGACACTCATTGAGTGGTTTGTATTTTGTAAATAGAGGTAGAGAGAGAGGATTGGTAATGAAAGCATTTCAGAAGTAGAATTTAAAATTTTAGCTACAGCTTGAAGAGATAAGAGTAGGAGAGATATTCAAAGAATCTTCAATGTCTGCAAGAAACGGTGATGTCATCAAGGAGAATGTGGAATTAGATACCCCCTGCCCAGACAGAATCCTGAGCCAAACAGCTCTTGTATCAAAAGAACTTCACTTGCCCTGCTCCCCAATGGCCATGTGCTAGGTTAATTCTACCTCACTCCAGACCAGGAATTATGCTTTGGATTTCTAAAATAATATTGAGAATGTCAAGAAAAACTTCATGTTATTTCTCTACTCTTTTATAATGATTATTAATCATAACTAATATTTGTATAGTACATCCCAGTTTACAGAAAATTTTCATCTATATTGTATCAGAGATAAAAGAAAATTCATCACATGTAACTGGCTTATTGAACAGTCTGAACTCAGCAGGCCACAAATATAAACAGGTTTTATATTTTCTCTAATCACCACCTTCAACCATGTTGTCAAATCTTCCTTTCTCACCCCTTAATGACACCTGAGGCAGATTTCATACTTTCCTCATTGCTTTCAGGTCTAAAAGTGCCCAGCCTCATTTTAAACTTCAATCTAATCTCCTATTTAATGCTTATCTCATCCTCTCCCCACAAGGGCTAGCCAGGCCTTGGCCTAACCAACTTGTCATGGAGATAACAGGGAGGTAAGCATGCCCATAATGAAAGATGGAAGGAAACAAGTTTCTGTTACTTATCTGGGTTCTGTTGTGAGCTTCTCAGGCTGGGCACAATGTCCTGTAGATGGCAGATGTCCAAACACTGGAGCTTCTGTGGACACAGGTAAGAGTTCTTCAGGAGCCAGCAGGGGCAGCTCTCTGGTGAGGAAGGAAACTCACACCTTGGCCAACCTCTTCGAAACCTGCCCTTCTGCCCCAGCTTCCATCCAGTGTGATCTACCCCACGGACTATTACAGCCAGTCCTCACTCCCAGCAGCCAGTCTTTTAGATAAGACATACCAGATGGCTGTAGATTGGCTGCTTTCCATGGTAGACCCTTGACTCTGAGAAAACTCACCCCTCCTTACCATTCCACGCACGGAGAGTGTAAGCTGCCCAGCTGCTACCCCTTCTCTGTTCTACTATTGACTCCATCCCTCTCCAATTGTCTGTACCTCCTGCTCAGATGGGCATGTAGTACACCAGTGAAAGACTTCCCTAGTTCTAAGTCTGTTTCTGCAGCGAAACAGACTCACAGCTAGAGAAGGAGAAATGTGTCTCTGCTTCTTGCTCATACCCCCAGTCTTTACAGAGGATTCTTTCACCCTGTGCATGGGCTAGGCTAATGACACAGTTGAAGGACTTCCCTCTGTCTCCCTAGTCTTTCTAAACAGCTGGCAGGGTGAGTGGGGGAGGAGGTCAGGTTGGAATGTGTGATGTGTGCCCACCGCAAATTTTCCTTAGGATGTGGCACTCATCATCCCTTTGCTTCTAGCTTTGGGTTCTGGTAGCCAATTCTTCACTCCCCATTCAGTTATTCAGGTTGTAAGTGTTTGTGATTGTACCTCACCCTCCCTTTCCCTTTCCTATGGTAGAAGGATTCAGGTTTGTAATATTAGTTCCAGGGCCCTCCTTTTTTGGGGCAAAGCCAAGAAAGGCAGAAATAGGAGAAAAGTGAGACCAGGGAGGTTTCACAAGCTGTTTTTTATGAGAGACTCTGGACACAATGGTGTACAGAAGGAGAAAGTCTTGGAGAAATGGTGATGTGTGAAAGATATTGAGAAATAGAGTGATGGAGAAAGAAATGTTTCAATAAAGTTTGTTGTTTGTTATAAATATATCCTACACTTCATGTATTTGAGAGAGTATTTGACAAAGAGCTAAATGGCTTGTCAATTACTTTGACATTTGAAATATAACATTGAATGGGGTTAGGTTTCAGGCAAGTTACATTATCTTTCAGAAATCATAACTCTAAAAAGTTGGTTATCATTCCCACTTCTAACATGTGGAAACTGAGGCATAAAAGTTTGAAAGAATTTCCTAGAATAAGTTAATAAGGAGTAGATCCCAGACTCAAACTCTAGTGATGGTCTAACTTTAAGTATCAAAATGTTTCTACTGTATAATACTGCTACTATATAATATTGAAGAGAACGCTATGACCTCTTATAAATACTGTCAAATTCCAGATGGTATGAGGAAAAATCCTTCCAAAAATGGTAAGAATGTATCCAGGTTGATGTTGGGGATTCCCCAAAATTCATTTCTATGAGCTGAAGTTGAGGATACTCTGGAAGCCACCTTGAGAAAGCAAGCAGTCAGTGCTCATCCTAAGAATGTCCCTGCTCCTGTCCCACAGCCACTCATAAGCAGAATTCAGAGAGCTCTGTCATAGCTACCAGGGCCAGTCCTCTACCTCTGGTAGGACCACCCAGGAGCCTCTTCCAGAGAGATAAGGAGCCATTCCATGGAAAAGTAGAATTTCAGACTCCATTTAAAAAGGCAGGCACCTGGAGAGTGGGTGCAGGTTCAGTCCACAATGGGAGCAAGTAGAGAAGATACAACAGCTTTCCAAGGAAATAAAGCAATCGAGAGCTCAATAAGGTGGAAGAGCTGTGAAGAGCCATTCAAAGCTGTGGCTGTCACCAGTACCCAGGAGCCGTAATTGAAGTCTGTATTGATGTTCCTTGGGCTACAGGGCCCACCTCCATGACTTTGTAGAGGTTGTGCCTCCAGAATTGTTCTGTAGCTTGGCTGAGACACAATCACACTCTGGGCTGGAGAACATTCTAATGCAAAGTGCAAGTCTTGTCTTAGTGTTGAAGAAACATATTCACACAGGCTTATTCAGTCCTTTTTTTTTCTTGATTTTATTTCTAATTCAAACAACAAAAGTACCTGGCTACATGCTACATATACATATATTTAAACTATATATTTATGTTAATTTGTATATCCCATTAAATGATTACTGTTTCTTACAGTTTGTATTCTTGTTTTTCTTCTTGTTGTTTTTAATTATATATGCTATATACCAGGTACTTTATTAGATCTCATTTGATCCTTATAATAGCCTTGGGTGTCAGGAATTTGATTTCCAATTTTTAGATGGAGGATCTAGGAACCATAGCACACTATAATCTTTCTCAGGCTTCATCTTATAATACCATGAGACTGATGCTTTAATACAGATGTGAGATGTGGATACAGCATCTTCCTATGCAACAGCACTTTGCAATTTACACAGCTCAGGCACCCCAACATCTGGCTGCACAGCAAGTGTTGGCAGAGACCACAAGGAAGAGCCAGAACATTTTTGATTCCCCTTGGCTCTATGAAATGAGATAGGGAATCAGGATATCACTATGGTTGGTTTGAGCTGGTCAAAGTTAAAAAAAAAAATTGCAAAAAAGGAACCAAGATCTTTAGAGATGACTCTTCTCAGACCTTTGTCCCATTCCTTATCTTCACCAGGAGTCAGGGAAAATAGCAAGAAGTTAATCATCCTTTAACTGGTCAGGGCACTGTGCAGTCTTCTCATGTGTTTCAACATCCATCATGCATTCAGTTTTTATGTCAGCGCCCCTGTGCCCCCCAAAAGCAATGCAGAATTATGAACTCCATTTTACATGTGTTTCTTAGAGGCCTAAAATGACTTGCCCAAGATTACACACTGAATGGTAGAGCTGGAAGTGGCTGTTGTGTCTGTCCTGTTTGTGACTTTTTTTTCTGTTATGATAGATAAATCCAAACATACTATTCTCCAGCTAAAAACCTTCCATTATCTCAGAAATATCTCTAAACTCAGATATTCCTGATCCCTCAATACCTATCACATTCTGCCACTTGCCTCAACCCCACCTCATCCAAGTTCAAGAGTTTGCCAACAGAGTGTGGCTCCCTAGGTACATTGTGCTGTTCCAGTTCACCAAGCCTTCACATCTCATGTTTCCCTGCCCAGGATAATCCAACACTGCCAATGTCCCCAGGCTGTCTGGGACACCACTGCACTCTCAAGATCTAGAGTGCTCATCTCTTCTTCCAGGCAGCCTCTTCCCTTCCCTTATGTTGTACTCACTTGTACAAGTTGTTTTCTTGTTGGAGTATTTATTTCATATTTGAGCTGAAATGTATCTGCCTGTAGCTTTCACTCATCTGTCTCTTGGGGGAAATATCTACAATAAGTCTATACACTCTTTCTCCAACAACTTTAATAGTTAAAGACCTCAGTATTGCCTCTTTCAAGTTTATCCTCTTCAGATTAGATATTTCATCCCCTTCCAACTGGACACAGGACGTGAATTCAAGTCCCTCATCATCCTGGTCACTCTTCAGGGCACACACTAAACTACTATAGCATTTGTGCAGAAAAGCACACAATATTCCACGTGTGACCTGATTAGCATGTAGTGTTGGAACCAATATGTATCGAGCTACATCTAGCATTCTGTCATCTGCTTTATCAACATTATTTCACATTAATCTTCATTGAATAATATAACGGTATTATTATATCTCATTTACCTATAAGGAAATTGAAGCTCAGAAAGATTAAATGACTTGCCCAAGGACACACAGCTGGCAAGCAGAAGAGCAGGAATCCCTACCCAGATCTGAACAACACCAAACCCATGCTCTTTCTGCTACATTTTTAGGATCATTGGACTTGCTCTAGATATTGCACTTCAATTAATTCAGCTGCACAAGGGAATCAGATGTAAAAGTCACAGCCTTATTTTTTTTCCCACTCTACCAAGTATCTCATGATCATCTTGAAATTACTAGAATCCAGATAATTTTAAGCTTTGTGAAGGTCAAAACTGTGATCTCAGTTCCCCTCTCCAAGAAAAAATAATCGGTGTTTCCCATCTCATCTTCCTTTCTGCATCTCTGTTATTGTGCCAGTTGCTGAACAAACATGCCAGCTAAAATAGTCACATCTTCAGCAGTCTCCATCTGCTTTATTGGTTTCTTTAAATAAAATATTACTATGATGAATAATACCATCTAATTGTAAATGTGCACATCACAGCTCAGATACTGCTGTTTTGAGTGGCTTCCCGGAGTGCCCTGATGGGGACCGCAGACCTCAATGGCTCTCAGAAATGCCATGAAATGTCACTTGGACAGGGTCCACAGTCTACCTCTCAGCCATACTAAATACCAATATCAATGTCCCCCACTGTCTATTACAGCCAACACTGTTCAAGGATTCAACTAATAGGGTGTGATATGGCTGTATTCAGACACTTTCCACTACAGCACAGCCATGCAATTAAAGATGAATGGCTAGGTTAAGTAAGTAAGTAATTAAATAGAGGTGTGAATGGATGAAAGCGTAGATGAGAGAATGAGTGGATAGGCAATTAGGCAGTTGGATAGATAGATTAGTAGAAAGATAGGATGAATCATAGTTGAAAGAAGAAGGAAAGGGAGGAAGAAGAGAAGGGAAAAGGAGGAATGGAAATTTTGCCCAAAACCATGATGTCCATGAAAACTTAGAATTTAAGCTATGGAAATTTAAGGGGCTATTTGATAATGGTAATAATAATAGAAAACTTTGAATATTTACTATGTTCCAGGCACTGTGCAAGCCTGTTACAAAATCATCTCATTTACTCTTCCCAAGTACCATTATTACTCATATAAATGTAGATGTAAAAACTGATTGAATAGGACCAAAATACATTTCCCTCTTCATATCCACTCTCAACCAGTTCTGTCATGTGGGGTCACACAGACCAAGTGCACTGCCTATTCCCAAGACAACATTCCAATATTTAAAGTCAACAAACATTTATTGAGGTCTCATACTATTCAAAGATTTATGTTTGATGCTAGAGATTTAGGGGTAAATAAGACCTAATCCCATCTCTCAAGGAACTCAGTGGTGAGACAGGAGAGAGAGATAAGTTAGCAAATTCATAGATTACAATGTGCTCTGTCAGACAGCAACACACCAAGAGTGTTTAGAAATTCAAGAAAAGATACAAAGGTTGCTTCCTTCTCTAGGAGGAACTTCTGCTTCCTTCTTACCTGTAATTTTCCAGACTGGACATCATCCTCTGGGTAGCTCCAGGTTATCTACATTTTTCTCAGGATGTGATTCCTGGGAGAATCTGATTAGAAAGGAGAAAGACTGTCAAAGAGAAACATCTCTTGCTCCACCTCCTATCCCTTTTTCTGGGATAAAATGCTCAAACAAAGAAGACTAAAGGGATCTCAGATCTCCTAGGTTATATGCTAGTTTGCTCTACACATGCACTATTGGCCTCAATGACCAACTGTCTCCACTCTGCTAGGAATCAGTAGGAGCAAATAATAGCATGTAGCCTTTTGCCTGTCTATTTTGTCCATTTATGTTTTAAATAAGATTTCCTTTTCTAATTTCTAACTCAAATATGTCTTAATGAAATGTTTTACATTCAAATCAATACCAAGTAAATGCACTCTACCTTGTAATGATGAATTTCTAATAATGACAGATTTTTAGAAAATTAAAAGATTGACCATGCATTCCCAATTAGTTGATGATTACTAATGTCTACATCTGCACTGTTCCACATAACTGAATATGATAAAATTAAAGACACAATTGTCTCAATATGAATATTATCATATGTCATATTTTCTCATATTGATTTATGGGGTCAGGTATTCGTAAAAAGCTATAGTGAGTTATCTCTTGAAACATGCACTTTAAATAGTATAACAATAACATTCCTCACTTGTCTGTGTTCCCTGTGAAAGCTTCAAAGCCCTGCCCAATTTTTTTTCCTCTCTAAAGTTTTCTTAGGCCCATGGTTCTCAAAGTGTGGTCCCCAGGCCAGCAGCATCAGCATCTCCTGGCAACTTGTTAGAAATGCAAATGTTTAAGCCCTACTGAATCAGAAACTCTGGAGGTGGGGCCCAGTAATTGCTGTTTTAACAAATATTCCAGGTGATGCATGCTCATGTTTGAGAACCACTGCCCCAAAGTAAGGGGTCTTTGGGCAGTAATCAGGTCACTTATAATCACAAACATTGATAGGGGACCTACTGTGAGACAAGTCTTGAACTAGGCACTGGAGACATAGAGATAAATAAAACACACAATATGTCTTTAATGAACTAACAATCCGGTAGAAATTACAAAGATGTCTAACTGAGCAAAAAGGCAGAATAGGATAGTACCATGCAGCTTGACCAGAGCTGGGCAATAGAATCATCTCTCGGTTTGTTTTTTTTTAAAATTATATAGCAGATGCAGGAAGTCCAAGTTGGATTCCAGGAGTCTCTCCCTGTTTGAGAACACTGTGTTGTGGTAAAGAGACCAAGTCTGGAGTGAGACTATGCTGGGTATAAGCCTTGCCTTCACCATTTGTTAGCTGTGTGATCTCAAGCAAGTTGGCCATTCTGCTCAGCAAAGGGATGTGGTATAGGAATTATAAGAATGTGCTCTGAAGACCAATTGCCTGGGCTTGAATCCGAGCCCTATCACATACTAGTTGTGTGACCTTGGGCAAGTTACTTAAATTTTCTGTGCCTCAGTCTTCCCATCTGGAAAGTAAAGCTGCTTCATAAAATTATCCTAAGGATGAAGTCTATTATATGTATGAAGGACTTAGAACAGTATTACAAGCTATGCAGGGTTTGTGGCAGTGATGATGATGATGATGATGATGATACACCTCAAATGGAAAACAAAATAACCACACCTATATTACAGGATTGTTGGGGCAATATTAAATAAGAAAATGCAAACATAAAAAATATTTTATGTGGAACATGCTCACTCCATTTCTATCTTAGGATTTATTTTACTTTGTTTTTCCTCCTTGAGCATACATCTCCCCCTGAAAAGGAGCAATGGCTGGTCAAGGGAGGTTCAGATATCCCCAGGTCTCCTAGCGAAATAGCATAACAGTGACATCTTAATATCTCCTCTTAATACTACTTAACTTCCCATGGCCTTGGGTTCTGACTGTGCTGTGTACACTATATCTCCTGAGCCTTGGCAATTCAATTTTAAGCACTTCTTTTTGAAGAATAGTCTACCCATACTTCTCAAACTTTATCATGTATGTGAATCATTTGGAGATCTTGTTTAAAAGCAGATTCTAATTCAGTAGATCTGACATGAAGCCTAAGAGTCTGCTTTTTTAACAAGCTCCCAAGTGCTGCTGGCCATAGGCCACAAATTGACTAGCAAAAGTGTAGACAGTTCCTACCAGGCCTTTCTACACAAAGTTTCTTAATACTGTCAAAACTTCCACAAGTGGCATCCCAAATGTTGTCAGGCTCTTCATCTGAAGTCATTCCAGCTTCAGTAGCAAGCTCCTAAGACCAGAATAGATCCCTGGAAGAAGCACTGGACTGGGAGGCAGTAAGCCTGGTTTCAAGTTCTACCTCACTTTTTTATAAGCCAGGTGGCCTTGAGAAAGTTATAACCTTTCTGAGTATTTCCAAGATTTTCCAACTATAGCTGCTCATATCCCTGACCTTCACAAGGTGTTGTGAAGGTCAAATGAAATATTGCACATGAAAACACTTTGAAAAAGAAAGGCACAGTACAATAGAAAAAGATCATTGTCAAGCTTACACCTAGCTTTATGCATACTTTATGTCCTTATTAGCCCCTGAACCAGAAATCTGTGGCATAAACTCCCTTTCATCCTTTCTCATACTTCATCCATTCTTGGATTTGGAGATCTCTGCATTGGTCAGTGTTCAACGGTAGAAGAAGAATTCACTCTAGCTGGAAAGCAGAAAGGGATGTATTATACAAGGATCAGCAAACTACAGGACACAGACCAAATCTGCCTGCTTTTATAAATAAAGTTTTATTGTAACACAGTTGTACACATGTATTTATACATTGTCTAAAGCTGCTTTCTTTCTACAATGTCAGAGTTAAAGGGTTATTACAGAGAACATATGGCAAGCAAAACTTAAAACAGTTACTGTCTGGTCTCTTACAGAAAACGTTTGCCAACCCCTGGCTTGCAGAATTACTAAGAGCTGAAGAAACTGAACCTAGGCTTAGCTTCCAGGAATAATTCTTAAAGTCTTACAGCAGAATTGAGCTTCTAAGAAAGTGGCTGCCCCTACTATAATCAGGAAGATGTAGAAACAGGAAGTTGCCTAAGAGAGGAGGAAGCCACCACTGCCTGTGCTGGCTCCAGAATGTACTCTACCTTTGCTATGATTCAAACAGATGTCCCACTAGGGACGTCTGCTGTAGCCACATAAAAAATCAAATGCCTCTATGACTATCCTTGCCAGCAAATAATAATAATAATAATAATAATAATAATAATAATAATAATAATAATAATAGAAGCCCGTTTGTATAACATTTCACCCTTGTATAGATGTATCTTAATGGTGGAGATCCAGCCACAGGCATTCTGAGGAATGTAGTTTGTAGCTTTCCGAGATCCATATTATAAGAAGGCATGATAGAAGGAGATTGAAATGGATGTTGAGCAAACCAGTGTCCATCACAGTCATTGTCTTAGTCAGTTCAGGCTGCTATAACAAATTACCATAGACTGGGAAACTTAAACAACAAACATTTATTTCTCACAATTATGGAAGCTGACAAGTCCAAAATCAAGGTGCTGACAGATCCAGTGTCCTGGATGAGGACACTTACTGGTTTGCTGACAGCTGTATTCATGTTGTGTCCTCACATAGCAGAGAGAAAAAAGAAGAGGAAGCTCTCCTAGCCCTTCCTTCTTGTAAGGGCACCAATCTCATTCATGAGGGCCCCACCCTTATGATGTAATCACCCCCAAAAGTCCAAACTTTTTAATACTTTCACACTAGGATTAGGATTTTGACACATGAATTGGAACACAAATATTCCATCCGTAATAGTTCTCAATCAGGAACAGGTTCTTTTTGGGCTCCATTCCATAAGAAGTGCTAGTTTTATAGGCTTTCCAAATGAGGATCCAGCATAATGGTTCCAAAATTGTTTGAATCTCTCTCCCAACAGCCTCTGAAGGAGCTCTGTAAAATCATGGCTTTATAAGCTCAAGTAATTATTGATAACTGAAACCATACTATGAAAGGAGCTACCCAGAATAGATCACTTAACCATAAATATGTCAGTGCAATTATGAATAACTCAAAGGCAAACCCATCTACAGTAAGGCCCCTATGAAACCCTTAGACAGGAAGCTGCACTAACATTCTGTGCTGCTATCGCTAACCTGATGAGTGACTTGGGAAAGTCTCTTGTCTTCCCTTAGACTTGGCTCCCTCTTGACAAGGAAAAGTCTGAACTGAGTATTTTCCGAGGTCCCTTTCCACTGTAAAATTCTGACTCTCATAATATATTGGTTCCCAAGAAATAATGGGGTTAAAAGGTACATTGAACTGAAGCAGCTATTGTGAAAATCCAGGATTTCATTAGCTCAAGAAAGAGGAAGCCTACAGCTTCAACATAATAAGAGAGCCACACTTTGTGTACCAAATTAGTAAAAGGACCTGTGTCCTAGAGATTATGTTTAATGCCTGCCACCAGAACAGCCTTTTCTAAGGAAGCACTGACCTGTCACCCTTGCCTGGGGGTGTAGCCACCCCTTCCCAATGCCTCACTCCCGCTCTGTCTTCCTTCAATTTTATTCTGACTACTGAAAAGATGACAGTCACAAGGTGGGTACAGCCCAGGAAGATAAAAACAATATGAAATGCAGAGATTGGGAGCTTATCAGCCAAACAGGACATGGGATATAAAAAGTAATCAACCTAAAGCTCTTATCAAAATCTCTCCTAGAGAAAGTTTTTAAAATTCTGTCATTGCTCAAGGAAAAATTATCAGATGATTATAAAGGAATTTCATTTGCTATGCATTCTGTACACAGAGAATGCACACATTCATGCTAGAGGCTACAGGTAGTGTGTCTTGAGAATTATGTCTGAAAATGTTAGCACACTCTTTACAACTAATATATAAATTATTCACACGTGCAAGCCTAGTACATTATAATAATTATAGTATGCCTTCTAGTGTTCCTAAATATACTAGGTATGTTATAAATGTTGTTTCATGTATTCCCTTCAATAATTCTGTTGTGCTAGACATTACCATCTCCATTTTTCAGATTAGGAGACTGAGACTCAGAGCAGTTGCCCAAAGTAAAAATGCCAGACCCAAGCTTCATATCCAGGTCAGTTCACCTCCAAAGCCCGTGAAACACTTACACAAATCAAAACCCTTCAGCTTGGATTTCCTTCTAGCTTTATGATAAAATCCAAAGTATACCACCCCAGCCATCACACACACAGGAGTATAGTATAAAAGAAAGCTTACTCACTCTCAGTTCTACCAGAGAAAGAGGAAAAGACCAGGGTTGAGCCTCAAGAACCACAAAGGAGGGAAAGGGTCAGAAAGAAGGTTAGAAAGAGAAGCGTTATCTGTAGACCCTCTGAAGTGAGACTGATTTCCCACCATTCACTCCTCCTACCTTCCCCATCTTCAAACTATCATTAAATAGTGCCATGAATTGAAATATGATCTCCAATTTATACATTCAGCTGTTTGTCCCTATGGAGCAATCTGTCTTCTTTAATTGTTCAAAGCATTCCTGATGCAGTGAATTTAGAGTCATGTTGTGTTTAAGCAAAGCTAGTTTGAAAGTTTTCTTAACTACCTGTCAGCAAATCTATCTAAGCACATTAACAGAAAAAAGCAATACATAGAGCAGCATTCTGGAGCCAGAAGGTACCCTGGGCATTCGGACGAGCGCTCTTACATAAAAATGAAAAAAATGAGGACCAGTCAATGGGTGAGACCAGATTCTCTTCACCACCAAGTCAACAGCAGAGGCAGGACAGAACTCCAGCTCTTGATGCCATCCCAAGGGCTCCTTCCATCCTGTTTGGCTCATAAATAGCTTGTTGCCCAGAGAAAGCGTGAATCAAGTAGATTCAAGCTCAGCAAAGGGAAAGGAAGATGATGGTTGGGGATTTTTGATGGCAAGGAAAATGCTTAAAAGATTAAAGCACAAAAAGTAAATATCAAAATTGTATTAAAAATCAGAATTCAATTATGGTTTAAAAAAATGGCAAAGTAACTTAAAGAAAATAGGCCAATGTGTCCATAGTGATCATTTCAGAGAGGTAACATCATAAATGAATGTTTCTGTTTATTAACACCTCTGTATAGTTTTGAAATATTCTGCAATTAATATATATTAATTTTATTGCCAGAAAAAATATAATGTCCCCTGCTGAAAAAATAGAGATGAAGACTGTGGAAAAGGGTAATGTCTTCTGAGAGCTGAGCTTCCCACAGGCTACCCTATGAGTGGTTGAAAGAGGCAACCCCGGCCTTCAGCCCCGGAGGCAGGAAGTCTGAATTCTTTCCTGGCCCATTTGAAGCCTAGGCAAGCCACTGCCTTGTCTGGGCCACTTTCCCCAGATCTGCAAAATAAGGAAGCTGAATTTTCTGAGTTCTAAGGTTCTTCCTCACTCCAGCATCCTGTAGAAAAGCAGTGCTGCTTGAAAGACCCAAACCCAAAGTGTGAGCCACCCTCAGCCTCCAGCCATTCAGCCTTGATGATCACAGGGGCTTCTCTGGTGTGTCATCCTTCAATGACTTGGATGCAGGCAGGCTAGCTGGGAAGCACAGCCATGGAATGCAGCAGCTAGGGAGGTGGTATTCTGGGGCCAGGGTATCCAGGTCACTCTATGAGCTCAGTGGGCCGCAGAATGAGAAAGCTCAGGAAGGGGACTGGAACCCACACTGAGAGGGCAACATCCCCCAGGGTCCTTGTCTGACTGAGCCAGAAGCACCTTGGAGACCACTGACACAGTCACCTTACCCTTGGAGAGACTCCAGCCAGCGGGCTCAAGACCTTAACCTGAGGCCTGGAGGACCATAAGTTCATTGCGGAGGATAAAAAAGAATTATCAAGTAAAATGTGTCTCAGTCCATACATAGCTCACACATTCACTTCTTCCAAGGAGACTATCCCCATCCTTACCCAGCCACCCCCAAGTTAGACCACACACCCCTCCCTTGTTCCCCTCGCTGTCCTGAGTTTCCCACTCTACGCTAACCATCCTGTGTAGAATTGTTTCATTGTTTGTCTTCCACACCACACTGTGCACTCCTTCAGGCTGAGTGAGGCTTCATTCTCCCAGCACAGAACCTGGTCAGTATAGATCAGGGCTCAGCAAACTATGGCCTGCAGGCCATATTTGGCCAGCGCCTGGTTATGTAAATAAAATTGTGTTGGCATACAGCTATGACCATTTGTTTACATTTCATTTATGGCTGGTTTTGCACAACAGCAGAACTGATCATTTGCAACAGTGACCATTTGCCCACAAAAACTAACACACTTATTATCTAGCCCTTTAAGAAAAAGTTTGCTATTATCCAGGCATGGTAGCACTGGTCCCAGCTACTAGGGAGGCTGAGGAGGAAGGATCGTTTGAGCCCAGGAGGTCAACACTGCAGTGAGCCACGATCGCACCACTACACTGCAGCCTGGATGCCAGAGTGAGACCTTGCCTCAAAAAATCAAAAATTAAAATTAATTTTAAAAGAGTTTGCTAATCTCTGGTGCATTAGTTTGGCAGGACTGCCATAAAGTACTACAGACAAGGTGGTTTAAACAACAGAAATGTATTTCCTCACAGTTTTGGAGGCCAGATAGCCAAGATCCAGGTGTTGGCAGGGTTGGCTTCTTCTGAGGCCTCCCTCCTTGGCTTGTAGATGGGGTTCTTCTCCCTATGTTCATGTGATCTTCCCTCTGTGCATGTCTTTATCCTAGTCTCCTCTTCTTATAAAGATACCAATCATATTGGATTAGAGGCCAACCTAATGACCTCATATTAACTTAATTACCACTTGCTTAATTTACAAAGCTTCCTTAAATTTACAAAGCCTCTTGAGGCTGATTTCCACAGAACTAGGGATTAAAGACCCTATCTCCATACACAGTCACATTCTGAGATACAGAAGTTTAGGACTTCAGCATACGAATTTGCAGAGGCCACAGTTCAGCCCTTAACATCTCATATAGACCCTCAGTAAGTGTTCCATGAGCTGAGCCTTTTCACCCAACACAATGATGAGCATGTAGCTTATGCTCAATGAGATTCTCTCTTCTTTGCCTCAACCGTAATCCAAAGAACTTCCTTAAATTTACAATGCCTCTTGAGGCTGATTTCCACAGAACTAGGAATTAAAAGTCTGCTTATTTTAACATCTTCCAACATTCATTTACTGGCTTCTGGAAAAGTCTTTCCCACCCTCAATTGAGTCCTTTCATAGGTTGGGGCATTTATATGTTGTATGTTCCCCAATCAAAAAAGCTCTTCTTACATTTGAATATTGACAACAGGCATGTGGAAGCTGAAAAGAAAAGGCAGAAAGCCATCATGAAAGTGCTACCACAGAGAGCGATGCCCAGACACCAATATAAAGAGTGTGATGCAATTTTTACAAGTCTTAATTGTGAAATGCCAAACACTCCCAACACAAAGGAAAGTCAAATGTCACTTATTCCCATGATGTGTTGAGAGGTGCAGTCCCAAAGCACACATTTCTAATGCTTGGCCAAGAGCTAGGTAAATAAATGGTGAGGGCAAAATGCCACAACCCCCCAGCGAACGGGCACCCATGCAGAGGTGGCACGACCAGCCAAAATGGCATGTCGGAGGAGGCTGTTTGGCCCCATGGTGTCCCTCATTTGCCACCTGAGAGGCAGCAGGGCCCAGAGGGTGCTTGACATGTTTCACATCCTGGCTTCATTTCTTACTAGGAAGGGTCCTTGGCCACATTGTTTAACCTACTAGTACCCACTACACTTGGCTCCTCTGAAGGTCAAGTGCATTGTTCATAAAGCATTCAGCACAGTACTGGTTCCTGGAGGACTCTTGGTGGATAGTAATTCCCTTCCTGCAGCCAGCCCTACTGCCATCTGCTCAGCCAGCCCACAAGCACCTCCACACCCCGAGCCACACCTAACTTCTCTACTCCCCAGACACTCTGTAGACTTTCCTTCCTTCATGCCTTTACATTGACTGTTCCTTTACCTTGGAATGCCCCTCCCACCATAACAAACTGCTTTTTGTCTTTAAAATCCCACCTTGAATATTCTCTCTGTGAAATAATTCTTTTTTTTTTTTTAATTTTTTGACTCTCCCACTTCCGTGAGTAAAACTAATCCCTTATTCCCTATACTTCCATAGCCTGTGTTTCTCCAAGGCCTAGAACAATATGGGCCAAGTGTTTCTGGAGCGAATGATCCTGTGGCATCTTAGGCATACCTTTGTTTTATAACCTGGAGTTTTTGAATATACTAGATGTCAGTCCTTTTTGCTAGAGTGTGATTTTATCAAGGAAGAACCCTGGGGATTTTCTGCCTCCAAGACCTGACACTGGCTTGATAAATGGTGAAATTTATTTTCATTTCTAACCTATGGTTCTACGGTAGAATCAGAGATGTGTTAGAGAGAGACATAGGGTGCTAACAGGCATTTAGCATGTTTTTCTTGGAAGGTGAAGCTTGTAAATAATCACAGCATATGCCATTTATTGAATGCCTACCTATAGGCATTTTTGAAAATGTCCTACTGTTTAATCTTAGCAACCCCATTGGTTTGATACCATGATCTCCTTATGGAAGGCCACATAGTTCACTATTTAGGAGTTGGGTTTTGCAATCAGACAATCTGGGTTCCACTGCAAAAATAAGTGGGTGGTTTTAAGTAACTCAGTTGGTCCCCCTCTCTGCTTCAGTTTCTTCATGTGTAAAATAGGAATAGAAATAGGATCCAATTTATAGCGTTGTTATAAAGAATAAATGAGATAATATATAATAGGAAACACATGAGATTATGCCTATAAAAGACCTGGTACCTAGTAAGAACTCGATGAAGATAGCTGCTATTATTGCTATTGTTATTATCCATTTCATAAGCAGGTAAGCTAGATTTGGGCCCAGTATGCCTGACTCTGGCAAACTCATTCAGCGTGGCCCCAGCAGGTGGTTTTTTCAACCACCAACCCTTTTAGAAAAGGTAATAAAAGTCTGGGTGTGGTGGCTCATGCCTGTAAACCCAGCACTTTGGGAGGCTGAGGTGGGGGGATTGTTTGAGGCCAGGAGTTCAAGATCAGCTTGGAAACATAGGAGACCTTGTCTCTACAAAAAATATAAAAAAATAGCTGGGCATGGTGGCACATGCCTGTAATCCCAGATGTTTGAAAGGCTGAGCAGGGAGGATCACTTGAGCCCAGGAGGTTGAAGCTGCAGTGAGTCATAATGGCACCACTGCACCCCAGCCTGGCCAACAGAGTAAGACCCCAATGAAAAGAAAAAAGGCAATAAAATGGAAGAAGAATTTTGGAGGCCAAGTGTATTAGTCCGTTTTCACACAGCTGATAAAGACATACCCAAGACTGGACAATTTACAAAAGAAAGAGGTGTAATGGACTCACAGTTCCACGTGCCTGAGAAGCCTCACAATCATGGCAGAAGGTGAAAGGCATGACTCACACGGCAGCAGACAAGAGAAGAGAATTGTGCAGGGAAACTCCCCTTTTTAAAACCATCAGATCTCATGAGACTTATTCACTATCAAGAGAACAGCACAGGAAAGACCCACCCCCATGATTCAATTATCTCCCACCAGACCCCTCTCACAACATGTGACAATTATGGGAGTTACAATTCAAGATGAGGTTTGGGTGGGGACAGTCAAACCATATCACCAAAGTGGGAGGATTGTTCTGAAAAGAACATGAGAAGATTTCTCACTCATTCCATTGGATAACGTGGATTTCTTTCCAATTATCAGCAAAAGAAAATTCCTAAAATGCC
Organism: Homo sapiens; assembly: GCF_000001405.40. Classification (NCBI taxonomy): domain Eukaryota; kingdom Metazoa; phylum Chordata; class Mammalia; order Primates; family Hominidae; genus Homo; species Homo sapiens. Next base: position 79,562,555 of record NC_000011.10, on the reverse strand, counting down.
AAATTGTTTCTTCCAAAGTTACCCTGTCTGAGGGAATTACAATCTCAAGAGGAGGTTTAGTTTAGTTTTCTGGTTCAGACCAGTCAATACTCAAGAGGCAAGGAGGCAATGGTGATTTACAATTAGGGTGATCATAGGACACAGTTTAGCCAGGAGAGTCCCAGTTTACCCAAGTTGTCCCAGTATAATTTTTAATAGCATGCCCTTTCATTTTCAAAAGTGTTCCAGTCAGGGCAATAACTTAAATGGTCACCTATTTATTATGGAATAAGGAAGTATCTTGGAGTCACAGAGACCTGAGCTTAAATCCTGGCTCTACCACTTACTAGCTGTGCATTGAGGGTAATTCACTCAACCCTTCTGAGCTTCACATTCTCCTTCTGTAAAATGAGTTCAATACTACATGTTTTCTAGGGTATTATACATATTCCAAAAATGCGCAAACTATGGAAAGCACTTGGCACACAGTGGTTCCTCCATAAAAGTCAATTCTCTTTCCCTTTCTCTCCTACTTCCATATTCACCAACCCTATATAAGTCAGAAGAATGCGAATTCTTATTTTGTAGTTCTCCAAGTACCTCTTTTGGGTATATATCCATTTAATAGTTCAGTTCAACACATATGAATGGAGAAGAGCATTCTATATTCTAAAGGTGATACTGGCATTTTCACAAATGTCTCTAATACTTAATAATAAGCCCTAGAGACCAAGTACAAGAGACCATGGGGTTCAGAGCAGGAAGTGTTGTTTGGGCTGCCTGAAGAAAGTAGCACTTGGGGGATGTTCTCAAAGGGTAGGTATGACTTCAACAGGCAGAGTTAAGCAAGGATATTCCAGGTGAAAGAGATAGCCTGAGGACAGGAGAGTAAGGCATGCATTCAAGGAATGGCAGCAGTCCAATTTAACTGGAATTTTAGATAAATTGGAAACAGACTGTAGAAGGCCTTGAAAGCTAAACTAAGCAATGGGGAGCCACTGAAGGTCTGTGAGGAGAAGGTCTGGTCTCCCTGCTGCTGAGCTCTAGGAACAGTTATCTGGCTGCTGTTGAGTAGAATTGATTGCAGGCAGTACAAAGAGGCAGGAGGTGGTAAATCCAGTTAAAAAGCCATTGTAGTAGCACTGTTTAGTCAACTTTACATCAAAAGTTTGGTTCAACTTCCCCCTCTTGTCCCTGACCCTGCAGATCCAAGAAATCAAGTCTCTACAAACAAGATTCTGTAGAACAATTTCTCTCATTTCTAACCTTATATCTTAAGATGAAATTAAACTGATGTTGTCCAATTTCTGTTCATAAAGCCAAGCTGGTTGTTAGACAACTGGTCAGGAAAAATTTTGAAGAGTTCTCTTGTCTCTTAACTCTATGACCAGGTGTTTCTATGATAGATGACATTACCTCTTGTTTCTTCAACAAATTTTCTCTCATTTTTTATGTCTCTGTCTTTATCCTTCTAGTCCCTACAGTGCCTTCCTCTCTAGGGTTTAGGTCAACCCTAAAACATTGACCTATGACGCTCTCAGACTTACTCCCTGAGTTGTTCTATTTCACAAAATGTCATAGGCTAAGTTTCTCCCAAAGCAAAGACTAAGGCCATGATCTTCACGCAGGTAATTTATCTGGGAATGTGATCCCAGGGAGCAGAAATGCAAGAGAAGGGAGAAGGAGAAATTAAAATTAAAATGTGATCATTGCTTAATCACTACTAAAGCAACTGGTTCTCAATCCTGCCAGGAACTTCCCAGAAGGCTTATAAATTACAAATCAGAATTACCTGCCCTGAGACTTAAGGGGAAGTAGCATTTATCCATTGGGTCCTCTCTCCCATATTCATCAAGGATGGCCCCACAAGTGTTAATTTCTCTGAAGTTCCTAGCTGCATATATGTAAATAGAGCAGGTTTTATAAGATGTCCTGTTCCATAGTATCTAAGAAATCCCAGGGAAGGAAAGAAAGGTAGGTGGCATAGGGCCTAAGGTGAAATGCTGTCCAATCATACCTACGCAAAGCTGCCAAAGCCTGCAGGAAATTGGTCACCAGGGCAGTGACTGGTGTAAGAAATTGGGCCCAGAAGATGTTGGGGCAAGGCCCCAGAGGCATCCAGTCTGTAAACTTAGTCCAGGAAAAGGCCTTTCCACCCTATGGTGATTGCACTCTACCTACAGGTGGAGACGAAGCCACTCCAGCAGCAGTGGCTCCTGTGCAGCCCTCTTGGATGGCCAGAAATCCCAAAAAGCAAAACTCAGTTATACATGAGGAAAAAATAAAAATTGTGAGTTTCTGAAAATGATTTAATAACAAAAGTACCATATTTTGCCCTAAGTTTTGAGCTTCTTTATACCACAACACCAATATCTTTCCTGCCTTAGTAAATGCAGTATCACTGAATCTTTCCTGTATATGTTCATAGTACTGCTATTATTCTAGATACCAACACTCACAGATTTTTTCTATTTTTCCATATAAATCACTTATTGATGTCACTTAATTCTATCTACCCAGTGTAATTCAGGTACCTTATTTTTCATTCTCTCTGCGATCACTCAAATGCAGGACCTTGTTAACTACCCAATGGACTTTTTAGGAGCTGCCTTGATTCCATTTTCTTTTCCCCTGTAGTTCAGTTTTCTTCATCTGTAAAGTGAGAATAACAGTAACCACAACTTTATAGGACTTTTATGTAGCTAAAATGAAGTCTATGAAATAATGTATATGAAACACCTAGCTTAGCAGTTGGCATTTTCAAGTGGAGTATTTAAGACTGGGTTTGGCAGCAAGTAACTGAAAAAATGAAAATTACAGGGACTTAAACAAGTTACAAGTAGAAATTTCTTATTCCCTTTCTTTTAAACATAAGTATTTCTCACTTTCAACTATGATGTAATTGCTAGTACTAGACTAGTCTTCTTTCAGTAAGCAACTAGAAAACCAAAAAAACTATATAAAGCAACTATTCTCAGTCATGGGACAAAGGCTGTGCATGACTATAATCCTTGAAATAAGGGAAACAAAGAAAGTGAGACTAATGATTTTCCCAGATTTATGCCTGAAATCTTCCTCCCTGCAACAGAGATGGGGAACCCAAGCAGAGTACAACATCTTTGTAAAAATGAAGTTTAGGGAGGCTAAGGCAGCTGAAATTTTCAGAGCGCTGTACCAGAGAAAAAGAAGCTATGCAAAGAAAACACCAAAAACTCAACATAGGGATCCCCTTGAATTTTTGGCTTAATACTAAGCGACACAAATGTAGAATGAGATTCCACAAGGCAAGGCAAAGAACAATGAACAAAAAGAAAATAACTATGGGAAAAGCTATCAGCTGAACATCTCCCAGAGTCTGAAGGTCATTGAACACTTAGTAAATATTCAGTAGAGACTCTAAAAAGATCACACCTTAGAGAGCCAGACTATCCTTAGAGAGTAAATGCTACTCTTGATCTGCCACAACAAAATTTTTCAGACTCAAAGGATCAAGCTAATTTATACATAAATTAATTGCTTGCCAATATTGAACTCAATGCATAACATGCATAATATCCAGCACCTAATAAAACTTATAGGACACGTAAACAAACAGGAAAATGTAACCCATAGCCAGGAGTCAAATCAATCAATAGGAACAGACAGAGAATTTACAAATATTTTGGAATTAACAGAGAAGGGCTTTTAATACACTATTATAAATATTTTCAAGGATTTTAGGGAAAATATGAACATAATGAAAAGAGAAATGGAAACTATTGAAAAGAAAAACAAATAGAACTTCCAGAGCTGAAAGCTGTAACATCTTTTTTTTTTTTTTTCAAAACAAATAAGAGTAAAGATCTTTACTAAATGTATTCATTCCTTGGTGTCAATCCTTCCTGAATTTTTTTTCTTTTTTTTTTTATTATTATACTTTAAGTTTTAGGGTACATGTGCACATTGTGCAGGTTAGTTACATATGTATACATGTGCCATGCTGGTGTGCTGCACCCACTAACTCGTCATCTAGCATTAGGTATATCTCCTAAAGCTATCCCTCCCCCCTCCCCCCACCCCACAACAGTCCCCAGAGTGTGATGTTCCCCTTCCTGTGTCCATGTGATCTCATTGTTCCATTCCCACCTATGAGTGAGAATATGCGGTGTTTGGTTTTTTGTTCTTGCAATGGTTTACTGAGAATGATGATTTCCAATTTCATCCATGTCCCTACAAAGGACATGAACTCATCATTTTTTATGGCTGCATAGTATTCCATGGTGTATATGTGCCACATTTTCTTAATCCAGTCTATCATTGCTGGACATTTGGGTTGGTTCCAAGACTTTGCTATTGTGAATAGTGCTGCAATAAACATACGTGTGCATGTGTCTTTATAGCAGCATGATTTACAGTCCTTTGGGTATATACCCAGTAATGGGATGGCGGGGTCAAATGGTATTTCTAGTTCTAGATCCCTGAGGAATCGCCACCTGACTTCCACAATGGTTGAACTAGTTTACAGTCCCACCAACAGTGTAAAAGTGTTCCTATTTCTCCACATCCTCTCCAGCACCTGTTGTTTCCTGACTTTTTAATGATTGCCATTCTAACTGGTGTGAGATGGTATCTCATTGTGGTTTTGATTTGCATTTCTCTGATGGCCAGTGATGATGAGCATTTTTTCATGTGTTTTTTGGCTGCATAAATGTCTTCTTTTGAGAAGTGTCTGTTCATGTCCTTTGTCCACTTTTTGATGGGGTTGTTTGTTTTTTTCTTGTAAATTTGTTTAAGTTCATTGTAGATTCTGGATATTAGCCCTTTGTCAGATGAGTAGCTTGCGAAAATTTTCTCCCATTTTGTAGGTTGCCTGTTCACTCTGATGGTAGTTTCTTTTGCTGTGCAGAAGCTCTTTAGTTTAATTAGATCCCATTTGTCAATTTTGGCTTTTGTTGCCATTGCTTTTGGTGTTTTAGACATGAAGTCCTTGCCCATGCCTATGTCCTGAATGGTATTGCCTAGGTTTTCTTCTAGGGTTTTTATGGTTTTAGGTCTAACATGTAAGTCTTTAATCCATCTTGAATTGATTTTTGTATAAGGTGTAAGGAAGGGATCCAGTTTCAGCTTTCTACATATGGCTAGCCAGTTTTCCCAGCACCATTTATTAAATAGGGAATCCTTTCCCCATTGCTTGTTTTTCTCAGGTTTGTCAAAGATCAGATAGTTGTAGATATGCGGCATTATTTCTGAGGGCTCTGTTCTGTTCCATTGATCTATATCTCTGTTTTGGTACCAGTACCATGCTGTTTTGGTTACTGTAGCCTTGTAGTATAGTTTGAAGTCAGGTAGTGTGATGCCTCCAGCTTTGTTCTTTTGGCTTAGGATTGACTTGGCAATGCGGGCTCTTTTTTGGTTCCATATGAACTTTAAAATAGTTTTTTCCAATTCTGTGAAGAAAGGCATTGGTAGCTTGATGGGGATGGCATTGAATCTGTAAATTACCTTGGGCAGTATGGCCATTTTCGTGATATTGATTCTTCCTACCCATGAGCATGGAATGTTCTTCCATTTGTTTGTATCCTCTTTTATTTCCTTGAGCAGTGGTTTGTAGTTCTCCTTGAAGAGGTCCTTCACATCTCTTTTAAGTTGGATTCCTAGGTATTTTATTCTCTTTGAAGCAATTGTGAATGGGAGTTCACTCATGATTTGGCTCTCTGTTTGTCTGTCGTTGGTGTATAAGAATGCCTGTGATTTTTGTACATTGATTTTGTATCCTGAGACTTTGCTGAAGTTGCTTATCAGCTTAAGGAGATTTTGGGCTGAGACGATGGGGTTTTCTAAATATACAATCATGTCATCTGCAAACAGGGACAATTTGACTTCCTCTTTTCCTAATTGAATACCCTTTATTTCCTTCTCCTGCCTAATTGCCCTGGCCAGAACTTCCAACACTATGTTGAATAGGAGTGGTGAGAGAGGGCATCCCTGTCTTATGCCAGTTTTCAAAGGGAATGTTTCCAGTTTTTGCCCATTCAGTGTGATATTGGCTGTGGGTTTGTCATAGATAGCTCTTATTATTTTGAAATATGTCCCATCAATACCTAATTTATTGAGAGTTTTTAGCATGAAGGGTTGTTGAATTTTGTCAAAGGCCTTTTCTGCATCTATTGAGATAATCATGTGGTTTTTGTCTTTGGCTCTGTTTATATGCTGGATTACATTTATTGATTTGCGTATATTGAACCAGCCTTGCATCCCAGGGATGAAGCCCACTTGATCATGGTGGATAAGCTTTTTGATGTGCTGCTGGATTCGTTTTGCCAGTATTTTATTGAGGATTTTTGCATCAATGTTCATCAAGGATATTGGTCTAAAATTCTCTTTTTTTGTTGTGTCTCTGCCTGGCTTTTGTATCAGAATGATGCTGGCCTCATAAAATGAGTTAGGGAGGATTCCCTCTTTTTGTATTGATTGGAATAGTTTCAGAAGGAATGGCACCAGTTCCTCCTTGTACCTCTGGTAGAATTCGGCTGTGAATCCGTCTGGTCCTGGACTCTTTTTGGTTGGTAAGCTATTGATTATTGCCACAATTTCAGATCCTGTTATTGGTCTATTCAGAGATTCAACTTCTTCCTGGTTTAGTCTTGGGAGAGTGTATGTGTCAAGGAATTTATCCATTTCTTCTGGATTTTCTAGTTTATTTGCATAGAGGTGTTTGTAGTATTCTCTGATGGTAGTTTGTATTTCTGTGGGATCAGTGGTGATATCCCCTTTATCATTTTTTATTGCGTCTATTTGATTCTTCTCTTTTTTCTTTGTTAATCTTGCTAGCGGTCTATCTATTTTGTTGATCCTTTCAAAAAACCAGCCCCTGGATTCATTAATTTTTTGAAGGGTTTTTTGTGTCTCTATTTCCTTCAGTTCTGCTCTGATCTTAGTTATTTCTTGCCTTCTGCTAGCTTTTGAATGTGTTTGCTCTTGCTTTTCTAGTTCTTTTAATTGTGATGTTAGGGTGTCAATTTTGGATCTTTCCTGCTTTCTCCTGTGGGCATTTAGTGCTATAAATTTCCCTCTACACACTGCTTTGAATGCGTCCCAGAGATTCTGGTATGTTGTGTCTTTGTTCTCATTGGTTTCAAAGAACATCTTTATTTCTGCCTTCATTTCGTTATGTACCCAGTAGTCATTCAGGAGCAGGTTGTTCAGTTTCCATGTAGTTGAGTGGTTTTGAGTGAGATTCTTAATCCTGAATCCTAGTATGATTGCACTGTGGTCTGAGAGATAGTTTGTTATAATTTCTGTTCTTTTACATTTGCTGAGGAGAGCTTTACTTCCAACTATGTGGTCAATTTTGGAATAGGTGTGGTGTGGTGCTGAAAAAAATGTATATTCTGTTGATTTGGGGTGGAGAGTTCTGTAGATGTCTATTAGGTCTGCTTGGTGCAGAGCTGAGTTCAATTCCTGGGTATCCTTGTTGACTTTCTGTCTCGTTGATCTGTCTAATGTTGACAGTGGGGTGTTAAAGTCTCCCATTATTAATGTGTGGGAGTCTAAGTCTCTTTGTAGGTCACTCAGGACTTGCTTTATGAATCTGGGTGCTCCTGTATTGGGTGCATATATATGTAGGATAGTTAGCTCTTCTTGTTGAATTGATGCCTTTACCATTATGTAATGGCCTTCTTTGTCTCTTTTGATCTTTGTTGGTTTAAAGTCTGTTTTATCAGAGACTAGGATTGCAACCCCTGCCTTTTTTTGTTTTCCATTTGCTTGGTAGATCTTCCTCCATCCTTTTATTTTGAGCCTATGTGTGTCTCTGCACGTGAGATGGGTTTCCTGAATACAGCACACTGATGGGTCTTGACTCTTTATCCAATTTGCCAGTCTGTGCCTTTTAATTGGAGCATTTAGTCCATTTACATTTAAAGTTAATATTGTCATGTGTGAATTTGATCCTGTCATTATGATGTTAGCTGGTGATTTTGCTCGTTAGTTGATGCAGTTTCTTCCTAGTCTCGATGGTCTTTACATTTTGGCATGATTTTGCAGCGGCTGGTACCGGTTGTTCCTTTCCATGTTTAGCACTTCCTTCAGGAGCTCTTTTAGGGCAGGCCTGGTGGTGACAAAATCTCTCAGCATTTGCTTGTCTGTAAAGTATTTTATTTCTCCTTCACTTATGAAGCTTAGTTTGGCTGGGTTGAAAATTCTGGGTTGAAAATTCTTTTCTTTAAGAATGTTGAATATTGGCCCCCACTCTCTTCTGGCTTGTAGGGTTTCTGCCGAGAGATCTGCTGTTAGTCTGATGGGCTTCCCTTTGAGGGTAACCCGACCTTTCTCTCTGGCTGCCCTTAACATTTTTTCCTTCATTCAAATTTGGTGAATCTGACAATTATGTGTCTTGGAGTTGCTCTTCTTGAGGAGTATCTTTGTGGTGTTCTCTGTATTTCCTGAATCTGAACGTTGGCCTGCCTTGCTAGATTGGGGAAGTTCTCCTGGATAATATCCTGCAGAGTGTTTTCCAACTTGGTTCCATTCTCCCCGTCACTTTCAGGTACACCAATCAGACGTAGATTTGGTCTTTTCACATAGTCCCATATATCTTGGAGGCTTTGCTCGTTTCTTTTTATTCTTTTTTCTCTAAACTTCCCTTCTCGCTTCATTTCATTCATTTCCTCTTCCATTGCTGATACCCTTTCTTCCAGTTGATTGCATCGGCTCCTGAGGCTTCTGCATTCTTCACGTAGTTCTTGAGCCTTGGTTTTCAGCTCCATCAGCTCCTTTAAGCACTTCTCTGTATTGGTTATTCTAGTTATACATTCTTCTAAATTTTTTTCAAAGTTTTCAACTTCTTTGCCTTTGGTTTGAATGTCCTCCCGTAGCTCAGAGTAATTTGATCATCTGAAGCCTTCTTCTCTCAGCTCGTCAAAGTCATTCTCCGTCCAGCTTTGTTCCGTTGCTGGTGAGGAACTGCGTTCCTTTGGAGGAGGAGAGGCACTCTGCTTTTTAGAGTTTCCAGTTTTTCTGTTCTGTTTTTTCGCCATCTTTGTGGTTTTATCTACTTTTGGTCTCTGATGATGTTGATGTACAGATGGGTTTTTGGTGTGGATGTCCTTTCTGTTTGTTAGTTTTCCTTCTAACAGACAGGACCCTCAGCTGCAGGTCTGTTGGAGTACGCTGCCGTGTGAAGTGTCAGTGTGCCCCTGCTGGGGGGTGCCTCCCAGTTAGGTTGCTCGGGGATCAGGGGTCAGGGACTCACTTGAGGAGGCAGTCTGCCCATTCTTAGATCTCCAGCTGCATACTGGGAGAGCCACTGCTCTCTTCAAAGCTGTCAGACAGGGACATTTAAGTCTGCAGAGGTTACTGCTGTCTTTTTGTTTGTCTGTGCCCTGCCCCCAGAGGTGGAGCCTACAGAGGCAGGCAGGCCTCCTTGAGCTGTGGTGGGCTCCACCCAGTTCGAGCTTCCCAGCTGCTTTGTTTACCTAAGCAAGCCTGGGCAATGGTGGGCGCCCTTCCCCCAGCCTCGCTGCCGCCTTGCAGTTTGATCTCAGACTGCTGTGCTAGCAATCAGTGAGACTCCGTGGGCATAGGACCCTCCGAGCCAGGTGCGGGATATAATCTCGTGGTGCGCCGTTTTTTAAGCCCGTCGGAAAAGCGCAGTATTTGGGTGGGAGTGACCCGATTTTCCAGGTGCCGTCTGTCACCCCTTTCTTTGACTAGGAAAGGGAACTCCCTGACCCCTTGCGCTTCCTGAGTGAGGCAATGCCTCACCCTGCTTCAGCTTGTGCATGGTGCGCACACCCACTGACCTGCGCCCACTGTCTGGCACTCCCCAGTGAGATGAGCCTGGTACCTCAGATGGAAATGCAGAAATCACCCGTCTTCTGCGTCACTCACGCTGGGAGCTGTAGACCGGAGCTGTTCCTATTCGGCCATCTTGGCTCCTCCCCAGCTATAACGTCTTAAAAGAGTTTACTGAATAGGCTTACTGGCTGATTGGATTTAACAGAAAATTTAAAAAAAAAATCAGTGAACTTTAAGGTAAGACAATAGAAACTCTCTAAACTGAATTACAGAGAGAATGAAGACTGGAAAAATAATACAGAGCTTTAGTGACCTGTAGGATGATATAAGCCAATTTAACATGCATTTAATTGAAATCCCAGAAACAAGGTGTGAAAGGGGAGGAGGGAACTAAGAAAACTTGTGATCATGATGGCTTTAAATTTTCCAGATCCAAGAAGTCTACACACTAAAGAAGGAGAAATACAAACCATACCATTGCACATCATAATCAAATTGCTAAAAATCAACAATAAAGAGAAAATTTTAAGAGCAGTGAAAGAAAATGGCACACTCTATAGAGAGGAGCGGAGATAAGAATTACTGCAGACTTCTCATCAGAGGCAATCCAGATCAGAAAGCAAAGAATAACATCTTGAATCTGCTGAAATAAAAGAAGTCAGAAGGCAGCACAGTTCAGTTGTGGTGCTACATAGCATCAGGCATCTGAGCACTTTATCTGTTATTGATTCACCACTGTCAGCACAATGCTTCCACCGCAGTGCAAGGTGCCTACTCAGGCTTCAGCTAACACATCCACGTTCCAGTCTGAAGAAAAGAGAGAGGAAAAATGGCATATTCCCTTTCTTTTAGAGTACTTCCTTTAAGTAGCACACATATATTGAGAGGAACTTAGTTACACAGCCACACCCAAAGACAACAGAGTCTGGGAAATATAGTCTTAATTCCAGTGGCCATATAACCAAATAAAAATCTGGGGTTCCATTACTAAAAAAGTTGGGGAGAATGGATATTAGAGAAAACTAGCAATTTTTGTCATGAATATGAACACATTCAATTAATGTTAATTCTTTTTTTGATGCTGCTGATAACAACGTATGTAACCTTGAGCATCAACAAATCCTCAAAGATAAAATGAAGGAATTAGAATAGATTACCTATAAGCATCCTTCTAGTTCTGACCAGCTTTGTGCCTACCTTGTTGCTGGCATAAGGGGCCATATAGTAAGTATTCTTCCACTAGACAAGGAGTGAACAAGCTATGGCCTACAGACCAAATCTGGCTTGCCACCTGTTTTTGGAAATAGTTTTATAGGAAGACAGTCACATTCACTTAGTTGCACATTGCCTATGGCTGTTTTCATGTATGGTAGAGTTGAGTTCTTGTGAGAGTGGTTATATGGCCAAACAGCCTAAAATACTTATACTGTCTGGCCCTTTACAAATAAAGTTTGCCAATTTCTACATTAGACAAATAAATGAATTCATGTGACCAAGCAATTTAAGAAAACATGGCTTTTAGCAAAGCGTGTCTTTCTTCTCTTCTGTTCATTTCTTCTTTAGTGTATTTTCTATAATTTGAAAATGAATACAGTATGGCCTTAATTTCTGAGGATTTCAAAAGAAACACATGCAGATACTCTGCCAAAGAAATAAATGATGAAGTGTTTTCTTAATTCTTGAAAAAAATCTTTCATCTGCCCTTGAAATATCAGGTTTTAAACACAGTAAGCTTTCTCCCCAGAAATTATCCTATTAAAAAAAAATTGTTTTGGAACATATCCCAAAAAAGTGAGCATATAGAGGATAAAATCTTGGCAAAAATGCTCATTATAGTTCTGCATTTGTGGAACATGTTCTCACATCAAGGAAAAGGATTATAGCCCAGGCAAACTCAGAAAGAAGAGTAAGCCAGGCAGTGTCTGTCTGGGACTCAGTCTAAGGAAAACCATTCACTAAAAGGACTGGTCCCTGAAGCAGGTAACAAGAAGTTTAAATTATATGGAATTCTTTAAAAGGTGGCAAATCTGGGGCTGCTCCATGACAGCTGAGGCATGGCAGCCAAAATGCCTATCAGCACTGATGTCCAGGGTTGTTCGTATGGTTTATAGAGGACCTGTTTCAGTGGATTCTCAGGTAATGATGGACAGGGACCACCATTCTGGGCAAGGTTCTGGAAAATACCAGTCAATGTGTCCTCTCAACAAGTGACTGGAGCAATAATTAGGAACCATGAAAGAAGCTCAATCCTTGATACAAGGCCAAAAGGCATGCAGTTGGTGTGGGTTACTTGTTAATGACTACACAGCAACCTGCATTGACCCTCAGGAGCACCCAGTAGTAGAAGGGACTCATTCTCTGGAGTCAGATAGACCTGCGTTCAAACACCAGCTTATCTCTCCCAACCTGTGAGGCGTAAAGCAATGCATTTGTCCTCTCTGAGCCTCAGTTTCCTCATTTGTAGATTGAAAATATTAGCTGCCCTGAAAGATTGTTGACACTTCTTTAGAGTGAGTGCTCAATAAGTGGTAGGTGCTGCTATCATCACCACCACCACCACCACCACCATCACCGTCATCATTATTTGGCAGTCAAGGTGCCTGGCCTAACTGGCAAGGTTAACCCCCCTGGTAGGTCAGCTATTGACTAGAAATAGCTTGGGAGCTACGGGCTGAGCCAGAATGCTGTAGATGTCGGTGTCGGTAGAAAAGTGGCACTAAAGAAGGCAGAACCTGAGGAATATGGTAGTAAGATTTCAGTGGCTCCTGAGCTCTCCAGAAAGACTGGCTGAGCCCTGGGAACAAGTGTCCACAGTAGTGAGTGGACAGAGAGGCAGGCAGGTTAGGGAATGCTATTGGCAGTCCCCTGTCCCAACTCATTTCCGCTGACAAAGGGAGAAATGCAATCGCCTCCCTCATTCTCATTTTCTAAATTTACATGCATGGTGTCCAAGGCTCCACCTCACGCCCTTTCTGGATTCTTCAGACAGGTCACCTCTGCCCTCAGATGTCATTATGCCTTTCTTCCTCACTTCATTCAAGTCTCTGTTCAAATCATATTTTTTTCCGAGAGGCCAACTGTGACTTAAAATGGGACATCCATCCTCCAGCCCTCACTCTGCCTGCTTAGCTTGCTTAGCCCTCATCATTTCCTGACATAGTATACATTTGTTTATTGTCTATGTCAACCTATTAGAAAGCAAACTCCATGAGGCTGGAGACTCTCCTTTGTTATCTAATTTCTCTGCACCTAGAAATGTACCTGAAATATAGTAGACAGGCAATAAATATCCATCACATTAAATATTTCTTGACCAAATATATCCCACCTGCCTCCAGAATAAGAAGTAGTTTTAATTTTTTTTTTTTTTAAAAAAAAGCCAATTGACAGATAGTAGAAAAACAAATATCTTTAAAAGAAGTAATGATGGAAAAAGAAGGGAAATAATTATCCTAGAAAACTTAAGGTATGGACACTATTACAGTTGAAAGCCTATCATAGTTCTGTATTATCTTGACAGTTGAGGCCAAAGGAGTAAAGGAAAAGCAATGATAATCAAAGAAGACTTCTTTTTCCAGAAAAAAATACATCTTAAGTCACTGATTTTCAAACTTTTCAATAGTGAAAACTTTTTATCCATAACAACACCATACCAAGCGCCCCAACAACAAAAAAAGTCTATTTAGCTCCAATGTATTTTTTAAGTTCAAAATGTAGCATTGACTTATTAAGTCAAAGAGAACAATGAGGTTGTGAAGCTACAACCTTAAATCAAACTCAGCATTCATTTGATTTTCCTGCACTGTGTGGCTTTGCCAGTCTTGAGAATGTCCTTATTTGCACAGATAAGTAGCTGCAAATGGCACATTTTTCATAGCTTGCCTCACGATCTCCGGCTGCCCCTCAAATCAACTGATCCACAAACTTCAAAGAGGAGCCAAAGGAAAGTTTCTTTTCAAAGTTCAATCACTGATGACCTCCAACGACACCTGTATATATTTTTCACATGAATATGAAGTACAGAAAAGGATCACCCAAAAGTTCCAGTGAAAACAAAAAGATTCCTAATTCAATAATAGCACACAACAAAACATTTGAAATGTGCTTGCTATTTTTACTCTGCTGTCCATTTTGTTATTACAGGAGAATGCCAAGAACAGAGGCACCCGGGTTTTGCTAGGAATAGATCACACAACTCTCTTCAGCACACCCCATGCGATAGGGGTGAACCAACTCACATGGGCAACATGCACAAGCCTGACTTTTAAAAACAAAAAATTCAGGGATATAACTGCCTGATCAATGACATGTGTGCAAGAACTTTGGAATATGCACTAAAAGACTCTGCAGACCAGGAAGCCAGCCCTTCATCCTTCACATGTGCTGCACGCCTGTGTGTATGCGTGTGGCTACCCTCACATATATCTTCTAATATTTATTTTTAGGGTTTAAATATTTGATTAAGCTGGAATTTATTTCCACAAAAGGAATGAGGGAAAGGTCCAGCTTTACTTTTGTCCTAATAACTAGGCATTTGTCCCAGCAATATTTATTGAAAATTTTATTTCTTTTTAACTGCCATCTTTGATCATTTATGAAGACTGGATGCATTGGCTCACACTTGTAATCCTAGCACTTTGAGATGCCAAGGCAAAAGGATCACTTGAGCTCAGGAGTTCAAGACAAGCCTGAGCAATGTAGCAAGACTCCCTCTCTACAAAAAATAAAAAAGTTAGCCAGGCATGGTGGTGCATACCTGTAGTAACAGCTACTCACGTTGCTGAGGTGAGCCTTGATGGTGCCACTGAACTCCAGCCTGTGTGACAAAACTAGACCCTGTCTCAAAAAAAAAAAAAAAAACCAACAAAACAAAAAAACATATGTTTAGGTTCTTTTTTTTTTCTTGTTATATAAGAAAACACAAAACTTCAAATTCAAATCAGGCACTTGTGGAACCCTGCAGCATCTCTGTGGAATACTGAGGTTTTTAAGTTAGTCGTATGTTAGTACACTTAATTGAGCTTCAGGCTGAGCTATAGCAGAGCCCTCAATACTCAGCAATCAAGCATACTATGGAATCTGAAGTATTCCATACTCCCCAGTACGGGGATCCCAGTCACAGAGTCCCAGTCAGAGGGTCAGCCAGATGCTATTGGAACATTTTTAGGACAAGACACTCACCACCTAATATTATTGTCTGTTTTAAAGTTGGTTAGTGTTGATGGTTAGAAAATTCTTTGATCTATTCCCTTAAACTTCTACCAATTGATCTCATTCCATTATCTACAAACCACACAGAACAGCCTTAATTCCTTTCTCATATGACCATCTACTTGAAGACAGAAACCACATCTCTCCTTGGCCTTCTCTGATTCATGCTTTTAATATCCAGTTCTTTCAAGGGATGCTGGGAAATCCAAATGGACAGGGGCAGAACTTGTAAAATTAGGTGTTTGTGGTAGAGAGTCCTAAATTTAGGGTTAAAATAGCACTTTGAGTCCCAGCTGTGCAACTCTGAACTAATCATTCAAAATCCCTGAACCTCAGTTTTCTTACCTATAAAGTGGGTATGATAATCATTAATATGATTACTATCAACATGAAAGAGATTCAATACTGACAACGGTGGAATTGACAGCATCACAAGACTTTGCCATAGAGGGAATAAAAGGTGAGAAGAGATCTTTCTCTCTTCTGCCCATCCCTACAATCTCCAGATTCTTACTGCTCTAACTTTATACCTAAGTAATATTTTTTACTTTCCTGAGATAGAGAGGGAAAAAATCATGCACAGACAGAGTTTCATCGCTGTGTCTGGGGGTAGATTTATTTCCCATCTACACAGGACAATGTTTGCAACAAAATAAAAATGCATTTTCTTCTCACTGCCATTGGTCCAAGTTTCCTATCTCACATCCTAGAACTGATGCCAAATACTGGTCACAATGATCAGGGCTGAAAAGAAGGTAGCCTTCATCCTTCTAGGGTTTGGTTGTTTAACCCTGGGCAAGGGAACAGCCTGGTAGAACAAGTCCAGACAAAATGCGCATGTTTTCCTGCTGGCTTCTTTAAAGGAAAGCATAATTTTACTCACACGTGTAAGGAAATAGACACAGATTGCTTTATTGGGTTTACTGCCTTGTTTGCAAACAAGACGGTTCGTAAACTTAGTGAGTGCCATTAAGGTTTCAGAGGAGGAAGCTGTACCCTGAAGTTACCTGAGGTTCCTGAAAGTACTTCACGTGCACATCATATTTTGAGAGACTCAGCCAGCTTGAACGGTGCAGTAGGTGTTTCCCGGTACTCAGTGGCTTATGAATATTTAAAGGTAATAAATGTCACGTTAAGTGTTTAACGATCTTGTTTACATGTAAAAGCCCTTGAGAAGGGTCTGTTAAAGTGAAACTGATACCAATTTCAAAATGTCTTTATTCTTTTTTTCTTTGGGGACAAGAAAATGTCCTTTAATACAGTAGGGATTTGCGGGATGCTGAATCCCAAATTTTAAAAGTAGTATGAGTAGGTGTTAGGATTTGTTCTGTAGCATTTTAGTGGTTTTCAAAAAGATTTCTTTCCACTAATACAAAGACAAAACTTTAGAAGGAAACTTCACCCCACTTCAACACTTGCCAGTTTTCTAGAATTGATCTACTTACAGAAAAAAAAGAATCCAATTTGTGGTGAAGAAACCTTGGGTTTTAGCTTGGATAGAACTGGGTTTAAACTCTGTCTTTGGGCCTTATTTCTAGGTAATCTAGGGCAAATCCTTCAACCTCTTTGAGCCTCAGTCCTCATTATCTGTAACTTACCTCATTGATCAGCTGTGAGGTTCAAATGGTATACATTGAATTAGCTAGATTAAAAAGTAACTGACACACAGATGTTGCCTCCATGCTTGTTGTAAAATTATAATTACTAAATATTCACTGTGCAACCTGCTTTGTACATGAAGACTAAAACTCCAGCAAATGAGACAATCAACAAAATGTACAGCACTCCAGACATTCAATAAAATATGTTCCTATAGCTTCCACATGAGAATATAGGTGAAAGTTATCAAGTTCCATCAATTTAACTAGTTAATGGGTTGCCATCAACAATGCTCATATCAGCCCGAGTTAAGAAGTCACTGTTGTAGAGGAAAGAACACTGAGCTTGGAGTCCAACAACGTGATCTGAAGTTCTCTGCCATTATCTGAGTGAACTTCCCTGTGAAACTGCTCCTCTCTGAGCTCCAGAGCTCGTTGCCCTTCTATGTACCAGGAGTGAGGATAACACCTAGCCATTAATGTTGACATATGAATCAAATGAGAAGCTTGCATAAGCTGGGATGTCTTCTTGTTTTAGTTTATCGATTGCTGCACAAAAAATCACCACCCGACTTATTGGCTTGAAGCAACAAGGTTTATTATCTCATAGTTTCTGTGGCTTAATGAAGTCCTCTGTCTCAGGGTCTCTCACAGGCCGTAACAAAGCAAAGGGGATTTACACATAGGGTGAAAAACAGAGGGCAAGGATCATTGAGAGCCATCTGAGAAGCTGCCTCCCACAGTCACCCAGATCTGAAGGTTATCATTTACATCACATTATGAGCATGCCTGTTTTCCTCCGTAAAAACTTTGGCCTGAACTCTTGTTGGTCTTATAGGCCAAACCATTCAGTTACACTCTTATTTTACTGCAGCTTGGTCTACAAAAGCCTTACAATAAGAATACATACTATACAGTGGAAATGAGTGCATGATAAAATATAAAGTAATCTGTAACATATATAAAGGCTAAAAGTCAAAAATTGGGGCTGGAGGAAGAACACAAATATAAATGCTAAATGAATCTATAAAGATCTCTCAGATCTGGCTGTGAGCTTCTTGGCAGCCAAAACCAAAATAGAGACCCAGTTAGTTATATAGTTCTAGTCATCTGAGAAAGAAACAGAATCGTTTCTCAAGAGACAGAAAGTATATATTTCCTAGCAGCTTATACGTTTTTTTAAAAAATCCTTATGAGGTGCACCAAGCGATGTAGTGAATAATGACTTTAACAGCTTCCTTGCAAAAATGCAGAAAACAGTTTTGTAAGGCAATTTTTGTATCATTTCTCAATAAAAGCCTACAGCATAGCTGCCAAATGCAAAGGAAATAAGATATAAATGCAAAGCTTTTTAATGGTTTGATTTGATCCAGAAACAGAACCAAGAATGCCTGTGATGTCAGATAGGTCTTATCTTTAATACCAAGCCCAGATCATCAGTAGTGACCGCCCAAGGCACTGTAGTGAGGATCAGGAGCCCTTATCTGAGCCCAACAGGAAAGAGTATGGCAATCAATTAGTGATGTCTGACATGGGTGCAGGGATGCGGAGGGATGGCACAGGCTCTTTGTGTACTGACCCTGGTCTGGGGCAGAAATCCTCAAATTTATTTTGACCAGAGGACACTAATGTCAGTCACAACTCACTATATCCCAACTAAATATCTTATCTCTATCTCTTTCCTATATTGAAAAAGAACTCAAAAATAACAAAGAATTAAGACAGCAAAAATAACAACAAAAACAGAACAAAGCATTACTTAGACAATAACCAAACAATCAATGTGAATAAAATTTAACAGAAATTCCCACATACTGTATTTCACCAAATCTAAAATGACACCAATATAAGCCTCACCACAATTACCACCAAATTCATGCTTGTATGTACATTATTAAAGAAAAAAATCTCCACCAATTAAACTGTGGCACAATGCTTCTTTAAGATCTGTGCATTTTAGAAGAAATAAGGCATATTTTGATTGGTAAAAGAATATCAGCAATTAAAAATTATACCTAATTCAAGATGGCATGGACATGCTCTGTTGACAAAAGGGTGCTGTGTTTCTGAAACATTACTGGGCCTCCCTCTACTTGTGTGTGTACATACTGTGTGCTCAGTGCTGAAAGGATAAGCCTCTCAACATCTTGTCTTATTTATTCTTCCATGTAATCATTCAATTAATACCTACTATGTTCTTGGTCTGGTTCCAGGTTTAGTCTAAAGAGTATGTTACAGATATAAGGGAGCTGGAGACTAAACCCAGATACTCTTATATTTGAAGCCCCAAATTCCATCTTCTTCTAAGTTTGGTTGGTTTTGTCTCCCTTTCTAGGAGACTTTCTCCCTTTCTTGTAGGCTTTTATTGAGAAATGGTCAATAAAGTTGTGACCATTATTATTCACAACTTTCTAAATAGGCTTTTTAAAGACAAAGAACTTTTGTATAATTGCCTCAAAAACAGATGCAGATGTCTTAATTTAGAGACAAAGTGAAAGTTTTAATATAGGTGCCTAGTCCTTAAGTAAGTAAATAAGCAAAGGTGCTGCTTTTTCAGTCTCTGAATTCTCTGCAAGTTGTGATTAATCAAAGGGATGTGCCTCCACTGAGCACGTTAATTAGTTGAACATTTAACATGGAGACCTCACAGCAAGGGAGCTGCCTGCCCTGTGCCCCACTGTGCCTGACTCAGGCCTGCCTGGGGTTGCAGGGAATGAGTTCCTCTGCACAGTCAAGAATCCCCACCAATCCAAATAAGGCACCCTGATCAAGCAGTGTTCCCTACAAAGGAGTTGGATGCTGGGGCCTGCAAATGCAGAGATAAGAGCCAGTTCTAATAATCCTGGGAGTGTTCCCTAAAATACTTCTGCATTTGACACTCTCCCAGGTATATACATTTTTCCTCCCATGTTTTAAAAGTCCAAGCCAAGAAACTGCAGTCTCTGAAGGTGACCTCCACAGAAAATGATGACCAAGAGAAGCAATTCAGCTCCACCAGCTCTCTCTGGTCCTTATGCTCTGGTAGGCACCATGGCAGGTCCTCAGAGGGACCCAGGAATGGTGTTACAGAGTGTCTTCCCTAAGGAAGTACGTGATCTAACAGAGAAGTCAGACAAGTGACCAAGAGGAGAAAAAAGGAATTACTGCAAATTACAGTTTACATTAACAGTAGCCACTTTTGCTTTCTAATTGGGTGGATCCCAATTTTATTTATTTATGTCAGGATTATCTCATTTCTAAATTTCTTCTTTGCCCTTGCTGAAATAGGAGGAGAGGCATGAACCCAAATTCCAAAGTCCTTGCCAACTTTTTGTTTCTGCTACATGATTAGCCTGGAGTAAATGGCCCATTGTTTAACAGAGCATATTATTGAATCTTTGGGCAAGACTGGGAAAGGTGAGTCTTTCAAGGTGGGAGAGGGGGAGAGGAGAGGAGAGGAGAGCTGAAGGGAGCAAAGCCACCTGAAGGAATAAACCCTTTCATCACTTCCAACCTGCAAAGTTTGCTATACTCACAAATGCCTTGTGAGCAATGATTTAAGGGAAAATCAAGTGAAAGGAGGTTCTGTTCTCCATCTGGAGATTAGAGAAAGAACCAATTAATGATGAGATGATGGTAAACCTAAAGTATCTGAGACAGGTCTCAATTAATTTAGAAAGTTTATTTTGCCAAGGTTAAGGACATGGCTGTGACACAACCTTAGGAGGTCCTGATGAGATGTGCCCAAAGTGGTGGGGGTACAGCTGGTTTTATACACTTCAGGGAGACATGAGACATCAATCAATACATGAAAGATGTACACTGGTTTGGTCTGGTAAGGTGGGACAACTTGAAGCAGGGGCTTCCAAGTCATAGGTAGATTTAAAGATTTTTCTCATTGGCATTTGGTGGAAAGAGTTATTATCTAAAGACCTAGGATCAAATAGAAAGGAATGTCTGCATTACGATAAGGAATTGTGGAGACCAAGGTTTTATTATTCAGATGAAACCTCCAGGTAGCAGGCTTCAGAGAGAATAGATTGTGAATGTTTCTTATCAGACTTAAAAAGTCTGTTCTATCAGACTTAAGGTCTCTATGTTGATGTTTATGACGCATATCTGACCCCCACTTCCCATCATAGCTTGAACTAGTTTGTCAGGATAATTTGGAATGCCCCCAGCCAAGGGGAGGGTCCCTCAGTCAGGGGGCTTAGAATTTTATTTTTGGTTTACGTGATCTATTCACTGAACTTATTAAGCAGAAACAGAACCTTGGCAGCAGAAAAGACTGAGAAATCCACATTCTCTCTTCTGTCTGTCACACACACACTTAAAGTCATCAGGGAGCTGGAAGGGATATGGGGCTGCCATTGCCATGGATGGGGCTCGAGCCAACTTATTTTGAATGTCAAAGACAGAGAACGGCAACTGGCTCTTGGGTTATGTATAAAATCAACTAGAATGTAGACCAGAGTGAAGTGTGTGCTAAAGAAAAAGGCACACAACATACTTCGGTTTTTTGTTTATTTGTTTGTTTGTTTGTTTGTGTTTAGAGACAGGGTCTTGCTTTGTCACCCAGGCTGGAGTGCAGTGGTACAATCATAGCTCACTACAACCTCAAACTCCTGGGCTCAAGCCATCTACTTGTCCCCCTACCCCAAAAAATGGGACTACAGGCATGTGCCACCATGCCAGGCTAAATTCAACATGCTAAATACAACTTGCTAGCAGAAGCCCTTCACTCATCCTAGACCATGAGATGTGTGGACGGGGCAGTTAGGCCTTTAACCAAGACACCTACTGGCCAGTTTTTGGCAATTCTCTCCCTTCAGAGAAATGGGGAACATTCAACTAGTGAAGTTCATGGTTCAGAATTCAGGCTCCAAATTCAAAGTCCCAGTTTGTCAAAGTCAAAGTCCTGTGCCCTGAGCCAAGTTGTTTGAGTCTAAACCTCAGTCAGATGTGGGTGATTATGATTCTGAGCATTAAATGAGATGATGTAACGTGGTTCACAAAGTATTCTGCATAGAGTAAGTAATCCCCGAGGGCTGGTTTTTCTGCAGCACCAGCTGGTCTCCCCAGGGTTAGGCTGAAGATCATTAGCCACAGTTAAATAAGCAACTCCCAGCTGCTGCTCACCTGGAAGACAGGTATAGAGGGTCACCCATGTGAGAAACCACTCCATCACAAATTAGGGTCTGCCCTTGGGCATTTCTATTTGGCCCTAATATTATAAACTACTGTTTGTTTTCTCTGTACAAGGTGTCTTCAGATGTCTGACATACCTTTCCCACACAGGCAGCATGGGAATGGGGTTTTCCTGGAGGGTGACTGTCAGTTGCTTTGAGGAATCTTCAAAGGCAGCCAAGTTAAGTCCATGTCAAGCCTTATATTTTAAGCCAGACCATCCCAAACAAACTGGTCAAACCTCATGCAGGCACTTTAAAGTTATGCAGTAACACTCCCA